>NC_000007.14:42058423-42361454 GCF_000001405.40 Homo sapiens
GCCAAATACATCGAGATTTCCCACAGTGGTTTCAACCATTTCAATTAAATTCAGAAAATCAAATTGATACACATTTTTATTTCTCAAAACTTACAAAATATTGATGCTTTAAAGGTAACATAAATAATAACATATCTACTGCTATAAAACAAAAATAGTCTAGCTGACACATTAGTCTAAATTCAAGGTAAGCTATGGAAGGTGGACATCTGTGTATTAACTTTGGAGGGGGCAGGGGCTACCGCTAAGCCAATCAAAGGAGCTTCTTGTGAAGAGAGAAGCCAAACAAATACATGTTAGTCATGTTCTTCCAACAACTGAAACAATGTTATACAAGTATCACTGTACAAGAGCAGTGCAATTGTTTATAGCTAAAATTGATTTCATTCCTTCCAGGAAAGACTGCAAAGAACAATGTGCCAAATTTGTCTCTACTCTGTACTGTAAATATAACTCATTAATAAATTAAAATTTCAAGGTCAAAGAATTAAAAAGAAAGTCCATTCCAGCCACTGTAACATGCAATGCACTGTTATTAAAAAGAGATCTTAATGAACATACTGCTGGTTCAAATAAGTACTTGAGAGCTAAATGACCACATCTCATAGCATGGGACTGCGTTCTATCCCACTAACTTTTGTTTAAAGAGAGCTCAATGTATGTTTCTCACATTTTAGAATTAAGAACAGAAGAGAAAAAGAAGTGGAGAAAAGAGCGTACCTGAACCAAATGGCAGATGACAACTTGTTTTTAAATAACATATGTTTTAAATATTTTAATTCCATGAATACACATTATATATTAAATTATTATTTTAGCAGACTTTTTTGTCCTCCAAATGGAGTCCAAATAGTTCACGCAAAGGTATCCTTGTTTCTGCAATGTCTAATAAATGAAAGACATTTTCTTATCTTCTTCCCCTGATTACTAGAGTTGGTAAGAAGGATAAAACCAGTAACTATTATATAAAATGTTTTATTATATAATGTATGTATTATATAAATATAAAGTGGAATTAATAAGTATAAATGAATATAATATTCATTTATAATTCTTAATTACAAATTATAAATTAATTAATATAATAAAAATAAATATAATTCATTATTAGAAGAACTAATATGCTATGTCCATCTTTACAATGTCCACAGAAGTACCACCTTGATGAGGAAACAGCTGTCGCTGTCAAAAGAGACATTCATATGTCCAGTTGCAATTCTTTTCCTACCACCTAGGTGCCATGTTGAATGGGCGATGGAGAGCTGCTCTCATTGGTTGGATTCTGTGACATCTGATGGGGCTCTGTTTTCTAGACAGTTTCCTAACTGATCTGCATTAAGAAAGCACACAGATGCTGTCCTTTCCTCTCCTCTTCCCCTAAGATAACAAGTGGTTACCTTTGATCAGCCAAGCTTTTTCCCTTGGGTAGTCCCTTTTCCTCCAGTGGAGCAGGCCACGGCAGAGGCCAATCCAGCCAGGCCCAGAGGATCAAAGGAGTCTTTCCTTCTGTCTCACTCTCCTGCTCCCTATACCTGGAAGTGTGCATTCAGTAAGCTGTTCTATACACCAGTTGCAAGGTCTTGGGCTTAGGTTTGCCTGTTGGGTGAACTAGATCCTTAAAAGCCTGCTTTGCTCTCCAGCTACTTAAGCCCAGACAGAGAAGCGGCAGCACTGTACCATTTCCTTTTTAACAGGGAAGTATACAGAAAGCATGTAGCCTGGTGACTGTCACATGGTAAATTCTCAGTAAATGTTGGCCCCTACAACCAACACCTTCATTCCTGCTGCTGCTGCCATTCCTAGAGCTCTGGGTTGGTTAAGGCCAAAGTCACCTGGCTTCCGTTGCCTTGTTGAGTACTGATTTCCCTCAAGGACCTGATAGGGAGTGAGCTGTTTGTGGCCGGGTGAGTTCAGCTATGATGTCACTTCGGCATTACTTAGGCGCACCCATCTCATGTTTTCTCCTAACAGATAGATTAAGCGATTTGATTTACCTTAGTTAAGATGATGGATTTTTTTTCTTCAAAGTAAATTCAAGAGCATAATAATTCTGTAGTTTTAGTTCAGCAACTTCATTGCCATGAAGAAAAAAAATAAAAACTTTTGTCTTTAGAGATAGAGAAAACAAAAATTTTTTAATCAGTTTGATTTCTGTGACTTTCCTCTCTATTTTCCATTAATTCTACCAATCCTATTTTCTGTAATTTGATGAATTACCAATTCCATCTCAAAAACAATACTCAAATAGGCAAAATAATATCCTTTCCAAAAGAAAATACAAGGCAAAATAGAAAAATATTGACACCCAATAGTGTAGAAAGAATGGCTCCTCAAACAACTAAGTCCCTCTATGATGAACTAACTGTGCCTAGAAAACTCCTGGGATAAGTGACATTTGTTTGTATAGGTGTTACATTTTCCAACAATGCAGAAACTTATCCATCATGATTTCCTTTAGCAGAAACTTTTGAGTCTGAGCCATAATACACATCAAGTGTAAGGGAAAATGACTCTAACATACATACAAGAGACTCAGTTAGATCTGTTTACAAACAAACCAGCTCATGTTTGTATCATTTACATGGAAATCTCAACAATTCAAGGTAAACAGCTACTTTAAAAGTCTCAGCAGCACTAAGGCAGAATCTGTTATTCAAGCAAGAACTTTCCCCTCAGAGGACTTCAGGTACTAGGTGGATATAATTAATTGAAAACAGGAAGTTGGGTTCCAACTATTTAATCCTTGCTTAATCTTGGGTCTGGTGGCAGGTGTTATAGAGGATATTTATAACAAAGACAGGAAGCACCTAGAATTCTGAGCCAAGAAGACAGTAAGGCTACCTCAAGAATCAGAATGAATCTTTTATCAACAGTAGTCTCATCTTCTAGCTAGTATAAAGACTTTTTCCATATTAGTATCATCATCATCCTCATCATAATTATTATTACTGTTAACTACTAACTAGTCTGTTTTTTGAGTTATCCCTTGAACCTTGACATCTCACTCCTACTTCCCCTGATTCTTTTAATCACCTTTATTTTAAGTTATATAGAGATGTCCAACAAGGAACTATCATTAGTGATTCAATAACTCTCCTCCAGAATAAAATCTTCAAGGTTTGCTAGGGCCATTGGTCCCATAAAGGTGAAAAAAGTGAGCCCTTTTGAAG
This sequence comes from Homo sapiens, assembly GCF_000001405.40. Lineage (NCBI taxonomy): Eukaryota > Metazoa > Chordata > Mammalia > Primates > Hominidae > Homo > Homo sapiens. Next base: position 42,061,594 of record NC_000007.14, read on the forward strand.
TGGCAGGCTCTTTAGATGTAACTGGAAGTAGAGCTTGTAGGACTACTATATGAGACTAAGGCTTTATGTCCTAAGCATACTTCTCAATATTTCAGAACTTTATCCCCTTGGAGGGTGTTAACTTTTCAAAATTAAATTACATATGGAAAAGGAGTATATGTAGTGTACTGTAGAGTGTATGTAGTGATGGGGAACAATTTGTCTATATTATTCAACAGAAAAGCAGCATCAACTTCTACATAAGGGGATACTTTTCTTAGGGGTCTTGTTATCATGGCCTTCGGGAACTTTGCTCAAGACGTAGAGAACAGCATCATGGAGGACTGAAAATGAGTCTGGCTACTTAACAAGGAGCTACAAAGTCTCCTTCTGCAGTTCCTTCTTCAGAGAGAAAGCAAGTCTTCCAGTACCATAAAGGAGGAGAGATTCATCTGATTGGAAATGTCTATGATGTGCAAGAATTACTTGTTCATATTACCCTTGGAAAACCTGTGCACAGGACCATGGTCTTATCAAAAACAGCTTTTTGAGCCTCACTGTTTCATCTGTCAAATGAGAAGCTTTGGAGTAGATGATCTCCATTCTACTCACAAGGTTTAAGGCCCCATTTGTTCCTAAAATCCAGTGCTTTCTATGATTCAAACCATATTCCCCTGTCTGTCATTGCTTAGCTTTGACCATGTTATAAAGTCTGTTGCTTGAATACACTTTTGTTTAAAATTTAGTGACCCATCACTTGAGTATCCTACAAATGAGAACTCTTTTCTTTTTCCTTTCTCGAGAATAGCATCACAATCATTGCAGCAACTTATGTCCTCTCTGGGCCACTGTGGTCTTCAACTTTGATACTACTCCCAGGAGAAACGATAGGGTCTGGCTTTATGCTAACTGGATTTGGATGGTGATTGATTAGAAGAAAGTGGGACCACGTAGCCTTGCAAAAGGTTCAGTACTGAGCCACAAGCTTCAACACTAAAGGAGCTTTTACCAGTGAGTTCACAGCTATTTTTATATTAACAACATTTCTCCCATCCAGGTTTGTGCATTTTATCTTTATTCTTTCAAATCCTGAAATTGCTTGGATAAGAGAGAAGGTTTATATATTATACACACACACAGACACACACACACACACACACACATTTCTAAGAGCAGCCTGAACTTTTAGGAGAAATTGAAGAGGCTTTGTGTCAAGTACAGCTAAATCCAGCCTTTCCATATCAAACCTCTGCTAGAAAATTACTGTGCAGATGATAAGGCAGAAAGATATAATAAAAAGTGACTCTCCTCAATTTACACTGCAATATTGGTATGACTGAATATTTTTCATTCAGGTGCCTGATAAAATCGCTAAACTGTATTGCAGATAAATAAAGGAGGCTTCTGTCAAGAATAAACACCATTAATCATGAAGTCTTACCCTCTCAGAGCCTGTGCTATGCATCTGCACAAATACACCAGCATAACCATCACACAACACATGCTTGCCTCCTTTATAAACTGTTCCAAGCTGAAGAAGTGCTCGTTTTTCATTTTGCAAGGTTTAGGCAGCTATAGCATTTTGAAAACATTCTCTTTACATTTTTAACTTTACATTCTTGCAACTAGGTCCATTATTGTAACATTTAGGAAAATGTGGCTGGGCTCTCAGGGGAAAAAATCTTGACAATGAATCAATTTTTTGACCAAATACATACGTACACACACAAATACATATGACATACTACATATCCTCAACTCTAAGATGTTACTGATCTAAAGGTGCAAAATTGTGTTAGATACCACTAAAAAAAGATAATGGTTCCCTATCACTTTTGGTTTTTACTTTACTTATTAAAAGAGCTCTTTTAGAATTATTCAGACATAGATTTTTTAAACATGTATCATTCCAGCACATGTACAAAAAAGGGAAATATAAGCAAAATTATTTTATTAAAAGATACCTGGAACTTCCTCATGACTGCCACTTCACCAATAAGCAATTGTAAAACACTATAGATTGTAAAATACATCCCAACTTCAGAGATGTTAAAAGATGGAAAAAGGGATGTACTACTTAGAATAGATGATTTAAATATGGGGATAGATATGTAGTAGGCAATCCTGCCATTCGTCAAATACCTATGCTGTGACAGACACTGTGTTAAGTGCTATATATATGCTCCTTTGCTGAATCCTTGATATAAAATGGTATTGAATGGTGAAACTGGCTTAGACAGATTCAGTAATCTGACAGTAAGTATCTGAGCTGAATTCAAACCCAGTCTATGCTTCAAAGTCTATGTTTTTAAACCCAAAGAAAAACTGCCCCAAACCAGATACACATGTGCATGTATGCCTACACTTACATTTTTAACATTATTGAGGCTTTTAATAGAAAAGGATGGTATGGTTATCTAGCTACCTTAACTTCCAAAGGGAATCTATTTAAATTGATGTTCAAATTGTAGTGCCATGGCAGGTCACACTGGTGGCTGCAGTATACACAAAGTGTCACTTGCAGAGTATAAAGAGTAATGAGGGAAGTATGACCACCATTCAGGCAAGACTTTTCAGCAGAGCTTCACATAAGGAAAGTGCAGGCAACAAACTTTATGGCTTAGGGAGAAAAATGGCATGTGGGCATGCATGTGTCAGGGCCACAATATTTTCATGGAATCCCCTTGTAAGTGTCCACACTCTAGGAAAAAACAACGAACAAATTTAAATTTTTCCATAATCATGAAATGTTAAGAACTAGAAAGGATCTTAAAGATCATTTAATTAATTTATTTTGTACATGAAAACAAGGCCTGCAGAGATGACGGAAAGTGCTCAAGGATCCGGTTAACTTGTGGTAGAGTTGAGAATGGAACCTCACTGAGGTCCACATGTATTATGAAAACAGATGATTAACTTGTTTTACGAAGATGATCATGAGAAGCCATGTGCCAACAGCACTATGTTTGAGTTTGCTGGAATTACACTTTGAAACCCAACCAAATAGCATTGTCATGGGTGAATGTAACCAACATATTATTGGGTGGGGAAGGGATGTGCTCAAAGGAACTATTCAGCAAAGCCATAATCCAGTCACACTCATGAGGGATGTTTAGCTGTGTTACGCAGGAAGTATTATGGAAGCTGCAATTCAGCTCACTGGGGGTTCTGTTTGCAGAGCCCACTCCAAGCAGGAAGTGCCTTTTCTAGCCAAAAGAGGTTTAACTCCCATCTTCCTGATAAATCCTCCCTCTGTGAAGAAGCAGCTTGATCCTGTACAGTGAAGTGTTTATTTGCTAAATGGAACACAGGCAGAGAGCCTCACAATAACGTCTGTGCTCCAATGATGCACAGCCATATTGGGGGCTCACAGAGGTCAGACCCCAAGAAGCCTCGTTCAAGCCAGGCCCAGCAAGAAAAGAAGAGGATACCAATGAAACCAGGCCCTGACCCCACTGCTTGGTACTTCCCCAGTTCTTTAAGGAAGAGCTTCTGTGTTAAAAATAAGTATTTATACTGTATCATTTTCATCACAGACTGTGTGTTCAATCATTCCTGACAAACTTTTTGGTCCTCTTTTTTATTATTTTTATTTTATAAAAATTATATTTTATTTATAATTTATTAAAATTATTATTTTAATATTAATTAAATATTATTATTTAATACTTTTAAATTATTATTAAAACTGCTCCCAGGTACATTATCAATAAATGCAGACCCCTGGTTAGCTACAATGCACCCCACCTGCTTGTTAAGAGTAGAAATTCTCATGCACAAAAAAGCAAGTAAAAACAACTGAATGTACCCTTCATAAGAATTTTGCTTTTAAGACAGCTGAATTTTGTCAAGCTATATCACAATGTTTTACCACTATCTACATTGAGGGTATAATGCATTAAAGAATAAAATATTTACTCTTTGTTAATAGAGTTAAAAACATAGTTCATAAGTTTATCAGCTGTTCATTTCTGTCCCAGTCATAAACCATGCTTCAAAAAATAGCATATGTACAAGAAAATGTAGTGGTTATAGTAAGATACTCGAATAATTTTGTTTTTGTTGTTCATTATTTCTATACATAAGGCAATCCATTTTATGCAAATTATGATGAAATTCTTTAGATATGTAAATTTAACTCAAATGGAGCTAGTGGGCTCCCCTCTCACCCTACACGGGATGATTTATGTTACTAACTTGGGCTTGAGTGTAACACCTGAACTACCCTCCTTCAATAGCCTTATTCACACTGAAAGAAAACCAAATGACTTAGTAGCCTCTTTCACTGATTTTAAGGCTAGTAATGATTCGAGTAGCCATGTTATTAAACTAGAATGAAGCACTACTCTCCTCACTAATGAGGTTAAAAAATGTCTTTAGGTCTCCACGTTAGGGGCACTTAGCAAGCACTCTGCTTGGCAGAGACCCACAGCGGATCGAAGCCATGGACTAATCACACAGGCCGGAATCAAATGGACTGGAAGAATTAGGAGACTTGTGGCTCGGAGGAATGTAATTCATGCAGAAAAGCGTTGTCAGAGCAAGGCCAGGGAACCTCATGGGAAGAAAGCAAAATAAACAGTTCAACAAAGAAAACAAAGAAGGGCCAATAGGCTTTTCTAAAGCTTGAGTACACTGAGACTTCAGTGGGTGCCTAGGACAAAGACCTCATCAAAGGACACCCTTGCAAAGCAAACAGACCAAGGAAGGATGTTTCTCTCCAATACACTCGGGGGAAGGGGGTGGACTCTACTTTTCACTCCTTCCAATTCAACTTCCACAACTCCCAACTTCCAACTCAACTCCCTCCTCCAACAAACACAGAAACCACCACCAATAATAACCTAAGTAACTAAAAAGTCCAGTCTGTCTGGGTTAAAAGATGGGGAAAGGTGGGGAGGTTAACACAAATTAAATATGGTGCAGTGCATCTCTGGATCGCACTTCAGATCACGAAAAGGCCTTTGGAAGTGTACCCACCTCCTGGGTCAGATCCCCACAGCCTGCTCCCCACATTCCAGAGGATGAAGAGAGACTCCAGAAGTGTTCAAGGATTTAAACTTTGAAAATTCTCTCTCACAAACAGTATACAACATCCACAACCGTGCAGCTATTCAATTGCGAGAATGGAGCCTAGCATGGCTTTCTGAAGAAGGCTGCACCTCTGCTCACAGCTCCAGCCTCACTCTTCTATTTCCAGTGGACTCTTGACTTGGACTATTCTTCCCTCAATCCAATGACTACGTGTATCACTGCAGCCCTGAAATGACTTTGGTCATTAAAACAAGATTAAAATACTTGAGGCTGACCTTCTTTTCCCCCTCTTGACTACTTCCTTTAAGATGGAAGACCATGCTGTCTTTGGCTGACTAATCCCAAGGACAGGCTTAGAGTGCTACAAGGAACACAGACAGAAGTGAGTGCTGTACGGGTACATACGCATATACAGTAACATAGTGAAGATATATAAAAAAACATAAAATACTTACTTTAAATAAATCAATACAACATGGCAGGTAATAAAAGTATTAACATAATCCAACATAACTCTAATATTAATTTGTTATATCCCTGGCAAATAACATATGAAAAATCAGAGGCCCCTTCAGAGGTCTGATTGCTTACGTTATGGACTTACAATTCTAAATTTGTTCCTGAAAACTTTCCTTAGTGTGCATAGTATATGTTAACGACAATGGGTGCTAGGAATATGGGGATTTTGCTCTGTGGGGGAACCAGAGATTACTTTGAACAGAGGCAAGAAGCATTTTAGTAAACTGGAAATGTTTATTTCCATGCTGTCTTAAAAATGTAAAGCATATTCAAGCAACATGGTTTGGTGATTTGTTTTGCAAATGAGGCAATTCATTTAACTCTAGAGCTTCCCTCTCCCCACTCCCCATCAGATGATAGAGATACTATTCACTTATGGTGAACTTGGCAATATTTGGATACTATTTGAATGTATTTAGAAGAATATTGGCAGTTTTCCTGTTTCATGTGTAACTTGTTCCCAGGTTTTGAAAGACATATTAACCTTGTCAGGCCTGAGGGAATCATTTACTGTGCCCAGTTAACCTAACTCCCTTAGGCTGGCTACCTAGGCCATACTAGACTTGGCCATGGTATGCACAGGGCTCCTTAGGAACAATTTACAGGTGCTTCCAGGCAATGAGGGACCCTGTATGGGGGAACCTTAAAAAAAAAGCCTTAAAGAGAATGTCTTCAAGGGCAACTGTACACACAATTCATTTTGGTATTAGTTCAGATTTTCAGTCTGGGGCCAGGCTTCCATTCCCTGTAAGAGTCCCAACTGAGAACTTTTTCTTTTAGTGAATCTGTAACCTCCCTGTATTGCATAAGAAAATTTTAAATATCTGTCACTTATAAACATGTGTGATGCTGCACATGCCAAAATATTAGGTGATGGGATTTTTAAAAACCTATGGCTTTGGGTTAGACACTCACTTTTATCTTTATTGGAAATGCACTCACATGCTCTAAGGCAGTTCCTGCCACTCTGACCATTCTCCCTGCATTATTTTCTTCCTGCACACGTGTGTAGACACACACAAGAGAAAAGAGGCAGAGTATATTTCTAGCATCGCACTTGATGTTTTTCAACACAGAGTTATAAAAATTGAGGCAATGTCACCAAATTAGCTAAGTCAGCACAGGAGGTAAACACAGGCCAGTAAGCCGTTTAACTTGTTAATTTTTACTGAACTGCAACACAATCATGCCCATTTCTGCTCTGGTCTGCCTTTTGCAAAGTCCACATCAAAACTAAAAATGGCCAAGATTGTATTTTTCAAATTTGTTTCAGTATAGCTCTCTGCCAAAACATCCCTAGTTTTCTCAGAGCTCCAAGGATGAGTTTCAAAATCCACCTCTCTCCTCCTATTTCCTTTTAGTGTGCTTAGCTTGCTTGGGTCACTGAAGATCCAAAATCTGGCTAATCTGTTACTTCATACTCAAAAAGTTAGCAAGCAGGTTCCTGGAAACATATCTGCTAACATTTATTTTCTGATGTGTGATTTTCCCCGGGGCAGGGATGGGGATGCAACAATAACAACAATGAGTGACAGGCAGCCCTGTGTCATTGGCCTTTGTTCCCCCGAGGAAAGGTCTGAAATGAACTCAGCTTGCAGTGTGGCTATAGGAAATGGCATGTCTTTGTTTAGGTGAAAAAAGTGGGGCTCTGTTACCTAAGTGAGGGAGAGACGGCCACATAGGAAAGGCTGCAGGGAGCTTCAGTTTAGGCAGTATTCACCATATAAACCTAACCTCAAAGTGTCTTCCCATCAGGACAAATTCTGTTAAAGTTCAGTTTTCTCAAACACATACTTAAAAAAATAAATAAAATGACAACAGTAAATTTCTGTTTTCTTTGAAGCCAGGCTTAACATGAGTGGAAGCATTGTACTCAAAGAAAAAAGTCTGTTACAGCCCAGTACCTCCCAGGCCCCCGCAACAGGTTTGACAGCAGCCTCTATAGAGTCGGCGGCTTCCGGTTCAGTGAACGTGAATACCTCAGTCAATATCTGCTCCTGGACCGTGCTGCTGAGCGCAGCACAAAGAACACAGGAATTTTATCCAAGAAGCTGGGGCTCAGACTCTGAATATACACTATAATTAGGGCCTGCTTTCTCTGCAACTGAGGACCGAATTCAGTATTTCAGTCATTAGAAATACTGCAAAACAGAAAGGAGTATACACCCTTTGAGTACAATTTATCTGTTTTGTGGTTGTTTCTTAACGCAAAGTAAAGTGTGTATCGGCGGATCTGGATTTATGTGCCCGCTCATCAGAATTTTAAAAGTTTAGGAATTGAAACTCAACCATCTTTTCCTAACTATGAGGAAACTATGTATGTAGGTGGCCTAAGATAGTTCTTGAAAATTAGGCAGGACTTAAACTTTTTCAGTTAATCACGAGAAATGATAACCAAATAATAAGACATTTATTTTTTGATTTGACATGATATGCAGTGAAAAATGTGAACAATAGCAGTAGAAAAGCATAAAAGTAGAAAACATGACACATGGCATTGCTCATAAAAAAGAGAAAAATAAAGCAGAGAAAGAAGTACAGAGTGAAGATGGAGAGGGGGTGTTATTTTAGACCAAGGTTGGCAAACTTTTATCTTTCAGGCATTCCAGGTCATATTCTCTGTCACAGTTACTCAACTCTGCCCTTGTATTGCTAAAGCTGCCACAGATAATACTAAATAAGGAATGTCACTGTGTTCCAATAAAACTTTATTGACAAAAACAGGCCATGAACCGTATTTGGCCCATAGGCCACAGTTTGCCAATCCCTGTTTTAAGTAGTTGTTCACAGAAGACCTCTCTGAGAAGCAGAAACTGAGCAGGGAAATGTGTGAAGGGAGGGAGCAAGCCATAGGTATCTGAAGGAAGAAGGCTCTACGCAGATACACATTGTGTTCTAACATGGCTTCCCTTCTATTGGGTTTACCGCTATAATCACTAATTATTATCTACCCATGTTCTAACAGAGTCTTCTCAAATGTGATTAAGTATTGGTCAACACTCCACCCAGTTGATGAATCACAATTTACCAAACCACTCCAGTGGCTGAATATGTAAACTGTTCTATTGTATAGTGTCATACATTCTACAGCAGCAAAGACTGATAAGCATCTCATTTTTGGGTTACTCAATAGGTACATTAGGTCAAAAGGCCTGAACGTGGCTTTTTATGGCTCTTCGCACACTGCTGTATTTCCACCTTGGGAATTTGCAGAAGACAATGACAGCCAGTAACACTGAAAACTTCCTATCAGGTACTGTTAGAAATAGTTGTGCTCATCCAGGAAGTAGAAACTAGAGCAGCCAAGTCTGTGGTCTTCATTTTCACTAGCAAGGCATGGAAGTCCGGAGCAAGGGTGTGGAGTCTGATGCCTGGGTTAACTCAAGGGCACTACCTACTTGTAAGCTGAGTAACTTCTCTATGTCAAGGTTTCCATGTCTTTAAAATGAGACTAATAACTCCAGCATAGAGTTGTTATAAATATTAACACACATAAATATTATGACTACATAAAGTCTTTAATATTGTGCTTAGCCTATAGTAAGTATTCAAAAATGTCAGCTATGGTCATGATTATATACTTTTTCATCTGAATTATCTATTCATCTCTTTTTTGCCCTTATCTTTGATATTGCTATGGTCTTCTTAAATTGTTCATTTAAGATGGCTAATTTCATTCATTTTATTTCCATGTGTCGGCTCTGGAAAGCAGCAATACATTAAATAGCACTCAGTCATATAAGGGGACCAGTAACTGCTTTAATATCAGGAAATTAGTTTGACAGTGGAGAGCATCTGATGTGGCAATAGCTACTATTAATAGAATCTATTCTATCAAAAGTAGTCACTGAGCTTTTATTTTTTGAATCCTAGCTTGTTGGCACGAGGTGACACACTCAAACAGAAACAAAAGAAAAATGATGGTCATAGCAGTGACCCTATTATTTTTATCATCATTAAAAATAATATTTATTTAGGAGCTACCATATGTAGAGCATGGGCTCAGCCTAGCAAATGCAAAGAAATACACAGATCGTCTTCACCCTGAGAGATGTAATTATAATTTAGTTCATGTTTTCTTTTTCTTTTTTGGGGGGGCGGTGGGGAGTGTTTTAGGGTTTGCTACAGTATTTGCTAGACTTTGCAATTTGATATGTCATTACACTTTACCAGTCTTAATAATGTTATGGTAAAGCACAAACACTGGGTGGAGGAGGCGGGGGGAAACTTTCCTTTGTTAATTTTAAGTTACACTATTAAAATATTCCAAACTAGTTTTGACCCCAAATATAATTATAAGGTTTTACTAAATCTCCATATTTTACCGGAAACTTCCCTAAGAATGCAACGAATGAAATCACTATTACATGAACAGGCCCAATATAGTGTTTTCAGTAAGCAGCTAGACTGAAGAGGCTCCTTTGGAATAAGTATGTGAGCTCTCAGTAAAGATAATACCAGGACAAGCAACGTGCTAAATTTAGGGGAGGGGAACTCAGTAGTAGCCCTGGTCATCTACTTACTATTTCCTTCTCTAAGCTTTTACCATAATGATATACCTTTTCTTAGAGCTTTTTCTCTCTGGGAAGAAATGTATTTATTCATATGCCAAACTTGCCTCTCATCTCCCTGCTCTCATCCCTAACAGGCAGCCATAATTACGGGGGCGAGGCCTTACCTATTTCCAGTGCACTCTGTCTCACAGCTGATATTAATGATCTTCATAATACTGAGTCCTCTCCCTGAGGTGAAGGGAGGTGGCCACTTTTAGTGGGAAGAACAGCTCTCCTTACTTAGGTGGAATGATTCCAGAGAGTGTCAGGCAGCCTTGGAAGGAGACACATTGACTCAACAAAGAAAAAAAAAGGGCTGACGTACAGAACAGAACATGAGTGCTCATTTTCCCTAAGACAGAAAAGCTGGTTTTCGAAAGTGGATTAGTAAAGTGGATGGTGAAATGCAACAGCCTTTATGTGAGCTGGCTTGGGGTGCAGTACTGTTCACATCCACAGCACAAAGCAAGAGCAGCTCACAGCTCGACTGGCAAGAAGATTGGTGGGGCTTAATTATTGCAATGGATTAGTAACCAAGGACCCTGCTTTGGAAAATGAATTGCAGATCTCAGTATGAAACAGAAAGACAGTTCGAAATTCAATTAATACTGGTCCATAAATTAGAAAACCTTGGCTCAGAAAGATTGTACATAAGGGCTACATTTCTTTTTCCCAAGAAAAATCCAAAATGAATGAAATCAAATTGGAATTTAAAGCTACTTTATAATTTGGGTTTCTACAAATACACCATGCCTACTTTTAAAAAGGAAGCATGCTTAATTGAGTTCTAACACTAAAAAACAAAAAACACACACTCAAAATGCAAGAGAGAAAGTACTTTAATTATTACTGTGGAAAGTAGCCACTTGACAATGCAATTGTATTCTGGGGTAGTAGGCTGTAATATACCAATTGCCTACATTCCCAAGTGAAATTTTAAAAATTAGTACTTATTTTTAGCCTAGCAGGCATCATTTGTTCCCATAGAATACAGTAGTGTCTCCTCGAGTTAGGGAAGGAACAGCCCTGATGTCAACAATGCAAGGCAGGAAATACAGAGACCAAGAAGTAAAAATATACACATAAAATAAGAGTATGTGTGTATAGATTCAGGTTCTTTCATTAATGCACAAAATAATCTCAGTAATAAAGTAGACTCACTCTGATATTTTTTCTAAAACATTATACTTCTTGCAATCTAGCTTAACAAGTCTCTCAAAGGATTTGAGAGAGAGGGAGAGAGAGCAACATTCCATTTGTTTATTGGGCCTAAGACCTGGTGAATTCAGTGGAGAATAACTTTCCGAGGAAACGGGAAGATTCCTCATATCCAGTGTTTCTTAATTTTCAAATTACTTGAATTAAACAAATACAATGCAGGAATTGTACATTTTATAACAACCTTTACGTGACAACTCAGAGAATAATACTACTTATATTCCAGGTCCTACTTAGAAGTTCTGAGTCTAAATTCACAATTTTGATTTAAGAAACAAAATGCCAATAAATTATAAATTATTTCTAGTGATGTATTTGAATCCATTCAAGTTTCTATACTCATTCTACACTGCCTAACCATAAACTGTGGATAACACCGTAAGAATAAGCAGGGCAAGCTGAAGGCATTCCGTTTAGCAAACTGGGTTCTTTAACACAAACTGACGTATTTCCGTACATATTTATAAGGCTTAGTGGTTATTATTAGTCTGTAATTGCAGTTGTTCTAACACCTAATAAGCCATGGTTGGAAAAACAAAGGCAGGTTAATTTGTGATTTCCTCTACTCATTCAGAGGCAAATTAAGTGTCAAACAGCTAATACGAAACATATTTCATTTTATGAGATTTTAATTTAATTCTGCACCATATCGTTGATGCCTTAATATAGGGTGGTTTATCTAAAAAGAGGAGCAATTTATAAACCTCTTTCAATAGAATCTTTAATGATAGGATATGATAGCATAATTATAGAAGCGCCTGCCCTTCTTCTAAACAGAGATCTGTCGGCATTTCCATCAACACAAATCCTTGTTTTTAGGAGACTCGTAATTTAGTTTTTAAAGCTGGCACCAGAAGAACAATTGTGTGTACAAAATAATGATAATATCTCCAAATTTTGTCTTCTTAGAATTAAAAATATTGCAAAAACTTAGTACTCTTCACTTGATCTCATTTTCTATAAGACAATTATATAGCAAACAGTTTGGAATTCAAGTTTTGGATGAAGTGATTTTACTTTCCCAGGTAACTGATTCATCCCTTAGCAAATACGTGCTTTTAAGATTTCTATAACCAAGCCACATTTGCCTCGATTAGCCTCCACTTTCAAGGTGATCACAGGTGTCTACTTATCATACCTCAGAAGGTGCAAGAGCAACCCAGGGTCTCATAACTGAGCAAGGGCAGAATAGAAACTCCCAGTATTTTTCATGCCCCCCACTGCCTGGAATGCCAACCTTCAGCATTTATTTAGAGCTCTGTGCTTTTCAGAGTGCTTACATGAACATTATTTCATTGAACTCTCCCTGTGATCTGAAGAGGTGGGTACAGCAGACAGCTTCATTTCCACGTTACGAAACCAACACATGCAAAGGTCAGTGGCCAGAGTGCACAGCACAAGTGAGTGGCAACACAAGAACAGGAATTCGAGCTCTCTGACTGCTCCTCCACTGTCTCTCAGACTGGGCCAATGTGAGTGTCCACTGAGCACCTTTTACAAAGTGCCTGACCAAGTGCTGGGCACTGCCCCTGAAACTAGAAGGGAGCAGTGACCGTTAACAATAAATCACCAAGCAAGAGGAAAAGCATCACAACAAAGCTACATGCGAGTCTCTGGGACGGCCCTTAAATTAGGCCTTGAGGATGAATATAAGCAGGAGTTCACCATGCAGAGAGGGAAGGCCACTGAGACCAATGCAGACAGAATGTCAGTCACAAAGACACAGGGGCGTGACATGCCCCAGCTTGCTGGGGCCCACTTCATAAGCATAGCGTCCACCCAGGGCCCTGCCAGGATGCACTAAAACCAGGCAGTCCCAGGAGGCCACAAACCCATAAGCTCACCATTCTCTGTGCCCGCAGCAATGATATTCCCTCTCAGAATCTTCCAGGACTTGTCTTTTGAGGCTCAGGATTATCTATCAGCTTTACATCATCAATCTTTTTGATAATTATACATTTAGGCTGCTAGAGAACCATTTAGTCAGATGCTAGTAAAGTATCCAAAGCCTGGCTAAAAAAGCAGGAAGAACTAAAATCCAAAGAAAACCCAGCTCAACAGTCACACCTGAAATGTGACTCCCCCGACTCTGCCTACGAGGATGGTCCAGATGTGACGCATCTTGTCTCGTGATGTTATCACCACGGGCCAATGCAGGTCAGTAATGAGGGCCTAGAACACACAGTGGGGGCTACAGGAGGGCTTGCTGTTATATTCCGCCATAGAACCAAGACTTGGGGTTTTTATTGATAAATTCATATTTGAATTTAATTACAAGGCAAACTATAATGAATGCAGAGGAAATAGTTCAGCCTATTATATAAACTCATTTTAAAAAATTGCTCTAGAACATCATTTCTGAAAGAATGAAGAACTCCAAAATTCCGGAGAAAATCTGACTTAAATTAAGTACATCACAAAGGCTCCAGTCTGGGAGGAATTAGCCATCCATGTCTCCGAGGTCTATCTGGCCCTTGCATGCTCTGAACCATGGGGCAGATCCTCATCTGAGACCCATGTGGTCACATCTGTATCATAAAACCTCTGTATAATGGGGTGAATTACATGTCATGTTTCAGGCTGAACTAGGAATTTCCTTCCCTTTGTATAGAGAATTTTAAATTGGCCTCCTGGTTTTATTAGAGGGTATTTTTAGCAGGCTTCAGAACCCTGTAAATACTTACTTGTGTTCCAGTGAAAACTCAAAGGATCAGTCACAAGTTTCTGCATTCTCTCTCTATAAATACCCACTTCTCCTTTAATGCTTATAGAAGTCTGCAACACAGATTTATTACTTACCTCCAGGCAAATCTGCTCTGAAATTACAATTCAGTAATGGGAGATGGATCCAAAAAACTGTTGGTAAAATATTATATGTGTACTTGGGCATGTAGTTAGGATTGTTAATATCAATTAATTCTGTTCACAGAGGAGGACTTGTTTTAAAACAACTTCATTTTTCTTTGGCATAATATGTAATTACACAGCTGTAACTAATAGCCACGGAGATGCAATCTACCATCTGAATAACCAGCATTATTCTTCAAAGTATTATTTGTGCTTTTCTAACTTTACTGTCTCAGAATAAAGGGTGATTATTAGATATGAATAAATGTATATATCAAGGCCGTTAGCAAGGGACAGCCCATCCCAGAGAGTGGCTCCAATTATTATGGTACATGACAGTTTCCTGGACAGTACTACAAAAAAATACTGTTTTACTTTGCAACTCCACCATCCTTTATTTCCTCCAAACCAAGGAAGATGGTATTTACTTCCAAGAGATTTCCTTTTTCCTTTTCTAATGTATGTTATCACTAGCATTCTTTCCTTTTATCTTTCTGTAAACCATGTGCTCGATCACATTTGCCATTTTGTTTGGCTGACATTCCCATCAATCAAGTGACTTCTGGTGTACTTACATAGGGGCTATGAAAATTTACCATAAAAATTTCATTACAATTCCTTGTGATCCCCAGAACAGGACTTTCATGTTACAGAAATTTGAACATAACAAACTTCAAACCTAATGTCGACCAAATACATATTCTGAGTGGTAACTTTCCATTAGGCTTTTACTTTTTAATTTAGTATTTACAGCCCACAGAACACACGTCAGCAAAATATATAGGAAATACTTGTCGGCGACCTAGTGTGACAGGCATTCCTCAGGAAGCAGCAGGGATTTGCTTCAGTGAACCCACGAACAGATAGGCTTGCTATATTTCAAAAGTAAATCTTACACTTCTATCACATCTTCAAAGCCCAGTGGACATGCCATTAACAAAAAGTCCTGAGATGGTAAAAGCCAGCATCTCGTTCCATTTCATTAATGAAGAAAGTGTTAATACTTACATATGCAATGGAGGAATCGGAGATGGATCGTAATGGTAACGGCCCTCATGATGTCTGGCATCAATTGGTACAGGAGGATGGAAGGCAGGGAAAAGATGAGGAGGGTCTGAAAAGAAGAGAGAGCCCAATCTATATCAAATGAACACTTTCAAACAGCATTCCGATTCACAAAGCAACATTGCTATACTATTGTATCTTCACTACCTACACTTAATCTAAGAATTTGTAAAAGAACTCTTTAAGGTTAGTTATGAAGCTCTGTGAGGTACTGCAGCAGTGTGACTAAGTAAGTAGTGCCTGCACCTACCTGAGAAGGCAGAGCCTGGGACTGACTGCAACTCAAACCCAGACACGAAAGCAAGAAAGAGAGGAGCAACACAGGCTCCCTATCTTGAAAGACAGGCTGACCAGAGGAGAAGGGCTGAAGGGAGCCACAAAGCCAAGGGGAAGAGATTAAAACACACTTATTTGAAAAATAAAACTACATTGTCAAGTTAAGTTTTAGACAAAGACACTGTAATACAAATACCAGTTTCATTTCTCCCATGCTCACCATACTTTTAAGAGTGAAAGGCTTGCTAGAATCTGTGGCTGATATACACATGCATGCATGTGCTTCTTTTTTTTTTTTTTAACTTAAATACATATTCCCCTCCTTCTTGGCCGGGCTAGGCCTCCATAGTCCCCACACAAAGGCAGCAAATCTATGCCCTGTCCAGGGAAACACTGTGCAGCCCTCCAGGAAGAGATAAGCTGACCCACTCAGACTCACAGACATCTAGAGCCAAACTCAGGGAATTCCTCCCAAGGTAGTGTTAACATTCACCTTGGACCCAGGCCCTCTCCTGCTTCCACCTTTCCCCAGTCCAACGCTCCGGGTTCCTGAGCTGCTGGGTGTGTGCTCTTCCTTAAAAATAGCTCTCCCACCCCCACTTACTCCTAGTAACTCACACCCATTGTCACTGAAAATAAACCTTTATTAAAAAAAAAAAAGTGATTCACTGTAAAAACTGAAGAGAGTTTTAACAGATTTTATACTTAGAAGCATGACTGATGAGTCAAGGTTTTCCCAAGTTTCAAGAAGCAAAATGAAGGGGTCCAAAACTTGGAGGTTTGACTCCATGTCTATGAGACTAAATACGACAGCAAAATGTGCCAGGACATGTTCTTCAAATGTGACGGGTCCACACTGGTCATGCTGGGAGCCTGCCTAGAGCCAACACTGCTGAGGATTGGTGTGTACACCCACAAGCCTCAGAATGGCTTCCAGTTATTTCACCCTAGTGCTGAGGGTAGCAGTCTCTAAAGGCAATTCCAATGGGGCCTTCTCTCAGCGGACAGGTTCTGATCGACCACCTAAGAATGCACAGAGCGTCCCCCCGCTGAAGTCGGCTGCATCCCCCGAGGTCGGCAACACCGCCATCCCAACTGGGTGGAAATGGATGATTATTAGATGTGTGTAATGTTGAATTCAGGTGGTTTTGATTTTCTTCCCTACCCATTTCTCTATTTTCCAAATTTTCTTCAACAAGCAACTAGTAGAATATAAGCACAACAAACATGTTTTTAAAGTTATAGTACATTGCTTCCCTTGTTTTGATTTTGTCCCTGCTGCCTTCAAGAATATAAGACTCTGTTTATGAAGAAAAAAATCCAGTAAGAGTAAAAAAAACGATGAGCATAGCATTCATAGAAGCTCTGTGGTCTACCAGGGAAGGACCCGAGGCTGTAATTCTACAGTTTACCACCAGATCTAGAATCTAGAAAACTTCCCAGAGGACTATTTTACTGAAATGTCAATGACTCACCGTACTTTGTGACTGTCATAAGATTGAGTAGGGAGGGAGTGGGGGGCATGGAAAGAGGAAGGAATCAGTTTGATCTTGTATCACTGTCACTGTAGTATCGTGATATACAACAATGCTGAAAATTCAACAGGTGAGGGATATACTAATGACCTGATCATTTATCACAGTTTTTTTTTTTTTTTTTTTTTGAGACGGAGTCTCACTCAGTCACCCAGACTGGAGTGCAGTGGCTCGATCTCGGCTCACTGTGAGCTCCACCTCCCGGGTTCACGCCATTCTCCTGCCTCAGCCTCCCAAGTAGCTGGGACTACAGGCGCCCGCCACCACGCCTGGCTAATTTTTTGTATTTTTAGTAGACACAGGCTTTCACCGTGTTAGCCAGGATGGTCTTGATCTCCTGACCTCGTGATCTGCCCGCCTCGGCCTCCCAAAGTGCTGGGATTACAGGCGTCAGCCACCGCGCCCGGCCTCATTTATCACACTTTACACATTTTGTAAAGTCCATATAAAAATTGATTATATTTTAAGTTTACCACTTAGTACTTAATATGAAAGGGTGTAGGTATTATTATTTGTAATGTAAATATTGAAAGTTGATTTGGTAAGTTTGAAAGTTTAAGTTGAATGTTTATTCAGCAATGTTGGCACCTTCATTGCTGCACATAGTTCAGCCATCTTGACAGTTAAAAGCCACCCTCTGTAGAGCCAAACATTCTCTCTCATTTAACCATTTTCAAAGGAAATTATGCACCCTTCTTAAAACAACAAAAAATTAAGTGGGGTCATCTTTTGCACTCGTTTGAAAGCCTGACATATACTAGTTTATGTTTACTGATTTTAAACTTTAAAACAAACCCAAATCAATCAGATTCAAATCCGGGTGAGGGTGGATGGCCATGAAATATGGGGGTGGCTCTTCTTTCTCTTCCACACCTTTCAGCTATCACTGCCAATGCAAACACGCATGCCCCCTGCAGACTTCTTACTTAACACACATCATCTGCTCTTGGCAATCACAGAAATAAACTTACTAGAACAGGGTGTGAATTCAGCATTCATAAAGTCGTACCCATCTCCTCAGGGCATCGCACATGCACCAGTTTATGCGGCTGTTTTGAGGGATACTGACAACTATGTCAGAGTTGGAAGGTATTTTCACTTCTTTATTTCATGGCTTTTGGCTGTGTTCTGCATGATGAAATTCTCTCCACCAGGTAAGTGGGTGTCAACTGTATCTGGTTTTCTCTATGTGGGTGCAACTATGAATTATGACAAAGTACAAAACCACGTTTTTCACTCAAAATGTGTGAATTTATTCCACATTTAATATATGCCTCATATATCCCCGAAGTAACAGTCACAATCTTTTATATGAGTGTTTATAATGAAGTTGCAGTGATTACGTGTATGGAGTGAAGACCAACCAGTTAATCCCATAAAATCAAAAGCGTGTACCCAACAAGTATAAAATTATCTTCCTCAAGGAAAACCTACAATGCTATCAAGGACATTTAAAAGACACTGCCATCTTCTCATTTTCAAGAAATTATTCTTTCAGGGTTTAAATTTTCTCTCTCTCACCCTCTCTCCCTCTTTCAGAATAAAGGATAAAATGACCTAGCACTGCAACAATAAATTTGAGAGGAAAATATAAAACACAATTACTGGGACACTAAGTAGTCATTTCTCACTGTTGAGTCCACAGTATTCTATGAATTTAAAAGTTAATTCTGACTGAAAATATGTGATGCATCTCCTAACACTGCACCAAATTCTTAATGCTTATTTATGTCCCAAGAAAATTTATGAATTCTGCATTCGAGAATTATGTTTAAATAAAGAACAGAAAATTAATGGATATGATCTGATTTGACCAAAGACATCTGATTTTGGTTTAAGTGTCTCACTGTTTCTACGTTTCCCCTCTTGATTAAATTTAAAATAACTTCTCCTGGATTGCAGAAGTCTGTGTGGACAATTATACCTTGTGTTGGTTATTAGTAGAAATCACACCTCTTAAGCCACTTTCTGGGAAAATACAATGGAACTCCCCTCTTCCAATTCAAGACGTGCTTGACTATAGCTTAACAGGATAAATGAAGAATGAAAAGCAGTATGGGCATGTCCTGTAACATACGTGGCATCTCATGGCATTAATCCTAACACATTTCTTGAAAAATGCTCCTGAATCCTCAAACGTTGAGTACTTGCCTTGCTGGTGTCTTGGTTTGTCGTTTCTATGTGGCTCAGCGGCATATTCCATCATCGGCCCAAAAAGCTGTCCAAGAAAACCCACATGACGAGAACAGGCCCTTGTCGCCAGAGCCGCCATAATTACCCAGCTCGCAGTTTATTATTTACACATGAGCAGTGCAGCTGTGACGCATCATAACTCAAGCGTATATGTAATAAGTTACTGCACCGCAGCCATCTCCTGCCCTGCCCCTTGACAAAACACCACATGATGACTTCTCCAAAGTCAGGCGAAAACTGCTGAAGCAGAAGGAAGTGCCACGAAACCTGGCTACCTCCTATTTATCATACAATTTCCTGACTGATGGCTCCACAAACCAGCTGCTAAGTGCTGTGTACTCTACTGTCAGCAAACTAACGGGCTAAATGGAAGACAGGGAGAATAATGTGCAGAACTGGTGGAATCAATTTTACTGAGGGAATTAAAATTCTACCAGGTGGGGGCGGGTCTGTGGAGCAGTGGTAAGCAGTCAACTGTACATGCTTATGGTTGCAAAGATGATTTATTACAGACCTGCGAGAGGTTTGACTATTGTACCCGAGTCCTCTTACACTAAACAGAGATTTGAAGAGTGTGCACTCTCCCAGGCTTGAGTGGAATGGTCTTTAAACCCTATAAATATGTAACTGGCTTGACACATGTTTAAACTGAAATGCATAGCAAAAATATTTGTGCTGGGTAGAGTTGTCAGTATTCCATTTCACACTGGCTGTCATCACGTTGAGCATTAAGGGTCTCATTAGGAACGAGAGGCATTGATTTTTAGGTCTCTTCACAACAGCCTGGGTTGATCATAAAACCTGTAGCCAGAGAATAACCGAGAAAGACACTTGGAGATTTATCTCTAGTTGCATCCTTCTCCCAAGAAATAGTTATAGTATCCTCAGGCTATAAGATCTCTTGGATGCCATCCTGGGAAACTGTCTTTTAAGGTTTGAAATTTACATACAAAAATTGCAGATTAAAAAAGAGAGATCAAAGTCTCTCAGTTAGTGCCCTGAAGGAGTAATTCACCAAATGATACTTGAATGGTCTGAAAGTGCCCGGGAAACAGTGCAAGAGTAAACTGCTAAGTGCAGAAGTCCTCATGGGTGATTTAAATACTGAAGTCGTCTGTACCCTGGCCTTGGAATTTACTCAATCAGCTTGGAATCATCTCAATCAGCTAGGGATGATTTTCTGTCATTAGAGTTAGTCCAGCCTGTAGGAATGGCCAGTCCCCTCAAACTCATTCAATCATCTGCCATCAGCAGAAATATCATTAAACAGCATCCGCTATGCTACAACCAAAATCACCATCCAGCTTCTATAAAATGAAAGGTCTCAAGCAGGAGAGGGAGAGAAGAGGAGAGACAGAATGAGAGATCCGACTGCCAAGGAACTCACTCTAGTGAGATAGTAGAGAGGCAGCCCAGGCCTCATCACTGTCTCTTCCCACCATGGAGCTTCTCCAGTCATCATCCTCGTGCCTGCAAGTCGTTTTTCCAGGGCTCAGTGCACTGTGGGAGGCCATTTGGACTGACTCCAAGATGCAGACTGACTTACTAACTCAGACAACCTTGCAATTCCTGCCTATGGATGACACGGCACCAGAAATGAGCTGATCCGCCCTCTGAGGACACCCCAGGTAACCTGACAAGGAGAGTCTAGAGCAACGTGTTTTGAGCAAGACAGTCTGTGGCCCACCATGATCTACCGTGAGCGGAATCTAAGAAGTGCTACCCCCACAGGGCCCCGCTGAGGACTTGCTGGGCAGAATCCCCACAGCATCACCTCATGGAGCACTAGGAATCTTTTTTCTGGTCTCACAAGCATATTATGTGGGGTTAGAAACTCCTCCGGAATCATCAGAATGAGACATCGTATTTATATGATCTTCTATAGGGTAATGCAAGTTTAAAGAAGCTGTGGTTCTAGCATACTCTAGAAATCCTGTAAAAATGCCCTGAAACTTTTTTTTTAAATTATCTATTATTTTGTCACTTTACACAATGGCAGGAGCCTTAACTTGAAGAGTATATGCTATAGGAGGAAACTGCAAACTATCACATGTGGGCCGGTTTTTGTAAATAAAGTTATGTTTTAATTTTTTAATTTTTTATAGGTACATAGTAGATGTACATATTTATGGGTCACATGAGATATTTTGACACAGGCATGCAACACATAACAAGCATATCAGGGCAAATGGGGTATCCATCACCTCAAGCATTTATTATGCGTGCTATAAACAATCCAATTATACTCTCTTCATTATTTTAAAATGTACAATTACATTGCTTTTGACTATAGTCACCATGCTGTGCTAACAAACATTGGGTCTCATTCAATCTTTCTATTTTTTTGTACCCATTAACCATTCCCACTCCCTGCTCAACCCCCACTATCCTTCCTAGCCTCTGGTAACCATCCATCTATTCTCTATCCCTCTGAGTTCAATCATTTTAATGTTTAGGTCCCACAAATAAGTGAGATCAAGTTCTTTCTGCACCTGGCTTATTTCACTTAACATCATGACCTACAGTTCCATCCATGTTGTTGCAAATGACAGGATTTCATTCTTCTTTACATCTGAATAGTACTCCACTGTGTATATGTACCACATTTTCTTTACCCATTCATCTGTTGATGGACACTTAGGTTGCTTTGTAAATAAAGTTTTATTGGAATACTGCCATACTTATTTGTTTACATATTGCCTATGGCTGCTTTCCCACGCCAACAACAGAGCTGACCAGCTGAGACAGGAAACCCATGGCCTAACACATTTGTTATCTTATCCTTTATGGAAAAAGGTTGACAAACCCTATTCCAGTGTACCATGATAAAGTAATTTGCAGAAATTATTACATTTCAGAAAAAAAAATATCAATTTTTTATTTATTGTGTTGTCTAAGCGATAACACTAAGTACATCAAGTATTTTCAATGCACTTTCTTCATATGCTAACTTGTGTGACTGACTTAATATAGTAAAAGTGTTCATATTAATCATTAATCAATAGACATCTCATCTAATTTTAGCAAAACCCGTAACAAGTAGACAAATTTCAAGATAATGGATGAAATTAACCATAAATCTAGCAATAATAGCAGTAGCTAAGCATTTGAAAATTGAAGTTACCTTATAAATTAAGTAAAACAAATACAAATTTACATAAAATGCTAATTAACAATAAAAAGTAAGCTATTTCTAAAACCCAATAAGCTTTTACTTCTGGCAACTACCTGACAGTCTTGACTCCTGGTCTATAAACTTCCACGGACATTCTCCACTACTCAAATAACAAGCTTTTTATCATTTCTTTTGTGTAAGCATGCAGACTATTAAATTAATTAGTATTTTAGACCTAAATGCTACCCATCACTACACTCTGGCCACACCCACAATTCATCCTTTTTTTTAAACAGTCAGATAGATCCCTTCTGTGCTCCTCAACAAACATGGTCATGTGTTTCCCACAAGAAAATGCCAAATGTTCCTCTGCAAGTGAACTGACAAAAGAAACCTCTGCCTTTACTGCTTCAGGTATGTCCTCAGTCGTGAACCAACAACTGATCTCGCCCCTTTCTGGAAACTTCTAACTTCTTCTGTCCGTAAGTCTGCATGTTTCTCCCTTCAAGATCACATCCAGTGGATGCCCAGTGGTGGAAAGAAAACCACATCTACGTACTGGCTGACCAGCCATATCCTTCCAAACAGAGACTCTGGAATGTGTCTTGCCTGTGATTCCACATATATGCATCCAACATTTTTGTTGTTTTCAGCTTTCCTGCCAGGATAAGAGAGAAGAAATAACCAGAGGGAAAGGCAGCAAAGAGAAATAAGGAAAGGTTTACATCCATTCTAGCTGAACTGCAGAACTCTCTCAGGGAAATCACATGTAAACATATAAGGAATCACTTAAAAGTGACAAATCTGTTTACTTTGAAATATGCTAATGGTGTATTTTCAGTGACAATAAATAAGCTTGGAAATTAAAAATGGAAATTAGTTACCAGTGACAAATTTTTAAATCAATGACTGTATTTTTGTATCACAAAATTCAAAAGTCACAGTTATAGCTCTAAAAATATGCATTTGGATTCTTTTTTTTTTTTTTTTTTTTTTTTTTTTTAGATTGAGTCTCACTCTATTGCCCAGGCTGGACTGCAGTGGCACAATCTCAGCTCACTGCAACCTCCACCTCCCGGGTTCAAGCGATTCTCGTGCCTCAGCCTCCCGAGTAGCTGGGATTACAGGTGCCCACCACCACGCCCGGCTAATTTTTGTATTTTTAGTAGAGACAAGGATTCACCATGTGAGCCAGGCTGGTCTCGAATGGTTATGAAATGAAAGCAGAAGAGGAAATGTTTCCATAAAAACTGTTTGGTTATCTCAGATCTAACTACGGAGACCCTGGAGTCAATAGGATCAGAAGTTTAAACTAAGCCTGGTTTAGTTAGGAAACCAACAACTGATCCACAAAGGGGAGGTTTGGAAGTTGTATTCTATTCAAAATTAACCTGCTGCAAAAAGAGCTTTCAGTGTTGCAAAACTAGCAGAAGCAGGTAGGGAAATGTGAAAGCAAAATAAGATAGTATATTTCATAATAGTATATATCTTCTTAAGGAATCCTCTTGACATAAAATAAGCATTCCCAAAACGTTATTATTATTCTCCTAAGTCTTGTTTCTTCTTAAGTTCTATTATCAAGACAATCCTGAGAACTAAGAAGGGAAAATTTTATTATCCACTCAAAAAAGCTAAATGATCTACCCAGTGTTGCATAAAACTATGGCCTTATGATGCAAGTTTGGTGCTCTTTCTATTCCAATACCAGAGCACACAGGACTTGGCACTTCAAACGTGATCCCTGCCAGGGCAGGGAAACCCAGGTACCTTCATGAAATGTCAATCCTGCTTTGGAGGCGGCAACCCTGAGGAGCTCTCAGGCAGCACAAATGCAAGCCTGCCAGAGATTGTCGGGGCTCAGGCTCAGCATATCAAGAGGTTTACCCTTGTCTTCACAGTTGCACAAGAGAGAATGCTGCCATCAATCATAAAGAATCACTTCCAGAAATATTTGGAAGTCTCTGGAAGACCAGCAGTATTTCAAGAGTGTGCTGGTTGGCAACTTTGTAGCAATTAAGAAATGAATGAGGCACATTCATTTTGCTCAAAACCAGGCAAGAAGCTCTGAAGGATTATTGACTCTGCTTCTTTTATCTGGACCATCCACTCCATCTGCAGTTCCTGTCAATCAACAACTAAAGGTCTTCCAAGGTTTGCCCCATAAATAGTAATTAATAAAAAATAATAAAACAATCTTGATGAGCACAAGTGCAAGTCACTGAATACTTTAATGCAGGTCAAGCAATGTGCAATGCCTTTTAGATTCACCTCATTTATTTCTTCCTGGGGCCTGACCCTGAGAAGCAGGTACTATTCATACGCCCATTCTTATGGATGGGGAAACTGACCTTCTCCAGTGTTACAGGGGGAGACAGTAGTAGAGCTGTGTGTCTTTCTTACTTCAGAACCAGGGCTCTTAGACATTCCACTTCCTGACACAACAATGTCAGAGTTAAGGCTTTTTATCATAGCTTATCTAAACTATACTCCCCACACCAGCATCCCTAAAACCAAGTCTGAACCATATCCCTCCCTTCTCCCAAAATGTATAGTAGCCCAAGATAGCCTCCCCACTCCAGCCCAAGCTCTTCACCATGAGTTTGAGGCCCCAGCCACCAAGCTCTGTCCAGGACACCTCCCCATCCGAGAGTCAGTGCCCCCTCAGGCACCATGCACTTCATGGCTTATGGTGTCCCCTCAGTTGAGGACAAATTCCCTCTTACCCAAGTCTTACCCCCTCTTCAAGACTCAATACAAACACCACCCCCTCCATCAGGCTTCCCAGGGGGCTCCATGGGATCGAGTGCTCCTTCCTCCCTTCTCCATAATTCAGGTTGGCCAGAACCAGTAGGGACGACCCGAGGAATTCTACTTGGACCCGCATCATGTCCTCCCCACTGCCTTGCCCTCTGACGGCCCTGTGCTCATCCTCAGTGCGCTTCCTCAGACAAGCACACATTTACTGAATACAGAGCTTATACCAACACAGCCATGGGGGTGAGCACACCACACTGCCTTTCCTGCTGGGCAGTATGGGGATGAGTCCCTGCCAGGGTGCACACACCCACAGGTCAGAACTGTCTTCTTTCCCTCCCAGGAGGTCTGGGGTGTGAGGGCAGAAGAGGCCCACTTATCCGTGTATACCCAGCAGGAACTCAATAAATGTATGTTCTAGGAAAGGTGAAAAGGGGGAGGAAAGACATGAAAGGAAACTGAGGCCACGCAATGACAGTGGTGGACCAGGCTAGCCATCCCTCCTGGAAACTGCAGGACACTTCCATCTACCTAAGGGGCCTCCAACAACAGGCAAAATGAGGGGAACCCACAGGTATGGGCTGTCTCCTCTTTGGAATCCTCCCTGTGCAGTTTTCTGCATGCTTCCCATGTTCAGAGTGAGCCCAGGGCCAAGGCCCAGCAGATGCATGCACACCCTGGACCAAATCCTAGCACTCTGAAAGGCAGCTTCCAGCCTGACCAGGCTGCCTGCCTTCTGCTGGGCAGTGAGTAACTTCAGTGAGTAAACTCACCACCCTACCCCATGCCACCACCTCTAAGACAGGGCAGACACTGATGGGCGCTCAGCAATCACAATCCTGGTTGGGACCTTTTGACTGAGAATGCCCTTTCCCATCAGAGAAACACTGATGGCTCCAGTGAATTCAGGATACTTGATCAGGCTGCTAACACCCATATGGAAAAAGCTCTTAGACACAAAAGGTTGGAGGTCAAAAGTTTAAAAGCTCATGACAGAAATGACAGGGGCCCCTTTGCCCCCACCACCACCTACTTTTTTTTTTTTTTTCATCAATAACATCAAAGGCTCTGGCATGTACTTAATGCTATTATTGTTACGCTTTGGAATCCATTGAAATTCCAGCATGTTTACTGCACACTGGGAGCATTAAAAGGCTCCACTTTCTTGTGTCCCTTAAACTCTGAACCCTCACTGTCTAAGAAGCATCATTGTTTGCAGAAACACATAAAGCTTTAAAGCAAAGAGTTTGTTTTAAGGGTTTCTTTCACCATGACTGTAAAACAATAAAGCACACGACATGGCTTCCTTGAAAGGATGAGCAAGGAAATGATAGAAAAGGGAGAGAATCCCCCGCTGCTTAGAAAGAAAAAAATCCACTTCACATTTCTTGGCTCATGGGAGTACAAGTAGAAAACATTCCCCATTTTTCTTCTATTTCTCCTTTCTCTGCAACCCTATGTTAGCCACAAGCTGCACATTTTACACACACCTCAAAGACATTGGCTATGTGAGCATCTATCAAATGGTATCATCTGAAGGAGTCCGAAATACCTTTCTTCTTTAGAATGCCTTCTCAAGTCCACCGTCCACTTTGCAGCTACCTCATACTCATTGCTGGATGTGCAGATAAAAAGCCCCACAGCTGCCTGCAGGCTGGTTCAGAACTACTCCAAGCTCCACTCTCTGAAGTTCCCACTAGTGGCTTCCTCTCTTGTTGGCTACCCTTCCCTTCCTCGCAATCTCATCTGGCTTCCTATTTTGATTCTTAGCTTAATTCCAGTTGGAATGCTGAATGAATTTCAGACTATCTCTGACCGTCCACCCCTTAGAGCACCTGCTCCTATGGTAATGCCTTGGATGTCTAACCTATGCTATAGGCAAGAGGCATCCTGCCTGGGCCTGCAAGCCCACCATGCCCATAAAAGGCAGAGGCCACTCATTGCCCACTCTTCCCCTCCATGATTCCTGCAGTCCAGACAAGCTAATGTGCTCAGACACATCCCAGAGGAATTCAGTTTGCCAGCGTTCTGTTTTAGGACTGGGGAGGATGATAGGCTTGGGGGTGTCAACAAACCTATTCAGCTGGGCTCTGATGGGGACTCTCCTCTCTGGGGAGGCAGTGGTCCTGAGGCTCCTTTCACTGAGCCTAGGCCACTGGCTGTCTGCTGCCTGTGCTTCCCTGAGGCCTCAAGCTCTCTTGCGCACTTCCGCTTCTGCAGCCTCAGTGGTGATCTCACTGGCCCTTCATCTGGACTCAGCAGCTGCTTACCTTGTCTAACAAGACTCAGGCTCTAATGTGATCTCCATCTGAGTCCTCTCCTCCCTCTCTACAAAGTAACCCCTGGCTTCTAGACCAGTCTTCA
Organism: Homo sapiens; assembly: GCF_000001405.40. Taxonomy (NCBI): domain Eukaryota; kingdom Metazoa; phylum Chordata; class Mammalia; order Primates; family Hominidae; genus Homo; species Homo sapiens. The sequence goes on from NC_000007.14 coordinate 42,089,046, forward strand.
TAAACTATACTTGGTAGGTATCTGATGTCAATGATGTCCATGTGCTCCAAGTGCCCCTAAGGACAGAGAACATGGTCTGCTTCTGGAGTCTGCATCTATACCTTGTACGCCTAGGTCCACACCTACAGCCCTAGGGACTATAGCCTCAACACATGGATGCGTAATAGTGGACACACTCACACAAAGATGACCCCAATCTGCACTTCCTCAATGAGTTTCCACTAATCAGAGGGTGTGGCCTACACTCATTTTGAGAGTGCAAGACTGCTTCTCATGCTTCTTTGCTGTTTCCAACTGTTACTAATGACTTGAAGCATGATAATACGGGATTTAAACAAAACATTTGAAACAAAGCATGGATTTAATAACTGACACTAGGCAACAGACCAAATTGATGGCAACCTACTGGTCATCTTGACACCAATATATACTTGTACAGAATTTATCACCCTCAATATGAATCCTTAGAAAAGCCATCCTTTCTACTGAGTTTTACCTTCTCCAAAATCGGGAAAAGGCCAAATACTCAGCACACTGAATGATGCATGCTGCAACCCTTGGCTGGGTACACCCTTCCCATGGGAATTTATCTGCTCTCCATTTTGCCCAAGGCAGCTGAAAAGGCTCCCCCATTTAAAGACGTATTTTCTAGATTTCTATAAAAACAAATTACAATAATCACTACAGCCATAATATAAATTTTCTTTCATCCGTAAAATAAGGCTAGTAAGACTTAACTCTGTTGACTCCACAAAGTTGTACAAGGCCCCAGGTGACATAAGTGAAGGTGGTTCATAAATTCTGAATAACAGTCATGCATCTCTTAACAATGGGATGCATTCTAAGAAATATGTCTTTAGATGATTGTGTCATTGTGTGAACATCATGGAGTGCACTTACACACACCTAGATGGTGGAGCCTACTACACGCCCATGCTGTATGGTATAGCCTATTACTCGTAGGCTATAACGGTACGGTAGCATGTCCCCATACTGAATCCTGTAGGCAACCGTAACACAATGATAAATATTGGTGTATCTAAGCATATCTAAACATAGAAAAGGTACAGCAAAAATACAGTATTAAAATATTTTTAAAATGCTACACCTATATAGAGCACTTACCATTAATGGAGCTTGTAGGACTGGAAATTGCTCTGGGTGAGTCAGTGAGTGAGTGGTGAATGAATGTGAAGACCTAGGACATCCCTGTACAGTACTGTTGACTTTATAAACACTGTACACTTAGGCTGCACTAAATTTATGAAAAGTAAAGTGACTGTACTATGACGTTATGATAGCCACAATGTCACTAGGTGATAGGAATTCTTCAGCTCCATTATAATCTTATGGGACCACTGTCTTACATGTGGTCAGTCCTTGACCTGAATATCCTTAGGCAGCACATGACTGTACCCATGTTTAAGAAGTCACCGTTCCTTCTAAGTCCTTCTTCCTCAACATAAACACCCAAGTTACCATGAGAGTCAACAACTTTATGTGGGTGTCTTCAGCTTTGCAAGTAATCTGAAGGTTCAGGTCATGCTTCTCTCTTGCCCTCAAGCATTCTCTGATCATAAGACCCAGGAAGAGTCCTCCATATCTCTGTCCCTAAGTAAGGTCTGTGGCAAGGACCTCACTCTGTCTCCTGAACTTCACACTAGACAGACACTGTCCTCAGCTTAACCTTCAGGGAAAAGAAAAAAAGTTACAGCTACAAATACGCTCAAAAAAGAACTATCATTTACTGAGCACTCACAGGTACTAAGGACTGCCCTAAACACTCTTCATATATTTTCTTGCTTATACCACATGACAATCTAAGGAAGTAGGTATTCATATGCTATTTTGCAAATGAGAAAATAGGGATAGAGAAGGTAAGAAGTTAAAGTCGCTCAGTTAGGAACTGACAAAGCTTGGCCTCAAGTCCAGATGTGCCTGACTACAGTGCTCTGTAAGCTACAGCAGGGCCAACTACCCAGGCATGGGGCCTGTGCAGCCCCTGGGCCTGTGGTCAGAAGGGCCCGAGCATGGTTTAATGTTACGCGCAGTAGCCGTCTTGAAATTCTTAGTAATTTTTCAACAAGGGCTCCCCATTTTCTTTTTACACTGGGCCTCACAAACTATGGAGCTGGTCCTGAGTACACCTGTATTTCCCACAAAAGTACTCCCACTTCCAACCTTCTCTGCTTCACCCTTGCCAACGACAAAAGCTAAAAGCTGCTAACAGACATTGTCATGGGTACACTGGGTGATTGCACACATCCTGCCTTCACTGCCCAGGTACAGGTCCCCTACCTCACCCAGGCCCTGCCTCAGGCTTACACTTTGGTCCCCTTGCCCCAGTCGCTCAGACACTTCTCCCAGGCACCAGGGACCCAGCCTAGCAGGCAGCAGGCCCCTAACCAGGCCAGATCTGGCAGAACACGGGCCAGACATCAACCCCACGACGATGCTCTCTTGCTGCCACTGGGGCCTGCGCACACTGTGCTAACACAGTCGCCATCCACCGGCCTGCTGTCCTGAGGGCTAATTGGGCTTGTTTAGACCGAACACAGCAGAAGTCCCTCTACACATATATAAATCACAATTACTAACTGCAAGAATCCAGCCGCTCTCTTCTCCCCTCGTGGCTGCTACAGAGGAATTCCCAGGCCAGCCAGGACTAGCACAAAAGCCCCAGACTGGGCTGCAGCAATATCCGCTCGCTCGGCTCAGTTTATTATTTAAACAGTTCCTTAACGATTCTTCCCGGAGGTGAGTGAGGCCAAACTGTTTTCCTTCCCTCCACAAAGCAGATATGCATGGCTTATTTGAATGTCTTCAACGTTTACTTTAGTCCCCAGTTAAATACCTTCTACCGCAGAGTCAAACAAACAGTTCACTTCATTAGAAAGGCAAACAATTTAGCAAGAGAATACCACCAGCACTTGAGGGGAACCAAGCTGGGCCTCGAAACCCTCTGCCTGGGAAGCAGGGCCAGTGGCGGCCCAGGCAACAGTGCGTGGAGCTCACTTCAAAAGCCTTTGCACAAATACTTCACACATTCACTGGTAATTAACAGATAACCCCGAAGAGATTATCTGCCCTGCGGCCAAGGACCCTGGAGGATTATCCACACCACCCGTGCAGGAGAAGGCAGAGTCCAAGAGCACACCTTTTTCTCTGCAAATGCAAGTGGATAAAGTCATCTGAGAAAACACCAAAGCGAGCAGCTACACCTCCCCTACCCCGGTGAAAATAATAACGAAGCAACACCTCATTAAGATAATTATTAATTTAAGCAACAGCCGGAAGTTGTGCCTGAGAAAAACACACAGGCTGGAGCAGCAAGAGGACACAGGGATGGAAAGTTCAAGACAAGAACCAGGGCAGGAGCGCAAAGCCCGTGGTGTGCTGTCAGGATTCCAGCTCAGAAGTGGAGACAACGCTGTTCCCAACAAAGACTTGGGGCACACTGAAAACACTGTGGGGGCTGACCATGAGCAGGTTAAAGTCTGGGCACTTCTTTGCGAGAGACCCTGAGGCAGGGTCAGCTGCCCATTGAGGTTTGAAGCCATCTGTCGCACAGCAGGCAAGCCCCGACTCTCAGTCCAGTGGGCACCGCACTGCCCCGGCTTTTATCTCAGAACCACAGGAGGAACGCACCAGAGTCAGCTCTTCAGTTGACCAACAGATGACAGGTTATACCTATCCATCCAGGGCACAGGATTTGGGGCTCATCTTTTATTTTATTTCATTTTATTTATTTATTTATTTATTTATTTATGTATTTATGTATTTATAGAGACGGAGTCTTGCTCTGTTGCCCAGGCTGGAGTGCAGTGGTGCGATCTCAGCTCACTGCAACCTCCGTCTCTGGAGTTCAAGCAATTCTCCTGCCTCAGCCTCCTGAGTAACTGGGATTACAGACACCCGCCACCACGCCTGGCTAATTTTTGCATTTTTACCAGAGACGAGGTTTCACCATGTTGACCAGGCTGGTTTCAAACTTCTGACCTCAGGTGATCCACCTGCCTCGGCCTCCCAGAGTGCTGGGATTACAGGCATGAGCCACCGCGCCTGGCCAGGATCTTGTTTTTAAAAACAGAAGGGCGCCCAGCATGGGCAAATCACCTGAGGTCAGGAGTTCGAGACCAGCCTGTCCAACATGGAGAAACCCCGTCTCTACTAAAAATACAAAATTAGCCGGGTGTGGTGGCACATGCCTGTAATCCCAGCTAGTCGGGAGGCTGAGGCAGGAGAATCACTTGAACCCGGGAGGCGGCGGTTGCAGTGAGCTGAGATCGCCCTATTGCACTCCAGCCTGGGCAACAACAGCAAAACAATGTCTCAAAAAAAAAAAAAAAAAAGGTTCCCTTCTCTTTTCTACATAAGAAACACATATACTCACCACCACTGTCCCCCATATATACGGTTACCACAATCGTAGACAGTAACATCAAATAAAAATGGGGTGGGTGGTGCAGCTGTTCCTATTATACTTAAATTTGGGTTTTCACACATGCTGTGGTTGTTCTGGACAGGGTCAGATTAAGCAATTTCAGTGCTTATGGCTCTTAAGAATTTGGTAAACCTCAAATGCCAACTGTAATAAATCATACAAGTCTCTATTATAACTATAAATCACTATAAATCACTCATGAAATTTAATACTGTCATGAAGAGTAATTAAATGCTAATGTAACAAATTTACAAAAGGAAAAACAAACACATTAATGGGGAATCTTAAGAGCTAGAGAACACTCCTGTATGGGAGCTTTCAGAAAAATCTTTGTCCCCAAAGAATAAACACTGTTTCTTTATCCAAAGCCAGAGGTCCTCAGGAAGTGAAAATCAGGAAAGGGCCACACTCCCCAAATAAACTCAGGACTGAGTGCTAAAGTCCAACTCCCTTCTTCAATGCAGAAAAAAGATACCAAAAATTGACTTTCATTCTGCATTATCCTACTAAGGAAACAGAGAGGAAGGGCGCAAAAGTCAAGCAGGAGATGAGGAGAGGCCAGTGCCCAAGAAGGGTCTTGGGGTTTAAAGGAAGTTTCAGGAAGGAGTCACAGTATTTCCCTCAAGGTCACTATCTCCCTTGCACTGCCCGCCCTTCAAATCATTGCTGGGTTGATACTCAGCTGTTCTTAGCTCTTCAACGATGCTGACTCTTAAAGTTTAGACAGGACAATTAGAACCACGAATTCTGTTCTGTGCTGCTTCAGTCCTAACACCTCAGGATTCAGTAAGTAGTTGCTGAATACAGGAACAAGTCAAAACCAATTCACTAGACAGGGTGTGGTGGCTCACACCTGTAATCCCAGCACTTTGGGAGGCTGAGGCAGGTGGATCACTTGAGGTCCGGAGTTCAAGACCAGCCTGGACAACATGGTAAAACCCCGTCTCTACTAAAAATACAAAAAATTAGGGCATGGTGGTGGGCGCCTGTAATCCCAGCACTTTGGGAGGCTGAGGCAGGTGGATCACTTGAGGTCAGGAGTTCGAGACCAGCCTGGCCAACATGTCGAAACCCCATCTCTACTAAAAATACAAAAAAATAGGGCATGGTGGTGGGCACCTGTAATCCCAGCTACCCGAGAGGCTGAGGCAGGAGAATTGCTTGAATCTGGGAGGCAGAGGTTGCAGTGAGCCAAGATTAAGCCACTGCACTCCAGCCTGGGTGACAAAGTGAGACTCTGTGTCAAAAAAAAAAAATTAATTAAAAAAAAAGACAATTCACTCTGCAGATCTAAGCAGCACTGCCAGGTACCAGGCCCCACGGATTCCCAAAAGCCTAATAAGCCAGTTGCTCCAAGGAGCCCCAGAGGGGAAGGAAGCACGTGGACTGAGGAGTCACAAAGCCACCCACAAGCACAACAGCTCAAAAGCATCCCAGGTCCAAAGACCGCACATGAGGGAGCAGTGGGCAGAGGACTAGGTAGGGGAAGGATGAGGGCCAGAGGAACCTCCTCTCCTTGAGGAAAAGCCTTGCTCAGAAAGGTGACCAGGAGTGTGGAGAAAAGACACCACAGACAAGCACAGCCTGCTCGGGGGCAAGGGCGTGCTTGGTGACTCCTAAGCAGCTCAGTGTTGCTTTCCAGCATCGGTCCTCCAACTTGACCTTGCCTCCAAGTTCCTGCAGAGCTTGTTACAATGAAGACTGCTAGGCTCCACCCCAGCAGTTTCTGACTCAGTAGGCCTGGGGTGGAGCCTGAGAATTTGCATTCCTAGTAAGCTCCCAGATGAGGCTGCTGCTGCTGGAGACCCTCCGGGAACCACGGAAGCGTGCAAGAAGATGAGGCCAGGCCTGTTCAGGGCTCCTACACCATGCAAGAGAGCACGGAAGGCTCAGCAGGAGACTGGAATGATCAAACACATCTTTTGGAAGTATTACTTTGGTGGTAACATGGAGAATGGGTTGGAGTGGAATGAAATGAAGGTGGAGAACAAGAGATGTAAAGACTCAAAAAACCAAGGCAGGGCAGTGGAAGGGAAATGAATGGGATGGAGGAGGGGCTCTGGGAGAAGCAGAAGTAAAGGACACAGGAGATGGGTGAGAAGAGAAAGATGGAAGGTGGGCTGACTCTAAGGTTCTGGCCCAGGTGAGTGTTAATGATGGTCCTGGGACCAAGGCAGCAACAGAGAAGGAAGCAGGAGAGGACACAAGAGGAGGGAGGAGAAAGCATGGATTCAGCCTGAGACAGGTGGGGTTTGAGGTGACCACCACAGCCAGGCTCCTGGTAGATGTCTGGAGGGAGGTGGATCTGGGATTTGAGAGCCACGTCTAGCCTGGAGATGGAGGCGGGAGAGGCGATCACAGGAGTGGATGGTGACATCAGAGTTAGTGATATCTCCAGGGAAGGTACAGGAAGAGGAAACCTGGAGGGAGGCTGGCAGTTAAGGGATGAGGGGAGGAAGCAGAGTTGTGCAAGGAGGAAATAGGAGAGACACAGGACAACCACCAGTCAGGGGCCTCCAAGGGGCCAGAGGGAGGAGGCAGTTTCAGGCAAGATGCACAGCTTCCGGAGCCAGGGTGTGTGCACTGCAGGGAGCTGACGGGTGGAGAAGCCAGGGTGAACACTGTGGTGCACTCCGGGATGTTCGGCTGCAAATAGAGAAGACAGGGCAGCAGCTAGAGAAGACCCAAGGCCAGAAGTGCTGTGTGGATGTTTTGACTCTGTTTGTTTATGGGTGGAAGGCACTGGAGCCACCGAAGTGGAGGAAGAATGAAGTGAGAAAGGAGAGTACCGATGGAGTCAGGGTCCCTAGAATCCAGAATAGGACGCAGGTTAGCTCAAACTCGCTTCCCCAGAAATAAAGGAGAGGGATGGGAGAGTACAGGAACGGGCTGGCTTTAAAGAGTGTCCAGTGTCAAGTAAAGCACCTGATCTGGTCCCACCCCTAAACAGCAGGCTCACGGGAGAAACTTCAAACTTGGTAGCATTGCTGAGTCAGAGGTCATGGTTTAAAAGGGGAGCAGGGTACAGGGCATTCCTCTTGGGAGTTTCAGCCTGAAGGACGCATTCAAAGCGGTCACACCTTTGCTGCCCACTGGCAAGGAGAACTGCTAAGATCCTCCAAGAGCGGGTGTTCAGGGTCCCTTCAGACTCCTGACCCTCCACTTTGCCTGGAGCAGCCACATCCCTCTCTGCCTGGAGAGGGGGAAGGAAGAGATTCCAGAAGCCAGGTCAGAGCATGGAGAGTAAGCAGCAAGGGCCCAGAGAACTCTGCCATGGAAATCAGCCATGAAACCAGACTCCAGCCACAGAGCTCCAAGGGCCTGGTGCCATCAAAGATAGGTTATCTCAAAAGACTGTTGCCTAAAAGTTGGATGTGATTGTGAGGGTTGGGGAAACACTTGGAGGCTGTGCTGCAGTGGCCAGGCCAAGCCAGGTTTTACAAGTTCACAGCAGCTGCGGTTGCTCTGCGGCCAGCCTAAGGGATGTTTAATAAAAAGCTGTGCTCAATTTCACCCCCTTCACATCCCTGAATTCAGCCTCTTTATTTATAGCCCCAGACTAGGCATGCAGTGGGAAATCAGAGAGGCCAGGAAAAGGAGAGGGAAAGGAGACAGACAGAGATAGAAGGAGTTAACAGGCAACAGCTTTTAAAGGGTAAAGCGTTTCAGAAACAGAGAATTCACTGGCACTCCCTGCTGCTTTTATTGCTTTCGTTCAACAGCTGGAGAAAATGTTTGATCAAAATATTTGTATTATTGTGTTTAAGTGAAATGACATATGACAGCTCATTATCCCAAACTCAGAATTCCCACAGCATCTGTCACAGCCACCCTATTAGAGACAGTCGCTCCCCCTGGAAGATGGAGGGGCAGGGGGCGGGAGATGTGAGACAGGAAGCAGCAGGCATCAGACCCCAGACGGTCTCAGCCTCACAGGCCCTGGCCCAGGCTCTGGTTAAGCACGAGGGGAGATGCTGGAGGGAGACGCAGGTGATGCCTGGGGCCTACCCCGGGAGCCCCCCTTCCCCTGGACACCAGCAGCCTGCCAGGAGCACGGGACCCAGCAGGGGCTCTCGTGTCCATGGAAATGGCCAGGATCCCCTCTCTTAGACATTACTTGGCAAACAGCATTTACTGATCTAAAATTTAACAAAATGTCTCTCTCAAGCCTTTGTCCTTTGAAAGAAGAAAAAATAACTTTTTAAAAATTATCATGCCATTTTCTCTGTCCTGAAGTGAGTAAACGTGTAATTCTGCAGAACTTGGCTTTATGAGCCTACGTTCCTCTCCATGACAACCTTCAAGGGCCTCAGTTCTGCTCAGGCCATGTCCTTCTACGACACCCCTAGTGGACAGATGTCAGGGTATATGTTCTATACCAGACATACCAGGGAGGGAAAATCATCTACCAGCTGCTTCCTGTGTGCCTAGCCCATTTCTGAGAACTTACTGGCCTTATTCAAATCCCATGACAATCCCAGGAGGCATATGATATTATCTCCTCTTTGCGGATCAGATTATGCTCAGAGAGGTTAAGCAATAAGCCCAATGACTCACAGTTGAAAAGTGGAAGAGTGAGGACCTAAAGCCACAGCCTTGACTCCCTAAAGCAGATTTATTTTCCACAGCCTGCAGGTATGACCACAGAGAGAAACGACACGTGAAGAAGAGTGCTCAGTGGCTGTGGGAAGGCAGGAATCAATGTGGATGTACTTGCACATGCCCTCCTCATCACACGCTGAACAAATTCTCATTATTAGACCATAGAAAAGTTTGTTTTTATCCCCATCTCTCTGTCTCTGTGTAATGTACTAAAAACTGACCCACGCTAACGGAAAAAGATGCTCTACATTTTAGCCCCATGTCAGCCATTTCCAAAAAAAAACCTCAGGGGCCTTCCCTCTTGAAGTTTTTGAGTCCCAGTTTCCTCACCTATAGGATCAGGGAGGTGATGTGTTTCTGTTTCATGGGGCTCCTATTCGATGTACAGCAGAGGGCTCTGAGGCAGTTCCCCAGAATAACCTTGTACACATGACTCCATATCTCTGAACATCCATTTTCTCAGGTGTAAAACCTACCATATAAACCTACTGGTCATTTTAGGAATCCAAACCAAAATAAGATCGTGTTTATAAATATGCTTTACAAGCTGGAAAGTGCTGTGTCAATTTAGGCTATCTTCCACCCTATCATTTGGGACTACCACAATGCCTCATTTCTAGCAATGCTTTTCACCCCAATTACAAATGTCCCTTATTCCCCATTGGGTCAGATTTTTCAGCTACCCCAAGAGAAAACGGAAATAAAATGGGCCCAGTATAGAACTCTCTTTATCCTGCTTGGGTACAGAGAGGATAGGTCGCAAATATCACAACCCAATTCCTATTTATTCTCTCAGAGTGTTTTGAGGCTGAAATACATAAGCTTGCGTGGGTAGAAGAGGGGACCCTTGTGGGTGATCCTAACAGTGGGGCATCCAAAAGGAAGAGCTGTCGCCATTCATCCAGGGATACATCTGCCCTGAGAGTGGCTCTATCCCCTGCCTGCTCCCCCGTGCCAAGGAGAGGGTGGTGATATCAAGGAGTACAATTTACCAAGGCTGAGTGAGTTCTGCCCAGGGACTTCATGCTCCGCCCTCTTCCCCACTATCCACATAGGGATCCCTGGACATGCCATTTTCAGAGCAACCAGTTGCTACATTGATAGTAACTTGACATGTTTGATCAGCTTAAGGCCAAAACTTCGGGTTAGGAAATACATATGCAAGCCAAGGTTTCACATTCTCCCAATAATGCTCACTTTGAGTGATTACTTCCTTTGAATTCGACACCATCTCCCATACACATTGTTTTTATAACTGAAAAGCAATCCACCAACCAACCAATGACTCATTCAATCAATACATGAAATAATTGAAATAGAGCATACTTAACAGGCTTTTTTCGTTAACAGTAAACATATTTGTAATTTACTAGATTTGTTTTTTTCTGTAACTTTAAATTTTTGTGCAATGAACATATTATATTTATTTAATTATTTTTAGAGATATGTTAGTTTAGTTAGTTATTTTTAGAGACAGGGTCTCACTCTGTTGCCCAGGCTGGAGTGCAGAGGTGCGATCACAGCTCACTGCAGCTGCGACCTCCCGAACTCAAGTGATTCTCCTGAGTAGCTGGGATGACAGGCACTCACCACACCTCACTAATTTAAAAAAAATTATTTGTAGAGACAGAGTCTTGCTATGTTGCCCAGGCTGGTCCCGTACTTGTGGCCTCAAGTGATCCTCCCACATTGGCCTCCCAAAGTGCTGGGATTACAGGCATGATCCACTGCATCTGGCCATGATATTTTAAATATAAGACAAAACACACTTTCGAAACAGTCTGACATTCTAGAAGTCTCTGTGACAGCATGCACATGCCAAAGTATTTTCTCTCCATGAGGATCACGGGCACGTTAGTGCCAATCCACTCTCTTTCTCTGTAACCAGCATCAACATGTCTTTGTAATGAAGAGCTGCTCATTGGATAATGTGTTTATAAAGTCTGTGTCATCCTCTTCAAGTCTAAACACAGGCAGCTTTCTCATAGCAAGTGGGTAGTTAACATGCCAAGTCAATCAATACCAGTGTCTCCCACTCCCAACCCCAGTATTTTCTCACGGAGCTGAAAACAAAGACTTGGGAGCTGCCCGGTGCAGCCAAAGCACAGATAAAGGGACTGTGACTGTGAAAGTCCAGCAGCATGTGGCCACCTTCTATGCTGTGGAAGGAGGAAGCCACAGCTGCCTGGTGCAGTGGGTTGAACTGTGTCCCTTTAAAAGATATGTTGAAACCCTCACATCTGGTATATGTAAATGTGACCATATTTGGAAATAGGGCTTTGCAGAAGCAATCAGGTTAGATGAGGTCATTAGGATGGGCCCTAAATCAATACTCCTAGTGTCTTTATAAGAGGGGATCTGTGGCTGGGCGTGGTGGCTCACACCAGTAATCCCAGCACTTTGGGAGGCCAAACTAGGCAGATCGATTGAGCTCAGGAGTTTCAGACTAACCTCTGCAACATGGTAAAACCCCGTCTCTACAAACATAAAAAAAAAAAAAAATAGCCAGGTGTGGTGGTGCACGCCTGTAGTCCCACCTACTTGGGAGGCTGAGGTGGCAGGATCACTTGAAGCCAGGGGGCGAAGGTTTCAGTGAGCTGAGATTGCACCACTGCACTCCAGTGTGGGTGACAGAGCAAGACTCTTTCCAAGAAAAAGAAGAGGGGGTGGGGGTTTGTACACAGACACACCACAGGAAGACAGCCATGGAAGAGAGGCAGAGAGTGATGCTGCCATGAGACAAGAATTGCCTGGGGCTTCCAGAAGCTGGAAGAGGCAAGGAAGGATCCTCCCTTAAGATTTCAGAGGGAGGATGGCCCTACCAATACCTTGATTTTGGACTTTCAGCTTCCAGAACTGACAGATAATAAATTTCTGTTGTTTTGAGCCCCCAGTCTGTGGTACCTTGTTCTGGCAGTGCTAGCAAACATACACACCTGGGTTTCCTTACAATTTTGTTTTGGGAAGGCCGCCCTATACCAGTGACTTTTGAAGAGGCTACATTCTCTTCTCCTGTGAGTAGGAGTAGCAGTAAATATTGACAAGAAACAAAGAACCTAACAACCCTCAGAAGAGCTGAGAAGAGGAAAGCATGTGCAGTATGCCCATCGTCATTTTCTGGCTGTGAAGCATCTATTCCTTCTTCCCACAGAACTCTGATTTCCTTTGCAGAATTAACTTCTCTCCTACTGTATTTAGGCATTCTGGGGTGATAAATAAAAAATCCAGGACTGGCGTGGTGGCTCCCGCCTGTAATCCCAGCACTTTGGGAGGCTGAGGTGGGAGAACTGCTTGAGTCCAAGAGTTCGAGACCACCCTGGACAACACGTCAAGACCTGGTCTCTACAATTTTTTTTTTCTTTAAATTAGCCAGGTATGGTGGCATACACCTCTGGTTCCAGCTACTCATGAGGCTGAGGCAGTAGGATTGCTTGAGCCCGGGAGGTGGAGGCTGCAGTGAGCCATGTTGGCACCACTGCAGTCCAGCTTGGGCGACAAAGCAAGACTCTGTCTCAATTTTTTTTTTTAAATGTATAATTGCTTTAATATGCTGCTGAATTTCGTTTGCTAGTATCTTTTTATTTATTTATTTATTTATTTTATTATTATTATACTTTAAGTTTTAGGGTACATGTGCACATTGTGCAGGTTAGTTACATACATATACATGTACCATGCTGGTGTGCTGCACCCACTAACTCGTCATCTAGCATTAGGTATATCTCCCAATGCTATCCCTCCACCCTCTCCCACCCCACAACAGTCCCCAGAGTGTGATGTTCCCCTTCCTGTGTCCATGTGATCTCATTGTTCAATTCCCACCTATGAGTGAGAATATGCGGTGTTTGGTTTTTTGTTCTTGCAATAGTTTACTGAGAATGATGGTTTCCAATTTCATCCATGTCCCTACAAAGGACATGAACTCATCATTTTTTATGGCTGCATAGTATACCATGGTGTATATGTGCCACATTTTCTTAATCCAGTCTATCATTGTTGGACATTTGGGTTGGTTCCAAGTCTTTGCTATTGTGAATAATGCCGCTGTAAACATACGTGTGCATGTGTCTTTATAGCAGCATGATTTATAGTCCTTTGGGTATATACCCAGTAATGGGATGGCTGGGTCAAATGGTATTTCTAGTTCTAGATCCCTGAGGAATCATTTTTTTAAAAAATCCATGAGCCTCACTGCCCAAGACAGCCAGGGTACCTGGCTCTGATAGCAGACGGCCTCTGCTGAAAGCCTGAGTCCTGAGCCTGAGTTGGGGGAAGGAGAAGCAGTCAGAGCTCATTCCCCCAGGGAGACTCTCACGCCTGCTTCCTATGCCTCTACAGCACCTGCTTCTCGAGATTTTCTGACAATTTTAAGACAATTCTATGTCATCCCAGCAATTCCTGTTGGTGCAAGGGTTGGAATCAGTTTCTGTTGCATGTAACCCAATAGCCCTGGCTGATGCAGGAGGAAAACCTCAACAGCCCAGCCACCGAGCAGCTGTACAGGCTGGGTGTGCACTTAACTTCTTGGGCTTCAGTGCCTCACCAGGCAAGTTACACCAAATCTCTTCCCATGCCTAGGATTAGAACATTTATGATTCTAAATGTTTCTGCTATAAGACGTAAATTATCTAAGGCTCAGACATGGTGAGCTGAACTGCAGGTGAACAGCAATCCTGCTCCGGCTTGTCCCTAAGTCAAGCAGGGTCATTTGAAACTTTTGTCTTTAACAACCCCCTGAATACAAGGATATGGGAGTGCCATCTCAGTTCGCCGGTCACACTGGCGCAGAAATGCCTAATTGTGGCATATTATAACATACAGCAAACTCAAAGCTTAAGACGCTTTGAACTCCATTCTGCAGATAGATGCTGAGTTAATCACAATTGACCTTCCATGTAGCAGGTGAAAATAGTGAACATGTACTAACTCACACTTTTGGAGGGTAGAGAATCCGGAAGCGGCTTAGCTGAGTGGCTCCGGCTGAGGGTCTCTCAGGAGGCTGCAGTCACCTCAAGGCCTGACTGGGGGAGAGTATGTTTCCAGACTTGGCTCCTCCCCATACAGCCTCTCCACCAGCTGAGTGTCCTCATGGCATGGCCACTGTCCACCCCAGAGTGAGGGATTCAAGAGGGAGGGCAAGAGAGCCACCTGAGTCACAGTCCTTTTGTAATCTAATTTTAGAAGTGCCATCCCATCACTTCACTGGAAGTAAGTCATTAAGGAAAGAGGAAGGAAGTCCCACCTCCTGAGGGCAGGAGTATCAAAAACTTGTACACATGTCCTTAAACCCCCCACAGTGCCATAAATAGCTGAACTTTTTATCCAATCTCCGATTTATACAGTGACATGATTCAAAGATCAAATGTATCTTATTAAAAAAAAAAGCAGGACTAGGAGGCAAAAGACTGTGGCTTTGATTCAAGTTCTGAAAGCAGCTCACTATGTAATTGGGGAACCAAGATAACTGATTCTCCAAGATACTTAGGGAACCTCTCTGCAACTATTTCTTCAGCTATTACACTTTGGCCAAGTGCTATGCTTAACACACATGACCTCACCCAGTCCTTTTCACATTCCAGTGACGTAGATATCTGAATCCTCATTTCTCAGCTGCGAACACTGAGGCATAAAGACACTAAATCACCTATCCAAGAGCACCCAAGATAACCCAAGATAAGGAGTCAGGATGGGGCCCTAAATCTGTCTCTCAAGCTTCAGATGTAGATTGGCATGTGAAGAGACTCAGAAAAGAGGAAAAGGTAGAAATAAAAGTGCTACAATCTGATAATGCATTACCATGAACCATAAATAATAACAGAGTTAATAAAAGAAGTGAGAACAATAGTAATGATGGTGCTGATGATGATGTTAGGCATGTGGGTGTCACGTGAGGGGCCAGCTGACTTTCTAGTATTCACTGTGCATCTCTTTCCTTGACTGTTCACTGTATCTCTGAGGACGATGTGCTTTGTTTGGTGCCCTGTACAAGTATATGAGCATACTTACGGTCTCCACTTGAAGAAGATGAAAGCATTGAAAAATAAAATGGTGCCAGACAGTTAGGCCAGTAGTTAGGAATCTATCATCTTCAGTAAAATCCTGAACTTCACTTCTCCAAAAGTCAACATTAGTCTAAATTAAAGATGTTGTCAGAAAAGAAGATAATGCATCACGTAAAACCTACCTAGACATACTGCGTACCCAACATCCTTCAGTACCCAGTTCAGTCTCCTGTGAAGACGCCCTGACATCTGCACCCTCCAGCCTTGTTCACACATCCGCTCTAGCATTTCCCACTTCCCATCTCTACAGTGGGTAAACAGGCAGGGCGGGAAAAATGTCTTACTAATCTTTGAATCCCATAAACACAGCAAGGAATCTGGCATAAAGTAGGCATTTCCAAATATTTACTGAATCAATGAACCACTCCTGAGATTACTATGTGTAATGGGTGTGAGATTATGAAATCATCATTTAATAAACACACATTTCTGAGATTCAAACTCTTGGCTTAAAAAAGGTTTAAAGATGGATTGATTCAGGGAAACATTTAAAGTTACAACATTGCTATAGACTGAATATATTCTTCTAAAATTCACATATTGAACTCTAATCCCCAATGTAATGGTATTTGGCAGTATGGCAACTGGGAGGTGTTCATAAGGGTGGAGCCCTTATGAATGGGGTTCCTTTTAAAGAGGCCCCAGAGAACCTATTGGCCGTTCCACCACGTGAGGACACAGTGAGAAGAAGGCCATCTATGAACCAGAAGACAGGTCCTCATCAGACAACAAATCTGCTGGCACCTTGATCTGAGACTTCTCAGTCTCCAGAACTGTGAGAAATAAATTTCTACTGTTTATAGGCCACTCCATTTATGGTATTTTGTTACAGCAGCCTGAACAGATTAAGACTGTGATACTGCCAGGAACTTTGATAATTATTATCTGAATTTATCCAAAGAAACACTGTGAAATTGCCTTCATTTTACAGGTGAGGAAACTGGGGTTCAAACAGAATAAATAATCTGCCCTGGGTCCTTCATGGCCAGTCCTGAAGCCGTGTGTTTCTAACTCCTGGTCTGACATGTGCCTGCTACTGTGTGCCCTGAATTCAAGTGGGCAAATTCAGGAAGGCACACTGAACTTGGCTTGATGTGGACTGATAATCAGGTACTAAATGGCTGCTTCTTTTTTTTTCTGTTTCATAATTTACACCCAGATTTGGAAAGATTTGGAAGCAGATTACATCTTTATCACCCAAAGTATGTTTTCAGAAAGAATCTTGTTTCTGAGAAGCATAAATTTAGTTTCAAATATTTATAAAAATTACTCTAAATAAAAGCAAAACTCCATGAAAAAGAAAATGCACTGGCATAGAGAGAAAAGCGAGAAGCGAAAGGAAGTAAGAGGAAAATGAGAGATGGGGAGATAGGATGACGCCGTGGGGAAGGAGAAAGAAAATCAGGGAAAGATTTAAAAAGAAGATAATATGTACTTAAGTTAATCACAGATGATAGAAAATCTTTTCAGGAAATGTACATCTGAATTTAAAAACAGCATTCTTTAGTTCCACTTCATCAAGCAAACAGCAGAATCTGCAAGGTGTGAATCCTCCCACTTAGGGCTGGGCCTTAATAGACTGTGTGTGTCCAGTGCTAGCCTCGGGGGAACCAGCTCTCCATACACATCTGTTGAATGGAAATCAATTTTCCTCAAGCAAAGAGGCAGCTCTGTCTCTCGTAAACAAGCACCTCCACGTCTGCAGTCACATAAGACTGATTTTAATGAGCGGGGTGTGAGGTCACGCCCGAGGTACATCCGCTTATCCAAGGGGCCCAGACACCCCACCAGGAAATCAAATTTCTCAGTACATACCTCAATGATGAACCTTCCTTTTAGCCCCTAAAGGTTTCTCTCATCCTTTTTGCATTTGGTTTTTGGCCAAGCAGGCTGGAAAGTATAAAAGCCAAAAGAGGCAGGGGTGGAGCAGCCGGGCAAGCAGGAAGAAGCATGTGTTTTCTGGCCTCCATCTCCCCAGCAGTTCCAGCATGTTCCGTAATTGGGCAGCCTGGCCTCACCGTCCAACAGGCATCCTCATGCAGCCCGCAGTTTCCATGCTGCTCACTGTAAATGTCTGATATCTGCACGTCCTCTGAGAGCACAGCCCAGAGGCTGAGCATGCTCACAGACACCCACTCAGCACCTGGCCCTCAGAACTGTGCTGTCCCCAGCCTAAGGCCTCAGGGTCCAATGCCCACCCCTCTTGCTCCTGCAGAAATCTAGGCTGCAAGGTGCTCCTAATCTCTGTGTCCCTCCAGCTGCAATAGGAACCCTAGTCACAACAGATCTTATGGCCACATGAGCAAGGACGGGCTCCTGCCAAGGCATCTGGTAGCTTCCTGCCCAGGTAAGGTGGGCCTCCCTGGTGGGCTCTGTATTTGTTTTGCTGCTGGACAGAAGAGCTCCTTCTTTTAGAATCATTTGCAGCAGTGGCCTCTACATACTGGTTGGAAATCTATAATTATATGGAATAAATAGACACAAAATGAGAACAAGAAGGATTGAAGTGATGAATGTTTCACACAGCTAAAGTTACTCATTTTCAAAGAATGTCCTCTGCTCAATAATCTGTTCTTCCTACTTCGTGGTGTGAAAACAGCCTTTGTGTTGTGAAATGGTAATGACAGCAGAGAATGCTCTGGGAATTGTTTGCTATTTTCCAGTGTCCCAACTTACCCCAGCCCTGCCATGCCCATATTTGGACAAATATCTGGTATCCCTATGTTGGTATCTGCCCCACAGTATTTTTTTGGAGGGGAGGGGGCGGTGGGGAGGGCGGATATTTTTTCCATTTCTTACTGCCAACAATGTGGGAACTACTGATTTGTAGTAATTAAAGACTGTGAAGATTTCCAAAGAGAGAAATGGAACACAAAATTGTGTCAGGTGTGGCGGCTCACACCTGTAATCCTCGCATTTTGGGAGGCCGAGGCTGGCAAACTGCTTGAGCCCAGGAGTTTGAGACCAGCCTGGGCAACACAGCAAGACCCTGTCTCTGCTCAAAATAAAATAAAATAAAATAAAATAATTAGCCAGGTGTGAAGGTGCAAGTCTGTAGTCCCAGCTACTCAGGAGGCTGAAGTGGAAGGACCCCTTGAGCCCGGGAGGTCGGGGCTGCGTGAGCCGAGATCACACCGCTGCACTCCAGCCTGGGCGACAGTGACCCTGTCTCAAAGGGAAAACAAACAAACAAACAAACAAAAAACAGAAACACAAAAGCATCAGGGTAGCTAAAAAGAAATGGCACCAACTCATGAACTTGCACAGAAGCACGGAGTGTATTCAACTCAGGCGACTGAGGGTATTTGGGCATAAGAAACAGGTCGCAGGACAACAGTCACAGGGCTGACACTGAAGGCAGGGGACAGCGAGAGTTCTGCCCTTGCTGACTGAGAATGGCACTGAGGGCAGGCGATGCAGAGGGGCCAGAGAACAGAGCAGGAGCTGGCAGATGAGAAAAGTGGAGGGAAGGTGGCTCTCTTCCAGGGTTTTTGTGAATGGATGGGTGGGGAGTATTTCCTCCACATTCCAGAGGAGGGAGGAACAGTGACAAGGCCAGAGGGTGGAGAAAGGCTTAAGGAATCTGTCTCTGGGGACACTTCACAAATGCACAGCAATCTCTGCATCTCTTCACGCCTGCTCAAAGAACTGCTGCCTGCTATCAGCAACGCGACCTGTGTTTTGTTTCCATTTTGTTTACTGTTGTTGTTGTTTTAAAAAATAACCAACCTTGCCGGTGGCGTGCTGGATTTTTTAAACTTTTTCCTCTTCACTGGCACACTCACAAGTTTGTTTAGTGTAAGTCTGAGAATCCAAAGGGGTTTTATGTGCCTCACATTCATAAATCCTCAACTGCTTTTCAACCAAATTTATTGCCCCTGAGGATTGAGGGTGAATGGAAGAGTCAAAAGGAATCTCCTGGGCTAGAAGGAGAATGCACAGAGCTGTGTGCACACAATGTCAAATATCCAGATGAAAAGTGAAAACTTGAGCAAATCCTCCAGATGCTTCCAAGGACCTGAATGCTTGGTGAGTCCGCAGAAATACGTGGATGCTTAATGGAACTTTGCACCGTTAGTAGCAATAGTTAGCACTGTGTTTGTACAGCCCACCACGGAATTCACAGATGTGTCTAGACTTAACTTTGTCAATCCTGATAAATTAAAAATGATATGTTATGCCTCCCTCTAGAGTCATGACCAGCATCTTCAGATTAGACTAGAAACCTCTAATCTAACAGATTAGAAAACTATGCCTCTTCTGGGGAGACCTAGCCCCTCTGGCACTCAGCTTGGTGAGCTGATGGCGCTTTCCGCAAACTGGAAAGATAGACTCTTCCTCTGGGTAGCTTGGTGAGCAGAGTATGTGTTCAAGTTTAGCCCCTTATTTCTGTCCTTTGTGCAGTAAACACCCAGCACAACTGTACACAGACACCCTGCCTCCCTCTACAGTGCCCAAACACAACTCAGCTAGAAGTCTGACCATTTCAAAGTAAGAGGATAGGAAATAATACATGATTAAGACTTCTTTAGCATAAGCCACACACACAAATAGATTCCACAATTACAGAGGGAAAAAGAAAGAGAAAGGGAAAGGAAAAGAGTGAAGCTGCCCTAAAATGGCTTACCTTAGCATAATAAAACCATGGGATTTCAGAGCTGGAAGGCATCTTTTTAAATTATCTATTTATCTATTGCAACCATCCCTTGCAAGAATCCTTTGCACGACGTCCCCATCCCACCCTCCACCAGCAGTCATCCAGCCTAACCTGAAACACCCTCCCACCCCTGTCTCTGAGAACTGGAAGTCTGACGCCATCACCCTCCTTTCACACTGCTCTATGCACAAGAAATCCTGTCCCCTCCACCCCACCACACTGGCCTCCCTCTAACTTTTGCCCAGCCCATCAATGCATCTTAGCGCTGCATTCTGACGCCACCTACATTAAGTGTAATTGCTTTTCTATGCGATAGCTCTTTAAGTACTGGTAGACATTTAACCATGGCCCCCTACAATCTTTTGTTTTCCCAGCTAAATAAAGGCACCTTGCTTTAATCCAACCCCTCCTACAAAACTAAGTTAACTGCCAGCATCCATGAACAAATCTGCGGTTCATCACAGTCACTACAGGGCAGCCAAGAGCTGGATAAAGAAAGACATTGCTTTCACTGACAGGCAACCCCATGTTTTGGAAAGTAGAATTCCTGGAAGTCTGGCACCTCAGGAAATTTAAGTCCCACACAAACCCCATGGGCTATAATAAGATATTGCTGATGTTTTGGCTGATATGCACCAGAAAGCCTTGGGAGGAAAGTGGCCTAGAGACTGTAATGAATGAGAGCATAATGTCCTGCCCTTGAAGCCACACAATCAGAAAGTGAGAGGACTACAGAAAAACCAGCAGGGCACTGGCATTTTCCAGTTGAGCATTCTGAGCTGACAGTGAAAATAACGAATGAAACACGGCAGAGCAGAAGTGGACTTTATTTGGAAAACCTTGTTTTCCCGGAACTGAAGCTAACCTCTGGGACGAGAGGTTTCAGAACAATGAAGAATCAACAAATAAGATGAAGAGACGCCTACTGACAAAGACAAATTCCATACCCTGGAACTGGACATCTTCCTGGCAGAGGGAAACATCCTGCTCTAAAATGGGCACAATCAGCAGCAGTTATGAACGTCGGCTTTTCCACTTGCAAAAGAAAGATTTTAACTTTGCCTGACAGGAAGGAACACTGACCAAGAAAACAGTAAGTTATGGATTACTTTGCTACGGATGCTGGCTATACCTCTTTAGGATACTTTTTTTATAGAAAACCAAGCATTACTTTTCTGTGAATGGAATTAAGTGTCAGGAATATGCATATCTTTCTTATATAAGGCTTTGTTTTATTATAACAGCAAGAATCATGACTGATGCCTGAAGGCGGCCACAGATAATGCCAAGAAAAAATGGGGTAGTAAGTGGAAGAATCTCACAAAAAATTCTGTGTAACAAAAAGACAGAGGAACCAACCTCTGTCTTATTCCTTTCTTCAAATGTTTCCAAAATTTATTGTTAGTATCTCCATACAAATAAATTAATTTTCAGTTTTATAGTAGAATTCAATTTTAAAAATTCCTTTTACAACCAACTTTTCTAAAAATCCAGCATAGGATACCCAAATAAAGGTGCATCTCCATTCATTCATATTTTCATTCATTCATTCATTCAAACTTCAACAGATACTGATTGGTTGGATGCCTATTATGTGTCTGCATCATGCTAGGCATTCAAGAGGCCGTGTCAGCAGCACAGGCAACGGAAGTGGACATTCGTTATTTCCACATACAATCACCTACTTTAAAACCATGGTAAGTCCAAGAAAGGACAAGCCCACGGTGTGAAGAGAAAGCCATAATAAACCCGGTAATTCAGAACAGAGGTCAAAAACACATGCCCTGCACAGCATCTACAAAACACAGGAAGCCAACACTTGGTTTTGTGAATACCACAGTGTTGCAATTATCTTAAGCTGTTTTTAAGTTATTTCCAAAATATTATTTTTAATTAAAGTAGAGCACATACTAACTTTAAATGATAGAGGGAAAAGGAGGGATTTGCAATTAAATGAATAAATAATGGAACCGACACATTTTGTTTCTTTTAGTAAATGGGTTCCTGAAAAGCAACATCAACTTATTCAGTGATTGTCTGCCCCAAGGACAGTAGACACCCAGTGCAAAATGGCTCCCAGCTCTGGTTGGTGGCACATGAGCCTGTGGTGGTTTGAGAACGACAAGAGTCCAGAACAGCACGAGCTTTGGAAACCAGTCAAACTTGGGTTTGAATCCCAACTCTACCACTAGAGATGCAAACTCTGGAAGGCTATTCATCTTCTGTAAGCCTCAATCTTCTTCTATAATTACTACCAGAGTAGGAAAAGCAGTATTAAAGATTATTAAGGACTTACTACAGGGTTGGCTGAAATAAATAATAAGTAAATAACAACTTGCATAGTCTATCAACCCTTATCCACACTAAGTTTTGCCAGAAAGTCTCCTGCCAAGAGTGAGACTGGACTGAGGCCGAAAACAAGGGGCAAGGCATGCATGCAGAGTGCTGGGATCGGATATGAGTACCAGCGAACTACAGCATAAGATCTGCTCAGGTGAGGCAAGTTCAGCAGTGTGAGAGTGTTCTCATAGGTGCCAAGTTGCAAGGTAGCTCAAGGGGTCAGATCAAGGGGTCTGGACGGTGTTGTCAGTGAGTAGCTATGGTCTGAGCAGGAAGGTAATCTTGGGGGCATTTCAAGAAGATTAACAAGGCAGCAGTATGAAGGACAGACTGGAGAACAGAAAGTCTGAAGGCCATTACCACAGCCCAGACATGAACAGGACACCAGGAATAGAATGGAGGTGATACTTCAAGAAACTGTGTCATTTTCTATGGGCCAAAGGCAGGAGAGCAGGCCTGAGGAAGGTAGAAAATGTTTCAAATAGCCAATATCAGGTGCATGAGACACAGCAACAAGAAATAAAGTTCTAGAGCACTTAAGCTTCCCTGAAGCTAAGCACCTTTTCTACCAGCTAGCTCACCTAGCTCTGTTCTTTCCTCAGCTCGCTCTCTTTAGTCCAGGAAAAGGAGCACAGAAACCAGGTGGGATGGCTTAGGTTTGCACAGTCTGTAACGTGATCATGAGCATTGCGGGTAAGCTGGAAAAACACTAGATGACCCATTGTGAGCAGTGCACCCGGTATGGGGAATGTTAAAGCAAGATCCAGAAAGTGGCCACCCTAGTGCTTAGCTCCAGGGTGTAAAGCCCTGGACATCCAGGAAATAGGAGCCCAAGAAGAGGAATAATAGAAAATGGAACCAGTAAAGACAGACACAGAGCTTGTGAAGGACAAAAAAGTGTGCCAGATGCTGAAGACTCCCACAAACAATGACAGGGGAGATTTTACCCCACTATTCACTGCATGACAGGAATTTCATCTGCCGTCTATGATAATATCATGGACTCTTTCTGGAAACCAACGCTTTTTCTCCAAATGCATTATGCCTCACTGTGCATATCTGGGCCCCAGAAGACTGTGTCCACTGTTATTATAAGCAGGAAGCCAGCCAGGTATCTTCAGTTGATGAGGAACAAGATTTGGGCTCAACTGTTCAGTGACCTACTTAGCTTTATTTGGTTATATGACCACAGAATATAGTTCTATGGTTATGGGAGCAAAAACACAGCTAGATAGAATGAATAAGATCTAGTATTTGATAGCAAAACAGGGTGACTACAGTGAACAATAACTTATTATATATTTTAAATAACGAAAAGGGTGGAATTAGAATGTTCCTAACACAAAGAAATGATAAATACTTGAGATGGATACCTCAATTACTCTGATGTGATTATTACATATTGCATGCCTGTATCAAAACATCACTTGTACTTCATAAATATATATGCCCATTATTTCCCATAACAATTAACATTAAAATTTTTTAAATTAAATATAATATACTTCTAATCCCAACCAACATTCTTTCAACTAATAACTATAAGGATGCCTGACATTTACTGAATGTCAGAAGAATCTATGGGCTAGAAACGTGTTCTCCCTATGAAGAAGGTACCACTGCCATCCCCACTGTAGAGGTGCATATCTGGGCACCAGGAGACTGTGCCCACATGAGATCATGCATCCCAGCCTGCCCAAGAGAGAGGAGACATTCAGTTAAAAATAAATAAATAAATAGGGCCGGGTGTAGTGGCTCACATCTGTAATCCCATCACTTTGGGAGGCCGAGGTGGGCGGATCACTTGAGGTCAGGAGTTCGAGACCAGCCTGGCCAACATGGTGAAACCCTGTCTCTACTAAAAATACAAAAATTAGCCGAGCATGGTGGCAGGAGCCTGTAATCCCAGCTACTCACTCGGGAGGCTGAGGCAGGAGAACTGCTTGAACCTGAAAGGTGGAGGCTGCAGTGAGCCGAGATCACACCACTGCACTCCAGCCTGGGCGACAGAGCGAGACTCTGTCTCAAAAATAAATAAAGCCCAAGGAATGCCAGGGATGCTCGTATGATGTCTGCATCTCTGGTGAGTAAGAAATACAGAAGTACGGAGCAGTGTGAAGAAGAAGAGGCGAGAACGACCCCCGGACCGACCAAAGCCCGCACACCACCACATCCTGTGCCCAGCACCTACGTCCCGTCGCTGTTGTTGCCAGCATGCCCAAGAGAAAGGCTGAGGGGGATGCTGAAGGAGATGAAGCCAAGGTGAAGGATGAACCACAGAGAAGATCCACAAAGTTGTCTGCTAAACCTGCTCCTCCAAAGCCAGAGCAAGCCTAAAAAGGCCCCTGAGAAGGTACCCAAAGGGAAAAAGGGAAAAGCTGATGCTGGCAAGGAGGGGAATAACCCTACAGAAAATGGAGTTGCCAAAAAAGACCAGGCCCAGAAAGCTGAAGGTGCTGGAGATGCCAAGTGAAGTGTCTGCATTTTTGATAACTGTGTACTTCTGATGACTGTACAGTTTGAAATACTATTTTTTATCAAGTTTTATAAAAATGCAGAATTTTGTTTTACTTTAAGCTATGTTGTTAGCACACAGAACACTTCATTGTTGTTTTTGGAGGACAGGATATATGTCCCTAATAGAATGTCTCTGAAGCTGGACTGATGTGGGGAAAACACCTTTCCCTTTCCCTTCTAGTTCTGAGAGACTTCCTCTTGGCTCCCAGGAGGAGGGGGGACTCCCTGACTTTGATACACATGTCCACCTTGGCACAAAAACCTTGTGGGAGGGAAAAACAAATTTGATTTTATGTCCTCTTCTCCCTTTCCACCTTTCAGCATAGGCTTAACTCCCTTAAAGCCAGACATCTGTTGGGACATGATCCCCAGTCATTGGTTACCAGTGTGTCACACAATCTGGACTTTCCAGTGATGGCAATGAGATGGCACCCCTCAAAAGAGCAGTGGTTCCGTTTCTAGATTGTGGATCTTCAGATAAATTCTGCCATTTTCATTCCACTTCCTGAAAGTCAGGGTCAGCTTGTGAAAAGTTGTTAAACAACATGCTAAATGCGAAATGTCAACCCTCACTCTAAACTTACCCTGTTCAGAGCATCAGATGAAGACTTATTGGGTTTTATCTTGGCTTTCTGATTATTGGTAGTCCATAGAAGAAGGGAGTTTGAAAGTTGTTGTATACTGTTAACGACTGTCTACCCATGTCCTGCCTGAAATACGATGATTGCTTATGGAACATATCTTTTATAAAGCTAGGTACGGTTTGGCTTGGGAAAAAAAAAAAGAAATACAGAAGTGCTTTCTCAATAGCAGGTGTGTGTGAAGGATTGAATTGGTTATTAGGGTAAAGAGGCTTAGGAAAAAGAAATGTGTCCTTCAGTCACTGCTAAGTGACACATCCGCACTGTGCTGTGAAGTTCCAAGAACCCTAAGGTCAACTGGCTCCTTGCCAGTATATACCTGTATTAACTCTTCCAGAAATCTAGTGGTGTAGGTATGTATGTGTGTGCAGGTCGGGGAGAGTTTTTTGTTTGTTTGTTTGTTTGTTTTGTGAGATGGAGTCTTGCCCTGTCACCCAGGCTGGAGTGCAGTGGTGTGATCTCGGCTCACTGCAACCTCCGCCTCCCAGGTTCAAGCGATTCTCCTGCCTCAGCCTCCTGAGTAGTTGGGACTACAGGCATGCACTACCACACTCAGCTAATTTTTGTATTTTTAGTAGAGAGGGGGTTTCACCATGTTAGCCAGGCTGATCTCAAACTCCTGACCTCAGGCAATGTGCCTGCCTCAGCCTCCCAAAATATTGAGCTTACAGGCTTGAGCCACCGCACCGACCAGGAGAGGCATAATTTTAAAAATAACAGAGCATTTGCAATAGTGAAGAAATAAGAAGAGAGAAAAGGGAAAAAAAGGGTAGGAGACAAAAATGTAAACCTTTTTCTTGTGTTGGCCCCAAATAATTTTCCTACTTTTTTTTTTTTTTTTTTTTTTTGAGACGGAGTCTCGCTCTGTCTCCCAGGTTGGAGTGCAGTGGTGTGATCTCAGCTCACTGCAACTTCCATGTCCCAGGTTCAAGCGATTCTCCTGCCTCAGCCTCCTGAGTAGCTGGGACTACAGGCGCCCTGCCACCATGCCCAGCTAGTTTTTGTATTTTTAGTAGAGACAGGGTTTCACCATATTGGCCAGGCTGGTCTGGAACTCCTGACCTTAAGTGACCTGCCCACCTCGGCCTCCCAAAGTGCTGAGATTACAGGTGTACCCACCGTGCCCAGCCCATTTTCCTACATTTTCGGAAACTTCAAATTACCACAGATTTTCAATCTCTGAATGGAAGCCAATATAATTCATCTCTTCTTTTCTACCAAACTCCTGATAGTTCAGGTGACGTGGATGTTACATTAACTCTGTCAGGCCCCCGGGCTGCTATTAAGTGCCCTGTAACACTGAGGTCCTACACCTATTTCCCTACAACTAAGAGTTTTTGTCTCCCAAAGGGCCAAACTTGCACACAGCAGGGACACAGTGGGGCAGTTAGTTGCTTGGGAAAGAGAAACAAAATTTCTTTTGAGAGTGAGGTTATTTTAAGGTGGTCACAGGTATGCAGAGTCAGTTTTATGCTCTCCGTGATTTCTTATCCCCTCTGAGAGTGGGAAGGAGTTGGCATAGAGATTTTTATTTTCATAGCACATTATATAATTTGGGGTTGGTGGCAAGTGTTAACAACTGTCATACTACCCACGGCTATATTAAAAATAAGACCAAAATAGAGATTGTTGTGGGTTGTCTTGGGTTTTCCCTCAGAAGTCCTGAGGAAGAAAGTACCTCAAATGAACAGGGAGGGCATCATCAGCTCACAGAGCAGCCTGGGCAACACCAAGACCAGACAGAAACCCTTTCCAAGCAACAGAGTGGAAACACCAACAAACCCTTTTCATGAGACACACATTTCTGCAAGACCTATCTTGACAGAAGCCACCAGGTCCCAAACATGTCACATGTATGAAAAATTCAAATTCAAACGTGGAGAAGAGCAGTTTTATGGGACCCGCCTTCAGGTACAGCTCCCTATTTAAGTGCTGAGTTAAAAACCTCTGCGTTTTGAACAGCAGCACACGAGCTCATGTGATTTAATTTATGTGATGAAATGTGGATGCTGGGTAAAATTCACCCAGGAAACAGAGGGGAGAAGCAGGATGCTCAACCCATAAACAACACTTATCCTCAGAAATTTTGGCCCTTTGAAACTGGGTGAATAAACTAAATAAACTGAAAAGCTTCATTAATACCCAGAGGATCAGGTCCAAGTTTTAGATCTGCAAAAAGAAAAAAAAAAAAAAAAGAATTAAAGCTTTCCATCCCCTTTCTAAATACGTGGGGATCTGTTTTCAACCCATTCGTAAAATCTATCCATTTGTTTTTATTATATGAACAACTTAAAAATTGCCAGACAGACCACCTCTGATGCACGAGGGCACAGCATTGGTTACCGGAGATGGCCAAAGCATTCTCCAAATCAAATTAGGTTTGCCTCAGTTACAGAGGTCATCTTACTGTATGTTTTCAGGAATATTAACACAAAATGTATCAAAACACTAATAGGATCCATAAACACAGACAGCTAAAGCTCCATCACTTTTAACACGCCATAATTTAATAAGAGGTCTCATAAGAGACCTCTTATTATGGTCTCATAAGACCGAGGGTGTCCTTTTCAAGTTCCTTCCCTCTCAGCTACTTACGGCAATTCTCAGAAGTCTGCAAAGTTATCTACATCCTCCCTTTACCAATGTTCAGCCATACGCAGATATCACTTGTGAACTAAACAGTGTCTTTCCTCCAGGGACAGGGCCAAGGCTACAACATGCTGGTGCACACTTTAAATTGTAGGTAAACGCTCAACCTATGGCAGAATTCCCTATTTTGTGGGAGTCCCAGTTCTTTAAACTAATTCTAACTTTTGGTGTTGGCTTTCAAAAATTACTATGTCAAGGAATATGCGATGTTGAGATTTCACTCAATAGATTGGTCAGAAGGACAGGAGGGAGGAGAGAGAAGAAAAGATAGTGGTAGGGGAAGGAGAAGGAAATGATACCAGCAAAAAGGCCAGGGCTCTGGATTCCTGGATGCCTCTTTGAGCAACGTTTTCATTCGCACCACCTAGGTGCACCCTTATATGCCTCTGGTCCTTTATTTACAAGGCTGTCACCTGTCTGACAGGTAGTTTTACATGTTTTACATGTTGCAGTACCAAGGACCAGACGCCTTTTAGGAACAGTTTTGAGAATGACAAGTCACTTAGACACTCATTGCCATGACTCAGTTTTAAGAAAAATGACCAATGACTGAGCATTCCTAATGGGGAAGCTTTCCCATCTGATGGGTGCGATTCTGACCCAATGAAATGGGTGCAGGAGAGAAGACATTGAGAACTCCAGCTTTAAAAGAGGCCAGGACTCGTTAGTGAAAATAGTTTTGACTTGTTAGATGCCTGCTTTTGCTGGGGGAATGGAACAAATGATGTTTCAGGCAGGAGCTGCCAGCACATGAACCTCCTTCTAGCAAAGTGTATGATCTCAGAGGCCATACATGTTCATTTACAGTAGAGTTTAGATTAAAGTGATAAATGTGGATCTGGTGTACATTTAAATGCCATTTTGAAAGAAAACCCAGCTCGAGGCTTTCCCACCCTACATATCACTGCAGATTCCGTGGTCAGGGAGATGCTGGCCCTTGAGTAGCTGCCGCTGTCTCCATGGAAGGACGGCACCATAGTTAATTAAATGTCCACTCTGACGGTAAAATTCATTATCTAACACTGCAAGTGAAGTTATCAGAATATACTTGATGGGCCAAAGCTGTCAGAAGGCCCTCTCAAACACTTAACAGGAAAAGATAAGATGAATTTGCCTTTCATACAGGGATTTTTTTCTTTTTAATGGAGGCTCAAAATACCAACTTCGGGTTTGCAAATATTCTCATCCCCTTTAAAGCTTAATCATCTTAATGAAATACACTCAAGGGCTTTTTCACCTTTCCATTATTTTTTATTTTCTTAATGTGCATGTTAAGTCCCAAATAGTTTCCACGGATGGCAGCGTTGAGTTCAGAGTCCTAACTATGGACTAAGCAGTTTTTATTTCCTTTCTCACTGAATTCTCCACAGCAGATCTGAAAAGACAATATACTTATCCTCAATTTTCAGGTGATGGATACAAAGTTTAGAGAAAATGAAGAGCTAGAAAGTGGCAGTGCCATGACTCAAAATGGGCCTTCTAATCACACCAAGTCTAACACACAGCAACTAGAGACCCCTAGCCCCCAATTTTCAGTGTTTTTCTTAGATTGGTTTTTGATTCACGTGGGGAATCTCAGAGTTTCTGTGGGGCCCAGGGGGCCATAGTTTCTTTTCGCTCTTAAGCATCCCAAACCATCCTTGCCAGCACCCTTGATTGTTCTGCTTCACTAAGAATGTGAAGCTGTCAAATTCAGGCCAGAATGACGTGATCATCTTGACACCTTGACACTACACCACTTCCGCTGCAGCCAGGGGGCCCAGTGGCCTTCTGATTTCCAAGTTTAAGTTCTCACCAGCTTAACTTGCTCATTTGACACAGTAAGCATAGAATGACAGGCTGTCACCACTGTTTAAGAGCTCCTAACGTACATGGGATAGCTATGGGTCAAAACCCAACAAATCACTGTTTTGAAAGAGAAACGAACTCTTTCAAACTCTTTCAAACTCAGCATCGTGAAACCCAAAACTATGAAGGGAAGAACACCATTTGGGTGACCCTTTCACAGTTCAGCAAGGCTCCTTCAACCACTCTCCATATAAGCCTCCTGCAACCTTGGAGGCAGCCAGGGCTGTAGGAGGCAGGCAGGGCTGATAGGAGCTTCCCTCACCTACAAGTGACAAGGCTCAGCCAAGGGAAGGAGGGACAGGACAGAGCACACCAACAAGGGAAGCCGAGGCCTCTGACTCCCGCACTGTATTCTTTCATTCCGACTTCTATTAGAAAAAGGGATCTTGTCAATGAATGTGTCCTGTGTCTACATTTCTATGTAAGCAAAACAAGAAAACCAAAAAGAACATGTGAGGAAAGCAATTTTCAGTGTTTTTCCTCGACCGGTTTTTGAATCACGTGGGGAATCTCAGAGTTTCTGTGGGGCCCAGGGGCTATAGTTTCTGTTTGCTCTTAACCATCCCAAACCATCCTTGCCAGCACCCTTGATTGTTCTGCTACACTAAGAATGTGAAACTGTCAAATTCAGGCCAGAATGACGTGACCAAGACCAGCTGTAATGTACACTCTCTTCTTAAAGTAAGTGCTGGGGTTTGGGAGGTTCTTACCCTAGGCATTAAGGCTTGGGAGTACCTGCTTGTTATATCAGCTGGGTCCCTTCCCTGCATTAAAGAGCAAAGGTACCTCAAACAGAACAGATAGAGAACTGACACAAAGTAAAATATTCCCAGATTTCCTATAGAAAAATACAGTCACTTTTCTAAAAATGCCACAAGGGTGACGGTTTGGCAGGAGCATCTCTTAACAATCAGCAGAAATCTACTAAATCCCTCTTAAAAGGTCCATTCTAAACAACATTCCACAGTGACACAGGGGCCTGACTTTGATTTCTGAATAATTTGACTAGAAGCAAGGAAAGTCACAACAACATTAAGTGCAATAACTTTCTACCCCCTGTTTGGTTCCCAGTGTGAAATTTGCTGAAATAAAACTTGACAGCCCAAAACTCCCGGGGATGTGTTCCAGATGAATCGAGTCATCCACACAAACTCACAGACACACGCACACACGCCCTGGACCCTCGCACTTATAGAGGGAGTTGTCTCCATCTGTATTTGACAACCCGGTGCCATGGGTCTCAAGGCTGAGGGCTGCTTATGGATGCAACTTTAAATTTAATTTGCGGGGGATGATAATTGTGTGGAGTGGTAGGAAAATGCTGGCGACATTTTGACTTTAGCAGCCCCACTGCCCTGATTAAAAAATATCAGCTTTCCATATGCAAGACATTTCTAAGGTGGACACCTTACAAATTGTTAAGGTGCAATTTGTGCACAGTTAGTTCTTTGTTTAATCGAGAAATCTGCCCGAACTCTGATTGGGCTGATTTCTCTAAGGCCGGGAGTGAAGGTTATTTCCTTATGCCTTTTGGGAGCAGCAATCTCTCTAATACGTTTCTGAATTATTCCAGCTTGTGCCGAGGTTGAACAGGAGAACAAAGCCCTGGTTCCACAGCAGAAAGACTAACTGAACTCCCAGCTGGGAAGGTTTAGGCAGAGATTTATAAGTACAAACACTGAAGAAATTTGCAAGTAATTGCATGTATTTGCTTTCCGTTGTGGGATGCAGTAAACCAGTATTTATTAAAATGCATCGGCGAGGTACTGTTTATTACCCCCTCTCCTTGATGTCTTGTAGAGGGGAATAAAGTGCTTGGTTCTTTTCATTTCTTTAAATTAAGGGGGCAAAACAGTATTTCAAAGAATATAAGGAAGAAGCTGAAATTAGACATATACTCTGAATGGCTACTGCCTCTTACTTAACTTGGAATTGGTGCATGAACATGGCTCCAGATATGCTGTTCTGATTTAATCTTGTAAAGCTTAACTTTTTTTCTACATTCATAAGTTTCCATGAATCCAGTATTTGGGGATCAACAATTATCATTTTCTCCCATAGAATTTCTGTTATTATTCTTGGATTGCCGCCTGCAAACCTGAGTGCTAAATAGGCACATGTTCATGGGATATAAAATGACAGGCTCAGAAAGTTACAGCTTAATAAGAGAATGACTTAAACAAACCACCACCAAAAAGAGATATTATGTTCACTGGCTCCTGCATCTAAATTCCTGTGCCATCAGCTACTTTGGGTTTTAATTTGCCAATGACAAAAGGTCAGAAGAAACCAGACAGACGACTCTCTTTCCCTCTTCGACTTGAATCACACCTCCCCACCTGCCTCAGTGTTCCCCTCTTAATGACAGACCCAAATTGTTCTACGTAATACTCCTTAACACAATGGTCTCAAACTTTCGCTGCATCAGCTTTGCCTAAAGAGCTTGTTAACACAGATTGCTGGGTCCCAGCCCAAGAGTTTCTGATTCAGTAAGACAGAGAAGGTGCACAAGAAGTGCCATTTCTAACAAGTTCCCTGGGGATGCAGATGCTGCGTGTCCTGGGACCACATGTTGATAAATGCTGGTCTAGAAAGCAAATAGGCAAAAGTTTGGTGCAGTGAAGGTAAGCGGTACCTACTGCCCCTGCCCCCAAAATAGCAAATAACAGAAACGAAATACCAATGTATGTTATTTTAGTCAACAATTGTTAATTGCAACCTGCTTAAATATATGGCTGACAACATTATCTCCATGTAGAATTCCCAAGCCCCTGCCCTCTCTTCCACATTGGTCTTTGCCTACTTTTCCTTCCATCTGATGTCCCTTAAGGATCTGGATGGGTGCACCAAACTGGGGAGTGACAGCTTCCAGTTTGTATGTCTGCTCTTCTTAGAAATGCAGGATCCTCATGTCCCCACCTCCTCCCCCTCCATCAGGAGTGCACCCACCTAAGCAGTAGGCACCCATTGAATACCAGCTGCTATTGTTTTAAATCAGAATAAAACCAGAGAGCAGTAACAGAAGCTAGTGTGTGCTTCTCTGTCCCTCAGCACAGCAACTCTGGTTATCTTAAGTTCAGCATTGGTAATAAATAAGCCCCAGATCTTAAAATTAAAAGGTACCAAGTAGCCACAACAAGTGGAAGGTTTCTGAGACTGGCAACAGAGATGGCAGCCAATCCCCTCTCCCCTTGGCTTGAGGGCCATTACCTCCCAGGCTTCCACACCTGTAACTTTAAATCAGAGAACATGCAAACAAGTTATCTCCCAATGTCTGTGACATGAAGACAAATGAATTAGAGACCCTAGAGGAATATTAAAATGAAAAATGCTATTTGATAAAAATAAGCCAGACCAGGAAATCAGATAGCATGCTTATATATATTAATATATGTCATATATTATATATAATTTATATTTTATATATATGTATTTTATTGAAAAAGTCCTAGCTTTCACACAGTCTTTCCAGTTATAAAACCCTCACCTCCTAATCACATAAAATCAGATTTTTTATGATTTTTATTAGAGAAGAACCATGAGGTCTGTAGGTATAACCACAAATTGGCCAGAAGTGATATTGTTGGAACAGGAAACTAGACTGTTCTGTGCCTCAGGTATTCAAACTTCAATCACTTAAGAGAGAGAAGAGCTTCATACCAATATGGGCTCTCATGACAAAGTGCATATAGGATGTCAATGTCTGGATCCAGATGCTCGACCCTCATACAATCATCTGAAGCAGGTACTTGGTGTCAGGAAGGAAGCTGAGGGGTTAAGTGACTTACACAAGTCAGCCAGCAAAGGGCTGAGACTAGAATCCTGTCCTTTCTAATTCCAAAATCACATCTGATTTTCCTCCAAGAAACCAAGTCACCAGCACCTATCTTTTCTTTATTAAAAGCATGTGCAAGTCAAGTATATTCTAAAAGATAATCAGCTGGTAAAACTGAATAAGGAAAACCAGCTGTAGTAATCCCCTCTGTACCAAATGCTGAATCAGAAAAGACACCTAGCTTTCTGATAATCAGATTTTCCTAGAGCCTGAACAGGGTGAAAAGTTATTGAATGCAGAATATTTTTACTAGAACACGCAAGAGTGTCTTTTAGACCTTACGATCAAAATGTCCAAAAGGATAAATCTGAATATTAATTACAAAACTTGTACTACTTCAAACTTTTTATTATATTCTACACCTCTACTGTTTTCTTATGGTTATCACAAGTGCTAACAAAATATTAGCATTCATATCGGTAAAATCAATTGGCAAGTCCATTATCGACATTTATTTCAAATGCGTATGTCTGAAGTATGTGTTACTCATCCCTTAAATTAACATCTTCCACTTTGATGGGACAATTGGACAGACCAGGCCAACACTTTTTTCACCAGTAATTAGTAACTCTATTTTCACATTTCCGGAGAGAGAATTACACTCAACCAACATTTCTACATCCTGAATCTGCTAATCTCAGCAATAAGACCTTCCTTTAAAAGACATGCAGTGTCTTGACCAAAGAGTAATGATAGAAAACTAATTCACAAACTTGGTGGTTTTTCTAGCAAATGAGAGCAGTTTCATATTTAGTAAAGTCTATATTTTTGTTGACAGTACACACCAAAATACATACGCATTAAAATGCATACAAGGGTGTATATATTTCTATTTCCTAAAAGGAAATTCAGAGATACAAAAACGTAATTATACAAATTATCCTTACTTCTTGTTGTTAATTCAGTTTAGGCACAACACTTGAGAAATAAATAAAAATTCTCCATAGCATAAAATAACTGGTATTCCATCTTTACTTATTGGGGAAAGTACTAAATTGATGTCATCATAAATATTCAATTTTATTTTTAAGTAATTACCAAAAGTAAAGTGTAATTCAAAGAATGGTCTGATGTGCCACAACTAGCTGTGCAAATGTACAGGATCTTTTTAAGACGGAAAATGTAAGTGCTTACCAACTGGGAACTTGAAGAAATTGAGATTGACATCTGACCTTTAAAAGCAGTGGTTCTCACACTTCATTGTTTAAAAACTTGTTAAAAACACAGAACCTAAGATCCAGTTCTCAGGAATTCTGATTCAGGAGTCTGGCACGAAGCCAAGATGCTACATGGTCACACCAAGATTCGCAAGGTTGGTTCTGTTACTACAGTTTAAAGAGTCACCTTCAGAGGCAAGGCCCCTGATGCCCACCGAGTCATCATTCTGCTTTGTTCGACTCTCCCACCGCAGCTGCCTCTCCCCACTGTCTTGTCTTGCCTTCCATTATTTACTCACTCATGGGTGGAGAGGAGTTACCCTTAAAATAGACCATCTCAAAAGGTGATTTTCCTTTTGATAACTGTCAATCAATGTAAACACACCACAAAACAATCCTTTGCAGAAGTTTAGAAGCCAAACACATGCTTATCTGTAGAATGTCAGGTGGCCTATATGACTATGTCTTTTTCCCTGACTAAACTGACTACAGGAGCTTAGCTTGTTTCTGCTGTTATTTTAAAGATTATTTCAAATTTGTAAAGAGTCTGACCTGCAGAAAATGTGGACGACACTTATTGTGGGACTGTGTACCAGTTATGGTACTCGTTTTAATTCTAAGTGCTCCTCTTCCTACAGAACCAAACCAACACCGGAGAAGCTGAGCAAATGCAGTCAGTTGGATGTGAATTACCTTTTAGTTGCTGACAACAGAAAGTTACCCTGAACCACTGACCAAGGGATGAAAAGCGTCCGTGTACTATTAGTAATTCTCAGAATCATCTCTGTCCCCAACCAAGTATGGAAAGCCAAGTACAGTATCATGGAACCAAATTCAAATGCTGGTCTCAAAGTTCCCGACTTGCTTGCCTTCAAGTGCCACTTGAGAGATTTTAAATGACAGTGAAATGCTTTGTTCAACTAAAAATTCAAAGTGTCGGGACAAAGTTTATTTCTGAGACTCAAGAGATAGTTTTTGCTTTAGTTGTTGCCATTGGTGCTGCTGTGTGTGTGAAAAAAGTCAGAAATAAAATCTGCCACTTTTCTTTTCCTAGATGATGGTATTTAAAATAGCAAGTCTAATAAAATCTAGCGGTTTGATTTGCTCGCTCAAAGAATGTATTTTTAAGATGAAGTGTTCCAGGTAGATGCAAGTTATGCAGATAGATATTTCATAAAGACAATGGGTCAAAAGAACTCAACAATCCCTTCTACAGCCAAGCTACAGCAGATTTTCTTTCAAAAAAGGGACACAGTTGACAGAGAATAGAGTGAGGAAGTGGAAGCTGACAATTTAGTGCTAACGGTATTGCTCGCACAATAGCAAAAACACAACAAGAGTCAGCAAAGGGTGCTGCATGCTTACAGTCCTCACGCTAACAAGTATTTGTAAGTACCAACAACTTGGAGAGGTAAGGGGAAAGAAAAGCCTGCCATGGTGCCTTGTACAGGTGGCGCCAAGGTCCCTGTCTGGGCCCTTGGACAAAACCATCTCATGTAAACCTTAAAGAGGATTAATCCTCAAGGAGCACTGTAATGAGACCTTAAAAGGCTGAACAACAGCAGCAGACCACGGAGGAAGGCAGTCATCTGCTCCCCCAAGTCTTGCTAGCAGAGTTACATCAAAGCAAACGGGCAGCAGATAGCAGGCTTCCACGGCAATCCCTTATCTCGGCTCCAGCGGACACCACTACTGTGATTGTCTTGAACTGCCACCTGTCCCAGGCATCTTTGAAGGCAACGCTAAGCCTCTGATGGATCTGACCTCCTTGAGCTGAGATCCTTTTATGTCTTTCTTCATTTTCTGCCCTGCGACATTCTTCCCCTGCCATGCACACGACATGAAACAAAGGGAGTTCTCACTCCTGACTCACTGTCCCCAGCCATTTGAGAGCAAAGAAAAACAATGTTCAGGATTATACTCTGCCCATAATACAGAGCTGTCCTCAGGAGACAAGCCTCTTATTTTTGAGGGTATAACTATAGACGGCATTTACGTGCAAACTCTGTACAATGGGGTTCGATGGAGCTGGGCGCCAAGATAGGAAAGCTGCATGTCTGAGATAACTCAAAAACACAAGGAATGATCATACAGAACTCGATTAATAAAATCACATATTTTCACAGGAGGAATACAAATATAAATACTGAAATATTAAAACTTACTTACAAAATCACTGCACATTGGGGCTTGAAAAAACAGCAGCACACAAATATCCTTAAACCTGGTTCAACTTAAAAGGAATTTTTTTAAAAAAATGAGAGAGAAAAATATTTAAAACACACATATACTGCAGGTGAGAAAAGTTTGAAACCTGAATGGTAAAACAGTTCCCTCTGAGACCTTTCTAAGAGGCTAGAGGTACTGACTTTTCCAAATCATACCAGGAGAAAGGGTAGTGCCTGTGTTTCTCTGAAAAGTTCTGACATTTGAGGAGAAGGAAAACTGCTGTGATCAAATTCATTCAACACAAGACTTCTCAACATCCACTTATTCTGTCACACAAGTCTGTCTGCACACATTGCTTTAACAACGCTCACCTATATGACTATTTCTCATACTGAGTGAAATTGTAACATGCCTCAGCAAGTGATCTAGAGTGGTATGATTTTAATACTTTGCCTCATTTCATTAAAGATTTCAGCCAGCATACAAGAATTCACAAGGTAGAAAATGCTAACTAAAGAAAAATCTGATCAGAGAACAGTTTAGATGATCAAGACCTAGAGAAAGTTAAGAGAGAATATGCAGGCCGCAATCCAATAGAGTTGGAATAACTGAGCAGCTAATAATCTGAGTTTCCTGGAAACAACAATCTGAGTTTCCTGGTAAGCAATGAGTAAAGGAAACCAAAATCAGCCATATGATATATCCTGCAAGAAGTCACATAACCACACTATCTTATATCATGGTCTTGTGTTTTATCTGCACAGTATTTAAAATTTTCAGAAAAGTATACACCTCACTTGACATAGACCAGCAATTCTATAGCTACCATGACAACATTCTTCTACTCTGGGCTTTGGTCTGGGTTCCAAAACCCACTTATTAGAAGAGGGTCAGCCTAAAGGGCTGGGAAGCTGTGGCCTTCCTGTTTCTGGATTACAGGGCTGTCTCCAGCCCAAAAGAGTGAGAACCCCAGAGAAAAACCCAATGACGAGCGTCAGTCCACAGCCAGCCCCTGAACCATCTACACTTTACACTCCCACACTCGATATGGCCTCCTCAACTCTGGGGCTATTCCAGCTCTTTCAGTTTGGATTTTTTTAGCTTTCAGTTTTTCACCAGCTTTCAACCACACAGTCTTGTTCTCTGAATGACAGCCTATCTTCCCACTTCTGACATGGCTCTTGATTGCAGGCACTCCTTCTGGTAACAAGCCTTTTTAACTTCGGCCAGAGAGGCCCAGCAGTAAGCGGACCTCAGAGCTGATCCCAGGCTTGCAGTAGACAAACTGCCTCATGCTCTTCTATCCAAGCTGGGATAAAGATGTTTTTCTCTGACACCACAGCCCATTACACATTTTTCAGAGATGCATGATTTGAAAAAGAAACACACTGACATGTACTTCATGTGAGGTGGGCAGCATGTATTTGAAGCTCATAAATCTACCCACTTCCCTCTTCTCAATGAGATCTGACTTGCAAAACTGTTTGCAGACTGTGGTGCCTTTAAACAGCACACATGCATCCCCATGATTCACTATGCCCATTTCTTAGACAGGGCCAGTTTCTATGAGGGAATAGCCTATTTCAATACAGTGCCAACTTAAAATATTTAAACTCCAGTAGTGTTTGGGACAGACTGAAAATAACTTTTCCAATTTTAAAGCAACCTAAGTTTTACAGCGTATTTTTATTTCTCCAAGTTCATGATTTTTAAACAATGCAG
Source organism: Homo sapiens (assembly GCF_000001405.40). Classification (NCBI taxonomy): domain Eukaryota; kingdom Metazoa; phylum Chordata; class Mammalia; order Primates; family Hominidae; genus Homo; species Homo sapiens. Next base: position 42,127,689 of record NC_000007.14, read on the forward strand.
TAGGCATTAAAATGAACCATGTTAAGAAACAAATGTAGGGCCTGGTGCAGTGGCTGTCGCCTGTAATCCCAGCACTTTGGGAGGCCAAGGCAGCAGATTGCTTGAGCTCAGGGGTTAGAGACCAGCCTGGGCAACATGGCAAAACTCTATCTCTATAAAAAAAATACAAAATTATTAGCCAGGTGTGGTGGCACATGCCTGTGGTCCCAGCTACTCAGGAGGCTGAGGCAGGAGGATTGCTTGAACCCAGGAGGCAGGAGGCGGAAGTTGCAGTGAGCCATGATCGAGCCACCACACTCCAGCCTGGGCGACAGAGCAAGACCCTGACTCAAAAAAAAAAAAAAGAAAAAGAAAAAAGGAAGGAAACAAATTTAAAACAGGGTGCCAATCAAGTATCTTCAAATAGACTTAATATGCAATAAAAAAATAAAATCAAAGAAAATATACATATATAGGAAGATGTTTGGAGAAAAACTTACCTGAGTAGCCAGTCTGTAATAAGGGAGCACTCAATTTAAGACACAGTTTGACAGCATCACCCACTTTAATTGTCTGTTATGGTATTAGCCAGAATTCAATTATTTGATTTAAATTTCTATCAACCTATCATGTATTTCTATTGAATACTACCAGTTGGATATGGTTGTTACTGTTTTTAATCCATTTGGTTAAAAAAAAATAAAAAGTGACATTTTTCTCAGGAAATGAAAGACTAGCTCTTCCAGTAGCAAGAAGTAAGATTTTCAAAAGACTTTTTGGCTTTTGGATCACTGTCTTTGGAAAGCTGCCTCTTTAATCTTTGTAAGTAATTCTATAAAATATGATACATGCCTAGTTTTTAGGTAGAAGTTTAGAATTAAATTCATTTATTTTCAGGCTTCTCAAATTTGTAAAATCATAAGGAGAATAAAATACATCTTAAAAACTAAAAGTAAGAAAGTTATAAAGAAGGATTCAGCAGCATCAGAAGAGATCTTAAATGTGCAGAGGGAAAAACTGTCAGTCAGACAGCCCATGAGCCGTCCTTGGTATGTCAGTATTTTTTTTTTAGGGTGAGAACCAAGACATCAGAGAGGTGATGGTAGGAATGGAAGTCCATGGGTCTTAACAAATTATCTCCCTTAATTCCTGTTATCACCCTGTGCGGCTGCCATTTCCACTCCCATTTTAGAGATGAGGAAGCCAGTCCAGTATCTAAGAACTTGCTCAAGGTCACACTGCCAGAAGGTGGCAGAGGTGGGCCTGGGTCTTAAGTTTAACTGACACTATTGCAGTCTAGCAGAAATGCAACATATTTAATCCATCATTTCCAGTTCAAGATAGCAGGCTGGGCAAACATATTTCTCACCTGTCCCTCCAAAGACTTCTGTGAAATGAAAAACTGGAAGTAAGTTTTGTAGTAATGATAAAATAACAGTACCAAAGAATAAAATTTACCAGGCCCTTACTCTGTGCTAGGCACTTCTAAGAGCTTTATTTATATTAAGTAATTTAATCCTCAAAACGAACCCATGATGTCAGAGCTACTCCCGGCCCCACTGTATATATGAGAAAATGGGGGCTCAGAAAGGCTAAGTAATTTGCCCATAATCACATTGTTAGGAGTGGCAGAATTAGGATTTGAACTGAGGCAGTCTGGGTCTATGGGTGAAACTCTTAACACAGTCAAAGAAATACATAAAATTAAGATAAAAAATTTCAACCCATTTCTGCAAGATGCATAGTGGGTAAGACTGGAATTATAGGTGGACATGGTGCGTAGAGAAGCAGCAGCCTGAAATATTCTTCAAGAGGGCAAAGAAACAGGTGGCAGCTGATTCACCTAAGAAGCCATGGGCTGGGTTGGGCGCGGTGGCTCACGCCTGTAATCCCAGCACTTTGGGAGGCCGAGGCGGGGGGATCACGAGGTCAGGAGTACAAGACCAGCCTGGCCAAGATGGTGAAACCCCGTCTCTACCAAAAATACAAAAAAATTAGCTGGGTGAGGTGGCGGGCGCCTGTAATCTCAGCCACTAGGGAGGCTGAGGCAGAGAACTGCTTGAACCCGGGAGGCGGAGCTTGCATTGAGCCGAGATCGCGCCACTGCACTCCAGCCTGGGCGACAGACCGAGACTCCATCTAAAAAACAAAAAAGAAAAAAGCCCTGGGCTGGGCAGATCTTTTACCGGACACACCCGTGACAGTCAGATGGCCTGTCTCCTGCCCACAGCACATGAGCACAGGTAGCTGGCATTTCTCCAGATAAAAATTTTATGACTCTTTTTCAAAAAACAGAATGAACTTTCCTGGGAAAGTGAAGGCTTCAGCGTGGATTTTGAAGCCCTGTTTCCACCCAGGTCTATCACACAAATGCACTCACCACAAGAGTCACACCAGCTCTAACTTCTAGTGTTGGTCCCAGCAAGTTGGTGTGACACCCTTATTGGTACCCAAGCCATACCGGTTCTTATAGCTCCCCAGAATCAAGCCCTCTTCGTTCTGGCATGTGGAGAAGCTCCACCCTATTTCCCTAAAGGAAATCCTGCCAACTGATACACGTGGTCAGGATGTTCCATCCATCCATCCAAGTTTCCATATGCCAAGCAGAACAACATTAGGCCAGCTATCCTTCTCCACGGTTTTGGGGAATGACACCCAAGGATCACTAGGTTTTATGAGGAGAAAAAAGGACAGGAATGAGAATGACCAATATCAACAAGAAAAACTAACCTTGGAAGAAACTTTTAGAAGGTTTTAGAAAGCATTACATACAAAAGGCAAGAGCAAGATGTTAAGAAGAAGTTTCAATAAAAGATTTCTTAAAGTTCTTAGAAATTAAGATTATGACTGCAAAAAGTTAAAAATAATGTGGAGCAATGAAAAATGAAGTCAAGGAAATTTCCCAGAGCACAGAACCAAAAGCAAAGACATACAGGATATCAGAGAAAAGAGAAGAGACACACAGAAGTAACCTAGGAGGTCTAACAGTCAACTATGTAGAATTTTGGGAAGAAAGAAAAGAGAAAACACAGCAGATAAAATTATTAAAGATAGAATAGAAATCATCCATAGAGTTAACGAATGAATCTTCAGATTCAAATGGTCCATGAAGGGATGGGCAGAATTAATGAAAATAAAAATTAAATTAAAACACATCTAGGTACATACTTTCAAACCACTAAGGATAAAAAGATCCCAAAAGTTTCCAGGAAGGAAAAAAATAAGCCATCTACAAAGGAATACAAATCAAAGAGACATCAGACTTCTCATCTACAACTTTGGATGGTAATAGAAAATGTAGTGATGCCTTAAAAGATCTTGTAGGGAAGCCTTTTAAGTTAGAATTCTAACTACACCATCAGGAAAGAGCAAGGGCAGAATAAAGAGAATTTCACAGACACAAAGACTCAGAAATTCTGCCTCCACTGTTGTTGGGAAGTTACTTGATGTATTCCAATAAAATAAAGGAATAAATTAGGAATGGCAAAGTTGAAGTCGTAAGACCTAGGAAACAGTGGTTCCAATCCAGAAGATCACAAAGGGATGTCTAGAGATTCCTCGTTCAGACTTCTCAGGAGAATGAATTGGCCAGGAAAGAAGGGAGCTTTCCCTTAAGTGCAAAAGATATGGTTGGGAGGTTGGGGAGTGGGGGGATGTAAGACTATTGTAAAGACAAATAATAGGGAAAAAACTAAATCAACTACCAAAAAGCAACATGATAGGTAGGAAAGCAATTAAAGAGTAAGTGTAGATAAAGCACTTGTTCGTAATGCTAGACACATCGCCATTGGGTGATTTAAGAATTTAGAAACTGGACTAACACAGAAGGTTAGGTATGATCTTAACATTCTACTGGTTCAACACAGAGAATTTCCACAACCATAATGCTGTAGATGCTTTCTAGATCTTCAACTTTAAAAATCAATCTATGGACAAAAACATAGCAGATGTGGTTATGATAGTAAGACCCCACAAACATATTAACAACCCTGACACTATAATAGAAAAGCTGGCTCCAGAAGATGAGATGTGGATGGCACAGGGGACCTAACATCTTACTCGTTTTGCTATGAAAAGCTGATGAGGAAAAGAAAGAGAAGCTTACAACACTCTTTAAAGTTATAAAAGCACCCAATATACAAGTAATAATATAATATCAATATTGAAAGAAGAGGGCAGAGTATTAAAAATTAAAGATTAACTTTCTCATTTCAAAGTCAATATATTGCATAAGAAATATCTAGAGTTGACATGTCAGGATATAAAAATATAAGCACATTCTGGAGTTGTAATGATTGTTTACCAAAAGAACTAAAACAAAAACAGTGACAAGTGCCCCTGGGACTAGGGTTGGAGAAGGAAGGATGGACCACTGTGGCTTTCCATTCCAGGGTCTTCAGGACTTCATTATTTATTTATTTATTTATTTATTCATTTATTTATTTATTTTTGAGATGGAGGCTCGCTCTGTCGCCCAGGCTGGAGTGCAGTGGTTCAATCTCGGCTCACTGCAAGCTCCGCCTCCTGGGTTCACGCCATTCTCCTGCCTCAGCCTCCCGAGTAGCTGGGACTACAGGCGCCCGCCACTACGCCCGGCTAATTTTTTGTATTTTTAGTAGAGATGGGGTTTCACCATGTTAGCCAGGATGGTCTCGATCTCCTGACCTCCTGATCCGCCCGCCTTGACCTCCCAAAGTGCTGGGATTACAGGCGTGAGCCACCGCGCCCGGCCGGCTTCATGATTTATTAAAATGAGCATGTGTTAACTTGTACATGATAATTGTCATCAAATATGGTAAAAAATGTTAAATTATAAAGAGAGCTTCAAGGTTTCTTTCTTGCTGGATCTTTCCTAGAAAAACAACAAACTAATATTGGAATAATCAAATAGTCATCGCATATAGAAAAAAAAAGTTTGGCTTTTTCAAATCCATTTCAAGGAGAAAACTTTGCTTCTACCTGGCTTGGCATCCCAATTTTGGAATATTACTCTGAGGAAGAATTCTAGTAACATCTCTTTATAACCTCTCAGTGGATTACAGGCTTACAGCCTCACAATTGTCATTCAATTCTGGGATCCTCAGAAAATTAGCCCCAATTGTTCAACCAAATCTGACACCACTGATCAGAAATGAGCCAACATGAGCAGGTTGATTTTGTAAAGCATTTAGCAGAGCATCATCTTAGGAAACATTAAACTGAGACTGGAAAAAAGACCCTAAAAGGTATTTAAACATAAAATGAGCTCAAAAAAAAAAACACAAGTAATCTTCACCTACCACCCTATCAATAATCATTTGCTTCAAATCTTTGCACATCACCATATTCCATTGTTACTAACACCATAATCCTCTGCACCAAAACCCTCTCCTACAATTTCAGAACACCAAAAGGCCTTCAATATTAATTCCTAAAAGAAATACTTTTTTTTAGAAATTAACTTTGAAGAATGGAATTTGTTTAATAAAAGTAAAACTTATACAAAAACATTCTCTCATATCATCAGCTTACTTAAGTGAAAAGAAAACAAACTTATGACTCCTTAGAACAACTCTGTTTCTACTTTGGCTCTTGGCAAAACTAGGTTGGCATTCAAATGAAACAAGGAACTCTGAAATAAATCAGTATTTTACCTTGGTCTCAGATATCATTAGCTAAATGAGGACAAGTAAACGACAGAACACACTCAAGCATTAGTGTTGCCGATGCCTCCAAGTTCATTTACTTCCAAAACCCAGACAATGCAGCCTGTGGAGCTTCTCAACCAGTCAGACTCCAGGCCTCACTCCTAATTGCACCGAGTTCCCTCCAAACACTGGGATCAGGAAATTCACAGAACAGGAGGGCTGACACTACATCATCACCCCACTGAATCCTGACTCTTTTCAGGAGTGGGGCCAATCACAGCTTTCCTATCAAGCTCTGCATAATAGAGTTTCTAATTAGAATCTTAATACTCTGGATAGAAAGCAGCAGAAAAAAAAAAAAAAACTGTGCCTTAGAGTCTTGCTCACCTGGTGGCTCATTATGAGAGAAACACTTCAGAAAATCTGAAGATTAATAGCAGGAGTGTGGCATCAAAGGAACAAGACTGCACCATTACCAAAAGGAAAAAAAAATTAAGAACATCCTAGCTGGGCGTGGTGGCTCCTGCCTATAATCCTAGCACTTTGGGAGGCCCAGGCAGGCAGATCACCTGAGGTCAGGAGTTCGAGACTAGCCTGAGCAATATGGTGAAACACCGTATCTACTATAAATACAAAAATTAGCCGGCGTGGTGTCGCGTGCCCATAATCCCATCTACTTGGGAGGCTGAGGCAAAAGAATTGGTTGAACTTGGGAGGTGGAGGTTGCAGTGAGCCGAGATTGTGCCACTGCACTCCAGCCTGGGCAACAGAGCGAGACTCTGTCTCAAAAAAAAAAAAAAAGAAAAAAAAATCCTATTGGCATACATTTCCAAAAAGGAACTCTAAGGTGGGTCTCAAAAGTCTTTTGTCCTGGCAGTGGGGTAGGTAGTCCCCAGGGATGACATCTCAAGTAGGCTATTTCACACACAGTCCAGCAGTCTGATGTCTGCGCTCCCAGACATAAGAATACATGGTCACCAATGCGAAATATTAACTTCAAATAACTATGCATGAGAAGGACTCGTGTATGAGAAACATCTAGCGTTAACGACCAAAAGCTGAACGATTCATGTCCTAGAATCAGTTCCCTGTTACTATAAACCCATGAGAAGACACAGAAGAAAGGAAAAGGGCACTTTCCGTAGCCGCTATGGTAAACAAAACATGCCAAATGCAACTTTTAACTACCCTAGCTCAGAGGGCAAACCCACAAAAACCCAGAAAATTTATTACTTCTGAGTTTATTAGATTTTGGGGACAGGAACTATGTGCTAAATTAGGCATGCTGTGGGCTCTCAGGTTTGATAAATCAGGTATGAGGCAGAATGAAATCAACACTGACAAAGACTAGCTGCGCACCACCCTCAGAATATGACAGCACGTGCCAACATCACTGAAGGGCCTTGAAAGGTCATTAGACAATAAACTATGTGCTTGGCTGAAATATTAGCAAGGGTCAGGATGAGCTCACGTGAAATTTTCCCTGCAAGAAAACTCTAAAATTCAGGGGAGCATTTCAGATTGCAGTTCACAACTCCTCATAAATTAATGAAAGTCAGGCATTAAACTTAATAAAAGCTGGAACGGATCAAGCAGAAAGAAAACGCAGCATCGGCATATGTGTTATGTGAATTTCTCAGAGTCCATAAATTTGATATTTGGAAGGAAGAAGGGAAATGTTAATTAGGAGAATTTCATAGTGTATTTAAATTTGCCATGGAGTCAAAGCTCTATTGTAAAAACCCCCTTGGAATCTGAAATCACCGTCACCAGATCTAGGTCCTGCCTTTTATCTTGCTATTTTACACTTGTTGATATGCAACTTAATTGTTTCATGTGTTGTTTCTTATTTTCTCTCCCCAAATTATAAAATCTAGAACGCTAAGGTCATGTCTTTTATTCTACTGTGTGTGGAGCTCAATTAATGTTGGGGAACCAGTAAAAAAATCTAAAAATTCATCCCTCTGACTTCTCTAAAAGCCTTGTAGCAATTTTTCATGATCTTTAGACTATTCTAGCTAGCTATATCTCAGAGTATTATAGTCACTCTTAAAAGTCTCAATGTTGCCTTTTCTTATTTTCCTGATGTAGCAGGAGAGCATTGCCACAACATGTATCTTTATCTCACAGACCAGATATATCTCAGGTCAAATCAAGTCCCCTGAAACATTACTTTATACAGATCCAGGCAGATATCTCATATTTGTCTTTAAAGCAAGTATCAGTCCTACTTGCAGGTCCCAGAGACAGGAAGGGATCCCAGTGGTCTTCTTCTTACTGTTTTCACAGATTTTCTACTCAGAGCTCTCTGTGTCAGTCTTGGCCTTCCTTAGCATATATTTCTTTAAGTTATTGGTTGAGAATTTCCATGTCTGTCTTTAGCCTGCACGGGCCCTGCTATCTATACTCAGTCCTTTTGATCTTTTCTCATAAATCATTCCTCCAACCTCTTCATCATGCTTAAGATTCTTTTAGTTTATCTGAGACACCAAAGTCAGGAGACATGAACTGTCCATATTAGCGGGACTGTTGGATACCAAGATGCCTTTGTGGAAAAAAACTGTTTTCTCTCTGTCTCTCTCTCTCACTTTTTTTCTCTTTCTCTCCCCCTGCCACATGTAAGCATTAAGTATATTTATAAACAAAGGGGATACTGTCTTCCCACCACCTCCTCCCCTGGGTGGGGCAGGGTGGTTTGCAGCCCTGTGTAGAACCACATATAGAGACAGTTAAGGATCTTACAGTGGACTCTGTATGGCTGGTAGAGCTGGTCCCCAAAAATGCCTAGGTAGGGCCAGATACTGGCTTGTATTATCTGTTGACATGTGAAAGCTCCAGTTATTATACAAACTGTTCTTGAGAACTGAGATTTCACATAATGAATTAAGATCTTTGATCCAAAGAGACAGCCCATCTTCCAAAAGCCACTGCACCATTAACGAAGCAGATGTGGGGGCAACAGGAGCACCATGAGAAGGACAACGTTTTATAAGACAGCTAGAAAAGGAATGCACGTAGGCCTCCGTTTCTCAGTTACAAAGCCGAGGTCTGGAGTCCAGACTCAAACCAGCACCATGAGCAGGCTGTATAATCTCCATAATTATAATTCAAGTGCTAAATGAGTTTGTGTGAAAACTAAAGAAGATCACATAATGAGGTCCTCAGCCCAGTGCTTGGCACATGGGAAATATCACACATATGGCCTGTGGTGGTGATTACTACTGTGTACCAACTCTTACATCCTCCAAAACATGGGGGTACAGAGAGGACCACAGGCTTCCCCATTTTTAACTTCTAGGTAAGGTAATGTTAAGTTCTTTGCAAAATATCAGTTAACAAAATAAGAAGAAATGTCTCATTCTCCCCTACAACCCAACACCTGGAGCACGGGGAGGGCAGAGGTAGCAAGGACCAGTTCCTGCCTCTCTGACACTGGGATGCATAAGAACAAAGCCTGGACACCGAAGTGGCATTTGGCCTGCCTTCCCTGATTCTACACCCTTGTACTCCAAGCCCCTGCCCAAAACTGGCAATGCCACCACCTGGGTTCCAGGACATAGTTTCCAAGCACTCCCCAGCTGGGCTGATCCCAAACCACTGGCAACCTAGCCACGCTCTTGCACAGATCTGGACTATCATTTTGAAATCTCATCCGTTATGGGACATGGGTGAAGAATCTGAGTTCTGGAGCCAATAAACCGGGTTCAAACCTCAGTTCAGCCACTTCCAAACCACGTAAAAATGGACAACTTACTTAGCTTTACCAGGTCTCAGTTTCCTCATATGTCAAAGGGGAAAATCATGACAACCGCTCATAAGGTTGTTTTGTGGGGATTTAGTGACTTCAAGAGCAAAGCCCATGGCATAACATTGTGGTGCAGACAGAGAGCTTACTTTCTGCTGGCTATCATTTCAGCAAGGATCATTTCCCACCTGGGCCACTGCAACAGCAGCCTGCTAAGTCACCTCCCTGATTCCACATTCCATGCCTTCACAAACGTCACTGCACACCAGCCAGAGTGACAGCCCTAAAATAAAAATCAAATCACAACACTTCTTCCACTGGCTTTTTGTTGGCCCACAAGGTCCCTCAATCTCATCTCCCCCTACTGTCCCAACCCCTGGCCAATGACCACATTGGCATGCTCTCCGCTCCTGGTACTTTTTCACGGCAAACCTTTCAGTAGAATGCTCTCCCTCAGATCTCCCAGGGCAGCTTCTCTTTTTTTATTCAGTTATTCTGGCTGCAAAGACACCTCCTGAGCAAGGCTTTCCCTGCCCCACCCACCTGACCTAAGGCACAACATTCCTACCCAAGTCTCTCTCTAGCACATCACCTGGTTTATTACCCTCAGAGCACCACCAGCTATAGGTTGAGTATCCCTAATCTGAAAATCTGAAATGCTCCAAAATCCAAAACTCTGAGAGCTGAGATGATGCCACAGGTGAAAAATTCCACACCTGACCGACCTCATGTGATGGGTCATAGTCAAAATGCAGCTAAAATTGTTTCATGCATAAAATTGTTTTAAAATACTACATAAAATCGCCTTAAGACTGTGTGGAAAAGGTATATATAAAACATAAATGAATTGTTTGTGTAGACTTGGATTTCATCTCCAAGATATCTCATTCTATATATGCAAATATTCAGAATCTGAAATCTAAAACACTTCTAGTCCTAAGCATTTCAGATAAGGGGTACTCAACCTGTATCTTCTTGTTAAGGCTCTGCCTAGGTGTTTGTTGTATGTCTCTTCTGGCTGGTATGTCAGCTTTGAGAACAAGAACCTGATTTGTTTTGGCAAACGCTGACCCCTCAGGACCTAGAATAGTGTCTGACTCACAGCAGGCTCTCAAAACACTGCACAAAGTTTTTTAATGAAAATAAATATCATGCATCATGTACTTAATGGAGTGAGACTCGAGGCAGGTCACGTCAGCAGTGTTATCAGAAGGACTGAGTCCCCCAGAGGCACTCAGGTGTCTCCAATTGTTCACTATCTCCCACATCATCGATCTGTGGCAATGTGATAAACACATACTGCATTTAAAACATCATTCATCATAAAAGATAGAGGCTACATAAAAATGCATCTCACAGACCTATATATGAGAGGTAAACTGCACATTTGATCAAAAGGTCAACCCACTTGGTCAGGTTCACTGAGCCAAGCTGGGATCACAGACACCAAGTTGGAGTGGATCACAGATTCTCTAGCAGGGAGCGAGGTCACAGGAAAGCTACCATTGTATGTTAGTTTCCCTTCACCCCTGGGGGAGGAGGGAATAAATTTCTTACAAAGAGGAGACACAGGGGTAGGGGAAGGGAAAGGAAATGTGAAATCTTGCCCCATTTGAAAACAGGCTTATTCCACGAAAGCAAACCAGAAGAAGAGCTGGCATTTGCTTCTCAGCATCCCCCACGTGCACTTCTCTGCTCTTGTCTAAATTACCTAGGAAACAGGCACCTCCTTTTACTCCACTCACAAGACAGGAGCACAATCAGGATGCAGATCTGGGTCCCCCCAGTGGACGACGTAAACACCCCGCTTCCTAGAGTGGGCTCCCTTTGATCCTCACAATGTCCACTGATTAGGCCTGCGGCTCCCTAGGGAGCATGGCACAAGTCTCCTCCGGGGTCCCATCCTCTCCCCTGAGACTCTTTCAGTCCTGGCTGGATTGCAGGCTCATCCACTAATGCCAGTCTTTGTTCTCATGCTCCCCTGGTGGTGTTAGCTACTAAATTTCCCAGCTGAATTTCACTTGGTTATTTCTGGGCCCTATCTCCAACCTCAGCCTGGCCCTGCTGCACAATTTCTCTAGCTTGACTGATGTGAGAGCATTTGGGAGTTTTCCAATAAAATAAAACTCAATGCTTTTTTTTTTCATTTTGAACACTGTAAGTGGAAATTAAAATGTGCCTTGATACAGAACACTGTTAATTCTTTAGGAACGAAGCCACAGTTATTTCCTATGTTTTTTATTTGTACTTTGTGATCAAGATATTGTGGTGATTGGGGTTACCTATTACAGAGCAGCTCAGCAGTTGAGAACAAGTAAAAATAAATTGTGTTGTCTTGAAGAAAAAATATGACCTGCTGGCTGGGCATGGTGGCTCACGCCTGTAATCCCAGCACTTTGGGAGGCCGAGACGGGCAGATCACTTGAGGTTAGGAGTTCAAGACTAGCCTGGACAACATGGTGAAACTCCATCTCTACTAAAAATACAAAATTAGCGTGGCATGGTGGCACATGCCTGTAATCCCAGCTACTCAGGAGGCTGAGGCAAGAGAATCACTTGAACCCGGGAAGCAGAGGTTGCGGTGAGCCGAGATCACACCATTGCACTCCAGCCTGGGCAACAAGAGCGAAACTCCATCTCAAAAAAATATATATATGACCTGCTACACAAAGGAATGCAGCAGCACATCCTTAAAGACCAATGAGACAGCAGCCCAGCCAGGGACGCCTGGGAGGGGAGCCCTGTGACCTGCGATGGAGTCGCACGCTGTCAAATTGAAAGCAGGGGTGAATTCAATTCTGCAATGGAGAAATTCTGGGTAAGTGATTGGGAACCCAAAGGTCTGTTTAAATATACAAAGGGCCATGGAACAAGTCTTAGTAATCACCCCAGACTCTTGCAGGAGAGAAACAAACAGCTCCTCACAGAAGCCTGCTGGCCTGGACCTCTTGAGCCCTGTCTTTGCCACTTCCCTCCTGAAATTCACCCTCCAACCACAAAGATTCTTCTCAAGTCCTGCAGATGTCAGTTCTTCCTTTGGCTTCCAGGCCTTGACAAATGCTCCTTTTTGCCTAGATTACTCTTTCCTCACCTCTTTCAGATATCACCTCCTCCGGGAGGCCTTCTGGACTGCCAAGGCTGGGTAAGTCCCTCACCTGCTCCCAAAGGACTCCTCACTCTCTCTCCCCTGACAGCTCCCTTGTATTGACTTTTCGATGGCCTAAAGCTCAACAGAAGCAGGCACTTGCTCATTTTGTTCAACACTGTTTAGCACTTAGGTGACACTCAATAAGCAAATGCTCAATTAATACATGACTGACAGAATGAACACAAAAATAAATAGCTAAAGGAATCAAATGGAATCTTGCTTTATTTTGATCTAAGAAGAAGAAACTCATTGAAAAACTGAGGTTAATGAAAAGCCTGGCCCCCCTCAAAAGAAGTGAAGACATTAGAATGATGAGAACAGTCCATTGTAGGATAGACCCAAATTTAATAGCTTAAAGAATTGAGGAAGTTGGATCCTTTTCAAAGCGTACAACAAGAATCCAAACTATATCAGAAGACAGGGAGAAGAGAGCAATAAAATGCCAGATCGGTTACTCTAAATTAACCCAAACTGTGAACAGCACACAGAGAAAAATCAAGCCCTTTCCCTAAGAACTATGAAGATACAGCACAAATTTACAGGTATGAGATCAAGAAAGCTAAGGCAGGATGGGAGATTGCAGCTTCAAGAGACATCAAAGGTAACATTCTTTAATTATACAAGAAAAAGGAGGAGGGCCGAGGATAATGTTGCCTCTATTAAGAAAGCGGGAGGGAAAGCTGTTAGCAGATGGCTATGAAATGGCAAGAGTTGCTGTTTCTCATGCTTTACTCTAGGAGGGAAGGAAGGAAGGAAACAGGGAGGGAAAGGACGGAGGGAAAGAAATCACAAGCAACTACTAAAAAAGTGCCATTTGGGTGGGTGCCAAATTAGAAAAGATAAATAATTACATGGAATCTTTAAGCAACTGGATTCATGATCCTGAACTGAGTTGCAGATGGGGCCTCCCATCAACATGGATCAGACGCATACTTGGATGCTAAGTTGGGAAGATGTTACCAAAATATGAATTGCCTAGAGGCTGTTGAAGACAAGATACATCACTGAAATTTGGAAAAAGGCAAACAAACATCATGCTCCCCTTAACCACAGGGAAAATACCTACTTGTTCGATGCCAGATGGGTGTCATGGAAGAGAGGCAGCTCTCCTGTGTTAATCTTACAGTACTTAAAATTACGGTCCCCATCCAAGTCTATGAGTGAAATGCCAGCTTATTCCAAAGAATCGAAGTCCCTGCCTTATGCCAGTGAGGTGGCTCAAGCCTGTAATCCTAGCACTTTGGGAGGCTTAGGCGGACGGATCACCTGAGGTCAGGAGTTCAAGACCAGCGTGGCCAACATGGCGAAACCCCGTGTCTACTAAAAATATAAAAATTAGCCAGGCGAGGTGGCACATGTCTGTAATCCCAGCTGCTTGGGAGGTAGAGGCAGGAGAATGGGTTGAACCTGGGAGGCGGAGGTTGCGGTGAGCCAAGATCGCACCACTGCACTCCAGCCTGGGTGACAAAGCAAGACTCCGCCTCAAAAATAAAAAATAAAAAAATGCAGATTTTACAAATGTACAAATGTACCATAAATACTTTGTACATTGCCTGCTCTCAGGAAGGATTAGGTGACTAAGTTTGGATCAGAGGTTGTGTACAATAACTAAATTGTAGAAGGGAAGCAGAAACAGCAATGTCTCTTCAGGTGGTCAAGAAGCCACTCTGATGGGCAGGCTGTGAGCATGGGTCACCTGGAATTCCACCTCCATGGTGACTGTGATAAGCATCTGAGCAGCTCCCAACTTCTCTGCCCTATGGTGGCACGCATGAGTCCCCAGTCCTACCCTAGGAGTTTTGGTGCCCACAGAAAGTAAGTACTGCCTCGGACTAATCACATTATTCCAAAGGAGGTCGGGCCACCAGGTAGGGGCAACACAAGGAAGTAGCTGTGATGTGTTTAAAGGTGAGAATGACATGACTACTCAAGTGTCCACGGTAGGAAAATATCCTTGTAAGATGGCTCTTAGAGACTTTCCAAGGAGGTGGGTTGTTAGATAGGCCTTTAAACATAAGCAGGATTTGAAGGCAAAGAGAAAGCAAGTAACTGGTCCAGGAGAAACAACTATACAAGCAGGGCAACAAGGGCAGGGCCAGCACCAGAGCAGTGGCCAATGGGAGCTGAGTCGTTGTAGAAGAGAACAGTGCCAGGCGGCAGGGGAAGAGAGGACTGGACCAGTGCACTAAGGGGCTAAGTGATTTTCTCTAGAAAAATGCGGTCTCTCTTGGTCTTTTCTTTCTCTTCCTGACCTGGGTGGTCTTCAAGCTTCTCCCAGTCTCCTTTAATAAATTTATCCTCAAAATTGATGAATAAAATTGTTAACAAATTTTTCTAAATGCTACAGGGACTTTTCTCACTGTTGGTTCCCAGTTTCATTCACTATCTCCTAAAACAGAGATACGCAGACTCACGGTCGCATCAGGCACAAGAGTAGTCAAGATTCACTGGCAACAGTTCAAATCTGGAACACTAAGAATTATCCCTAAATCTGTATTGCTTTGCTCCAAGTTGTCTTGCAATGCAGCTCTTTAAAAGTCTATGGATCCTGGCTAACATGGTGAAACCCCGTCTCTACTAAAAAATACAAAAAAAAAAAAAATTAGCCGGGTGTGGTGGCAGGTGCCTGTAGTCCCAGCTACTCGGGAGGCTGAGGCAGGAGAATGACATGAACCCGGGAGGCGGAGCTTGCAGTGAGCCGAGATTGCGCCACTGCACAGCCTGGGCGAGAGCAAGACTCTGTCTCCAAAAAAAAAAAAAAAAAAAAAAGGCTATGTAAGTGGCTCACTGTTTCTAGTCTTAAAACATTACCTCTGGATTACTAAAAGAAAGCCAGGTCATTCTATTGAATTTCTAAGAGAAAGACAAGAATAAGCAGGGAGCTATTCTCAAGCTCACAAATAATAGTTTTGCAAAGGTTTATGGACTTGTTTGGATCTCCTCACTCCAGCTCTTACTGCAATTCAAGACTAACAGCCTAGGAAGCAAGAGACCTAGCAAAGCCCCCAGGGTGTGACCCAACATCAGTCTTTCTGGTTAAACAATCTAATTTTCAAAGGGCGGAAAAAAACAAAGCATTTCTGATTGGCTCATCAACTGTTCTCCAAAGATGTAAAAGACAGTCTGGATGAGAAGAGAACTAAGAGCTCAGGGAACTGTCACTGCCTTTGCAGTTTGGTCAAGACAAAACTGTTCATTTATGCCTCTTAGGCATTTTTGTCTCTCACAGTCTCAAGATGACACTTGGATAGTAAGAGAGAGAAGTATGAGCAAGTGTACCTATTAAATATGTAAAATATACATCCTCTCTTCCATTCACTCAGAAGATGTATTTCTAAAGGGATGTGGAAAGTCACCTAATATAAAGACAGACAGGTAGAAAAAAAATCTATGCAGTTTTTTAGCACACAAGAATGCAAGTGGGCTTAGCACAACAGCCTTCCACAGAAAATAAATGCAAGCCAATTAAAAATTCAGGGTTTTTTCTTTAAGCTAATTCCTCAGGTTTTGCTAATTAGCAACCAATAGTTCTGTCATCTGAGCTGGGGAACATAGGAAGAATACCAGTGGTATGTTTTCAATCAAAGCATTTGCATGGAAGAATGAATCATATTTTCCATGAAGAACTACTGCTTAGGAGCAGTTGGGGGCAGAAGAAAAGCAGCCTTCACACAACTATAAAACTGTAAAGGAGACCTGAAATTTTTTAAAAAGCAGGCATCTTTCTGCTCCCTTTACCAAAGCCAGCAGAGACCCTATAATATGACATGACTAGTGAATCCGAGAAACTTTGCACAAAGATCCCTGCAGGAAGAGTTTAAAAACTAGACTCTTGACAGTAAGACAGAAGACAATGCAACACATGTTTTCTGTAAAAGGGAAGCGAATAAAAGTTAAGTGTCGGCCAGGGTACAGGAATGCTTTAACTATTATGTCACCTGCCTTTGAAAGTTTATAGAAGATAAATGCATGGCAGTCAATGAAAGCAGGGAGAGATGGCGGTTAGAAATACCTGGCTACAGACAGAGCATGGGCAGAAGAAAATTGCTGAGGAATCTTTGGGCAGAGGATGGGGCTTCTTACCCTGACTCTGATACAAGATCAGGTCCTCCAATCTAACCCCTACCACGCTCCCCCAAATTATAAAGCGCCAGTGATCCTGTAGCTGAAAGCCTGTCAACACCACGCCATGTCTGAGTCATGCATCTAAAACGTCTACTTTTGCGCCTTGATATACAGCCCGTCCACTGCGACCCTTCATGAGAGAATACCCCCGTATCCCCCCGGGAGATTTTATTCTAAACATATGCTGTGAATGTTTGAAGTGCCCGCTGTCCCTGAGTTTTCTTTTTTCTTTTTTTTTTAAGCCACAAAACCTAAAATACTTTGATTTTTGCCTAACTACAATTTCTGAAGATGCAACATTGCATACCCAAATATAATAAAATCTTGTGCAATAAAAATTTTACAGATGTCCTTCTGAAGGGGAAAAAAAAACAAAAATGGTTTTCCCTTTTCCGGTCTTACAGGAAGCCTGCCCACACTTTAGAAATACAAAGTTCATATATATAGAAACACAAATTAGGCATCTTGGAGAGTCTACAATTTCCAACCACAGAGAAATGAAGGAATTGCTGTGAGTGTTCACATGGCCAGCCCACTGGATTAGAGGAGTCTTTTCTTTTGACCGGCTCAGCAGAGCTAGCAAATAACTCAAGGGCAAGGGGACTGGCCTAAAAAGATGTTTCTGAACTTGAGCTACTGAAGGTCTGCAATGCGCTTGTATTGTTGACAGGGCCCACGACTGAGACAAGCTATGCCCACAAGATAAACAAATGTGACCAAAACTGTATGTCTCATTTTAAAAAGAGGGCATTTCTTCATACACTAAAAAATTCATGGAAAATTTATCACCTTCAATTCACATCAATCATTAGCTTTGCCTGGATAATTAAATCCATGTGAGCAGATAGATTTTATTATAAAGTATCTCAAAAAATACTTGTGATACTGGCAGGAGATTAAGTAATCCAACAGAGTTCTAAAGAAAAAGTAAAGTCATATCCCATATGATGCTGAGGCTTAGTTTAGGATGTCTTTAAATATTCAATATGAATAAATAATACTATATCTTTTATGTTCCTGCATGTATTAAAGTTTGCATTTGTTACATAAAACACTTTCTGCTAAGAATTTAAAATGTTAACACTTCTCAAACTCATTTAAAATCTTTACAATTTCTTCACTTACAAAACAGAAAAAAGTTATAGTCGATCTACTGAGGTTGACTGAGAAAAGATTATGTTCAGAAGGCCACAGTGCACAGCTCTAACGACACCACAGTTACAGGTTTGCAGTTTGCTCAATTCTTAATCTGTGTTATAGAAGAAACTGGTCTCAGGCAAGCAGGTGACCAGGTCTGGCAAGAAAGAAAGAAAAAAAAAAAAAACAGTCTACACTGAATCAAATACAAGTGCAACCCTCACAAACATGACTTAGAGAGTCAACTTATCACATATTGATGATGATGAGGAGGAGGAGGATGATGATGTAGAAGAGAAGGAAAAAAAGAGGAGGAGAAGGAGGAAGAGAAAGCAGAGAAGAACTACCTTAATACATTTGAGGCACTTAACATGTGCCAGAGATTTTAGTTAATACTTTATTTGCATTGTCTCAATTTCCACAAGAACACCATGGAGCAGGCAGTCATATTATCACCCTATCCCACAGTGAGGAAAGGATTCCTAGAGGGATCAGCACACTTGTCAAGGTCACACAGCTAGCAAGTGACAAAGCTGGACCTTGAACCCAAATTCCCAAGTGTTGAGCCAATCTGTGCAGTCTTTAGGACTTCCCATCCATATTATCTATATAATAATGTAATTTATGACCAATTTAGGGAGTACATTGGGATGGTAGGTCAAAATTGTATTTGCCATTTGGTTACAGAGAACTTATACAGTTTATAAGTTATCACATAATTTTAACACTGATTTGGACAATATTGTGGGAGAATGTAACGAATAATCCACTATGAATGCTGTAACCTCAAAACAGAGTGATGATGAATGAATTCAGATCCCCCTAAGAGCTCTCCCGTGCCCATCATTAGTTAATAGGACATTGGAGGTCCAGGAGATGGGTCCCACTTGCACCGCTGAAGGAAGACAAGGGTCCCAGGTGTAGAGAGCTCCCAGCCCCTCAGAGGACGGGAAGATTCAATGGGGGAAACCGTTAAAACAAACGAACCAAGAACAAGCTGCAAGTTGAATGGCACAGAGAGAAAGTTAACGGTTATCTGCTCACTACTGTCAGCCAAAAAAGAAGTACTCTTCAGCTGTCCTGACTAATTAAATACCTCACTAATTAGTGGGCATCTTGAAAAGACAACAAAACATAAATATGAGATGGGAAAAGTTTGTGTTCACACATAAGAACAAAAACAATGCAGGGAGCTTTGGCTAAGAGTCTAGCCTGAATTTTTCTTAAAAAGTAAGTCTACTACTGGGGTCTATAAATACAGGTAGAAAGCATGTAGGAGTCCCTCACATTTTCTGCATGGATGATGTTTAAAAGAGACTCACAAATAAAAATACAATGCAGAAAACTTAGGAATGTGCTCAGAGAAAAAGCCTACCAAGGCTATTTTAAACCTTCATTACTAAAAGGAAAGATGAATAAAATAAAACTAAGTAAACCCTGAATGAAGGAAGGAACAAGCCCAATAGCCTTCCTCCTTATTTCTGTATCTGCAGAAATAAGATGGACAAGCACTTTTGAAACAGAGAAGTTGTAACCTTTTTCAAAAGCTTAGAAGAATCCAGAAAACTACCCTCCGTGCTTCTGACCACTTTTTAAAAAATGCTCTCTCCACTTAAAAAAAATAATGTAGCTTCCATCTTTTCCAACAATATAATCTGGTTGGGGGGGAGGTGGTGCGGGGTAGCGGTTGCTGAGACTTAAGGTTATGCGAGGCCCTTTGATCTGAGGAGTGAGCATTCCCCTTTGCTGCAAGCCAACTAATGAAGGGATGAAATTAGCTTTTATCCTGGGCACTTTCTTGAGCAAAAAAACATGCACTAATCAGCTGTCCTCACTAATCAGTCATCTGGCTAATGACCTTTTGCCTTAAAACACTAAAATTTCTGAATGATGTGGAAAAGGGGAAACACAAACCAGTCCCCCTCACTGGAGCTCAATGGATCATCTGGAATTGGAGCCGGGAAGGTTAAATGGCAAGTCTGAATCCTGGCAAGGTGATAAATCTGTAATCAAGAGCTGCAAGCTTTGGCACCTCAATATGAACTTCATTACTCCACAACCAAATTGTATTTTTTTAACTAGAAACAGGTCAGAAATAAACTCAACCCTTATACATTTTTCTTTATATTCTGCCGTTGGAGAAAACCATCCCATACATGAGTTCAGAGTCCTAGTTAATTTCTTAAACGTGATTAGTGCTGAGAAAGGAGCTTCTGATGTGTCTGGCACGCTGGTTAGAGAGGAAAATACAGCACAAAGGAAAATCTTCCATTTTAAGGAATTTAGCACAGATTTGTTAAAAGAGGTTTGTTTTTACAAACCATCAAAAATGGGAATAGGCAAAATCATTACATTAAAAAATCATTAAAAATGGGAATTGCGGCTGTTGAGCACTTCTCTTAATGCAGCCTGCTTTCATAACTTCATAACAACAAATTTTTCTCCTGCAGCATCTGTTTGGATGGAGTAACTCTAGTTCTACTTCTCAACAAAAGTCTCATGTGGATTAGTCACAAATGGACCACTCTCCTGAAGGCCGCCCCACTGAAGACTGATGTTGCTTAGAGACGTAAGAAAACATCTCTCTCTAAAAAGAATGGGAAAGAAGTAGGGAAAGTAAGAAGGAAAGTGGAAAGAAAATTACACCTTTTAATAAATTATACAAGCCAAAACTTCATAAAGCGCGCACACACACACACACACACACACACACACACACACACACACAGCCCTCCCCATAGCTCCTGAACAAGTGCCGACTGGCATGGGCACTTACGGTAGTGGGGCTCCATGTAACCATTCCTGGGGTCCATGGCAAACACCGTCCCGCGGTACGGCACAGAGGGCTCCGCCACGTGTGGCAGGGACCCATGGATCTCTTTCTTGATCAATGAGGCCCTCTCGTCACTCGATGTTGAAGGTTCCTCACTGACTTTGCTGAGCCCCTGGACATTCTGTGGCTGCATAGTGATTGCGTTTCTTCTCTCTCTGTGATAAGTCTGTCCAGGACTTTCATCCTCTAAAGAAAGAAGAAAAATGAAAGACTCTGTAAACTACTTTAAGGAGCAATTAAAAAACCATGATCAATTAGGTCTCATTCTCGATATCCCTCTCCCGGAAAAGAAGTATCTTTCTCATTCACAGCAACTTTGAGAGCTACAGGGCTGGGATGGGATCTTTGCAGACAAAATTGTTTATGAATGAGGGTCCAAAGTACACAAATACACAGGGAAGGATGAAGGAGAGCAGGAAATGAGCCTATTAAACTGAGATGTAGGGGTTGGCAAATTGGCATCACCAGCTTCTAGATGGGTCTGCCCATGAGGTTTCTGCTCATGGGCTGGCCAACATCTTGCAGGTCCCACGTGGAACTGAAACCTTTGCCAATCTAAGACTGTGCATGTCCAGCTTCCCTTTGCCTGCCTGGGGACGCGGGGCCTCCGGGGTGACACAAAGTCCTTCCAGCTACCCACTGAGGCTCTGGTTGCTCCAGGGGATGTAGGGCCTTTGCTCCTAGAGAATGACCTATTAGGAAGCTATCCAAAAGTTTATGCTGTTTTGTTGTTTTAAGTCAGATTTGTAACCCAGCAAGAGATTTGACAGAGCCAAAAATGGAACAGAAAACTCATTGGTGAAAAGGGATAAAGGTGCCAATCATGAAAACCTACAGAGCCTCTCGTGAGATACTTCCTGCTTCTGTCCATACAACAAAGCTGAGACCTAAGAGGAACACAGAGTGAGACTGAAAGTCCAGGTGTGAGATGGCTCTGAGGGTGAGGAAGGAAGGTGTGGGGGATGTTGATATGTGTCCATGCTCTGATGGGTCCATACATTTCTTCAAACATGTAAGAAACAGCTTGAAGAAATTCCATATACAGCGGGTATTCCAGTTTCCTAATACTTCAGTTCCCTTCGATCAGTAAGAACTTTCCATTTCTCCACTATGGTTCTCTGCAAATGTGATTGGATGACCTTTCTATAATAGCAGATCAAAGAACCCATGCATAAAATTAAATCACACTGCCTATGTGAACCCACAACAAGTGGACCAATTCATCTCTTTGAATCATACATGAACTCTAAACTACATGCTCCTAAACAAGTTCCACATTTAATCAACAGACTGTGCTCTGGCAGATAAGTGCTGATGGAAAGAAAGCTGCTGTCCAGGTACCACTTAGACATCTAATGTAAAAACCGTTTCCTATTCCTATCTTAAAAAAAAACTGTATTTGGGTATAAATAATAATATTGTTGTGCATTTTAGATAAATAGATCTTGAGCACATCTTATTCTCATATACAAATTTATCTTCAAAATAATCCATAAAGCAGATATGATTAACTAAGGGCTCCCCCAATAAACATAAGAATAATGCTTTAGCAGTTTCATAACTTTGTTCAAATTCAGAAGAAAGTAGAACTGTAAACACAGACTTGCATAAAAATACAAACCGAAAATAACAAATACTATTTATGTTGACTCAGGACTTGAACTACCTAAAGCCAGCAGCAAGTTTAGTCTTTCTGCCTGTGTGTAGGACTTGAAAACTAAGCAATATATTCCTTACCTTAGCAAATGACTTGCAGAACAGAAAAGACAATGAGGTATATTTTGGTCTTTACAGAGAATTTGCTGACTACTACAAGGTAACTGTGAAATATTATTTTAATAATGTTTTGTGCAGATCCTCATCCCAAACTTTATAATTAAGGGGTAAATTATATGTTTAATCTATCAAGTAAAAACAAAAACAAAAAAAATCCTGTAATCTCACATGTTCACATTGATCTCTATGAAAGCAATTCATACCATGCTCCTTGCAATTTTAAAACAAACTACAAAAGACAAAATACATTTTTATTTTCCCCTCTAACTAATATTTTTAGGCAGTAGGTCACCCTTGTACTTCATTAGCAGAAAATTCACAGTCTATAGAATAAGAATTTTGCAGTTACGTAAAAGCAAAAGGGTGTCAAAAACACTAAAACTTATGTCAGTTTTATAAAAATTCCCATAACCTACAAATGGCCCAAGTCATATTTTCCACTAATTTGTGCTCTGTATAAAGCCTTTATTTCAAACTTAAATCTGAAATGAACTTCTAGCACTGAGGTGCAAATTCTGTAGAAAGGGACCTTCATTTGGAGGCCAGAAAACCCTTCCTCAGGGGGGCTCTGACACATAATTAGCATTCTCTGGGAAAGATGAATAACCAAACTCGGCTAACCTGTTCCAGGTTTAAAACAGGATTTCCTTGACTTAATTGTCCTAGAATAAATTAACTTTTCTTCTCTTAAAACGGCATCCCTATAATAAACCCTGTCTTAAAAACTACATGTTTATGATGAGCATTTGAATCCAACCTCACAAATAACTGAATAATGAATGGGTTATGGTCTGGCCAGAGACTCTTCCCACCATTCCCCCAACCTCTTGAGAGAATAAACTCAGGAGGGTAATCGGGGCGGCGGAGTGGGGAGGGTGAGTGGAAATGAGGGTACCTTTTAGCTCAATGATTTTCTTAATGAGAGTTCACCCAACAAAAGTAAATATTAAAGTTATAACAAGAAGTAACCGAAGTGCACATTTTTAATATGGAAAAAATTAAATTAAAATTACTATTCCCTTAGTAAAGTTAAATGCAGGCAGGAATTTTTTTTACGTGAAAACTTCCATCAGGAAACTTGCTTTTACAATAGTCAGTGCTACCCTAATTTTACCCAACCACACCTCCCCGCTCCAAAAGGAAAACTCCAGCAGACAAATACTTCATGAAGTTTACCTCCTGTACCAAGTTGCTTTTGACGGGCATTCATATGAAAACCTGACAGTATACACACTCCACAATACAAACAGCTACGAGGCTTGAAAGCACTCTGTATACAGTGAAAGGGACACTTTCCAAGCAATATTCCTGCCTGCTCTTATAAATTTAGCAACCACTTCAGCAAGCCAAAAGACGAAAGCTGTCTAATCTTGTTCAGTTGAGCCGAGTTGTTCAATAAAGTTTGAGAGTCAGTGCAGACAGGCTACGCCAGGCCAAATTATTGACAGAAACACACTGTCCACCATGGCAACAGGCAGAAGTCTGCTGCAAAAATGTAAGCAAACAGCCCACTGCTCCAAGAGCATCTGCCAATGGACTTTAACAGCCAAACACAAGGCAACTGTTCCCGCTTCTCTATGTTTAACAGCTGCAAGCTCGGGGGTCAAACCGAAACATGCAATTCACTAAAATCTTTCAGGAAAAAATGACTTTAAATACTGTCATCATAATCCCACTTTGTACCTCCTTCTCTTTTCATATCCATGCTCAAGTGGAAGTTAACAAATCCCTGCCCCCAGAGAGCTGCCCAAAGCATCACGTTTTAGAAACTGTCCCAGAATTTCCAAACTCATCCAAAAGCAAGTGACATCAAGTCAGATATTCTTGGTGCTAGAAACTCAGAAAAAAAAAAAAGTGGGGTCCTTGCAAGCAGTGCTTAGGACGTTTGCAATAAAAGTCTGGAGAAGGTAATCACGTTGCTGCATGAAGCAGGACTCGAACACGCACTTGTGGGCGCTTGCAGACAGACATCTATCCGATTTCTCATGGTAACCGAGGGAACAGGTTTCGGGTTTTTTTGTTTTGTTTTGTTTTGTTTTTTTCTGTCCATGACTTGAAAGAAAAGTTTCAGGTGATTCCTTCAAGATAAAAACAAAACTCTGCCAGGCATCACTAACTAAGGACACCTCCTGTCACCTAACAAAATTAGCTGATTAGGAGCTCACAGTACACGTGTTCACCCCCTTTTCCCACTTAACATTGATTTTCCCTTAAAACCCATTTTAATACCCACTACTCCTCTCTTGTCCCAAGACCTAGAAGATGCGGAGTATAAGAGAACAGACAATACTTACAACACAGTCCCCAGGCTCTGGCTAGCTACTTTGCGCCAACTTCTCTTGGTGAGCTCTCTCTAGCTGCGCAGACCCTCTAGGAACATTCTCGGTATCTCTCTGCCTCCCTCTCCCTCTCCCTCTCCCAGGCAATGCTGCTCCCATTAGAGGAATTAAAAGTGGTTGGAGCCATGCTAAATTTAACAAGCTCATTAGTATTCTTTCTGAGTGCTTCCGAGTGAACTCTCCCTATTCAAGCCTCTCTCTCCAGCAGAAGGGTCAGGCGGCTAATCATTAAATCAAACTAATGTCACCCTATCACAATCAGCCTGAGAGAAGGAGGGTTTATTATTTCAGTTTATGCTAAATAAACGGTTTTACAAATGGTCCCCAAGCAAGGTCAACAGCAGCTTCAATTACAAGACAAACTTAACAAGAGTTGCTATAAACCAAGTACTCTGTATTGACTTAAGAACAGGCTCCACTCCACATATTGCCACTAGCAGGATTGTACAGGAATGCATATTGTAAAATAAAGGAAGGGGTGAGCTTTTTTCTTTGCCAGAATTTGCGAGTGCACAGCGACTCCTCATTCACCTCTCTCCAACCAGCTAGCCGCTCAGCTCAATTCACCCCACACAAAGGCTGGAGCCTAGACCTCAATGGACCGAGTGAAACATGTTCAAAACTAGGCTCTCTATTGTGACTGAATTTCTTAACATCTTTTCAAAAAGCGGAGAATGCCTTGAGGCTAAAGGAAGAAACAGGCTAATGGTGAATTGGGAATTCTGAGCAAATTTCAGAGCCCTTTCCTCCTAGCTTTTGAGGTTGAAAGCAAGCTCTTTCCTTTCAAGTTTCAAAGTCCTTTTTCCTCCCGCAGTGTCACAGAAGGATTTGAAAAGAAGGTAATTGTGCTCGCAGTCTCCCTGATCAGAGCTTACGTCCTATTTCTGGTATTTCGGAATACTTCTTGCAATAATAGTGCATATAGCTCAATCCCTTAACCGGCCTGCACTCTGCAATTGCTCATTAAATGAACAATTGCGGGTATAAAATGCCTTTTATGTTCAAGGTCTGGATATAAGATAAGCATTCTAGGACTCTAAATTTGGTTTACTAAGGAAACTCTCCATCATTAAATTACAAAACTGAAGTCAGAATATCAGGCTTTCCCAGAAAAGTGGCACTCAGGTTGCAGCCAGCCAAAATGAAGGGAGGATGGGGCGGGCAGGGAGGAGGCAACAAAATGTTAAGGGGGGGTGGGGGGAAAGACCGGAGGATACTCAGATTTCTAGCCAAATGAGATTCTAACAAGAAAATACTATTTCCATATTTAAGGTCTGAGTTTGTGAAACCTTGTAACTTCTATATTGAATGATATAATAAAGTCACGTTCAAATGAATTAAAATACAGGACTGAGGCTCCATAAATATGTTGTTGACTAATCTGGACCCCTCACAAGCAAACATCTTCCCCATCCTTAAGAAAAGAAATAACCCTTTCCCATCATTATTTACATCATCTCATGTGATCCTCACAGCAACCCAATGATGGCGGTAGGACAAGGTATTAGGCCCAGCTCAGAAACTAGCCGTCATGTCCCAGGTGAGTAAGTGATGCAAAGAAACTTCCCAGTATGCTTTACTGAATCCACACCTCCCTGTCCCCTGTTAACAGGACAAGAGCTCTGTTCCTGGGTAGGCTTTTGGAATGATACCTGGATATGTGCCCCAACATCCACTACTACCACCAGTAAAAAGAAAAAAAAAAAAAGAAAAGGAATGACATTGCTATGCACAGAAAATTTCAAAACTGAGACACTCTCCCATTAAGTTTTTGACAACATAAATCCACTCCTGGGAAACACCGACAGAAGCCCAAATGACAAATCTATGGGGAGACACTGGACCCACGTGGAGGACCCGCACAGGTGCAATCCTCCCCCTACCACGCGCAAAGATACACACAGGCCCCACTCAGCACTGCACACCCTCTCCACCGCACTCCAGGACTCGGCCAGGGGCTTTGTGTGTTCCAGGCATTTTTAATGTGTCTCCAGAAGCTTGGGGCCCCACCCTCCTGTCCTGAACAAGACACAGAGCATAATCGTCTCTCCTTTCCTCCCAGGAAATTGCTTCGCTGTGTTTGCAAAGAGCATTATTTCATTTTTTTCCTATTATTCATTTGTTGCATCTTATCAGCTTTTATTTCTTTGGTTATTTACATGTTGATGCTCTTTGAATAAAAACCAACGGAATCCAAGTCCTCGCTCCCTGTTTCAGAATTCTCCCCAAGACTGACCAAAGAGAGATCAGAAATGAAAAAGAGAAGAGGCTAAGTATATTCAAAAGCATTGCAGAATTACGCTAGGAAGGGGGAATAAAGTTCCTGTAGTTTTAAAAAGCAGAATATTTCCTCTTTCCATCTAGATTGCAGTTCTGCCAAAGCCAGGGGCTGCTCCCTAGAATGTCTAGAGCTTGGCTTCCAAAGGGCGTGAGCAAACAATGCCCACTCTAAGAACATTTCCAATACCCTCGGGGTCAGACTTTGCCCTTGTGCAGCTACACATACATCTCCCATTGACAATGACGGATGACAGAGGGAGGGGCCCAGATGGATCAGGAGAAAGCACTCAGCTTTGTTTGCAACCTTTAAACTGCACTGCCAGGCCTGCAACATGAGAGGGCTGCAGCAGAATTTGAAGCCTTGGGGAAATTCAAGTGACAACTCTCCCTCAAAGATTATGGGATTGCTCTCTCTTCCTACTTTCACCAACCAGGAGGTCCCAGGGTGAAAGGAGAGAAAGTAGAAAATGCTCTCCATCAGGCCAAGCGTGGTGGATCACACCTGTAATCCCAGCACTTTGGGAGGCCGAGGTGGGCAGATAACCCAAAGTCAGGAGTTCAAGACCAGCCTGACCAACATGGAGAAACCCCATCTCTACTAAAAAAACAAAATCAGCCAGGTGTGGTGGCGCATGCCTGTAATCCCAGCTACTTAGGAGTCTGAGGCAGGAGAATCGCTTGAACCCAGGAGGCGGAGGTTGCAGTGAGCCAAGATCACGCCATTGCACTCCAGCCTGGACAACAAGAGTGAAACTCAGTCTCCAAAAAAAAAAAAAGAAAGAAAAAGAAAATGCCCTCCATCAGAGCCATAGAGTAGCTTAATTGTTTTCATATTTCTACTGTTCTTTTTACCAAAGAATAAAACATAATCTAGACTGACCAATATCCCAATGGCTTCCACTGGAAACCATTTGCTCCAAAGAGCAGCAGGTTAGAGCTCAAACCAAGGCAAAATTCTCACCTCACTCCCCAACTGCTCAGTTTACAGAGCTCCATTCAACTTCAAAAGAGGTCCCTGGGATAGAAGGGAGTGGGCAGAGAGAGCAAGATGAGAATTCAGATAAACGAAAATGTAAAACCTGAAATGGCTGTTCCCCTCACTGCAGCAGAAAGCTTTGATGGCATGCAGAGCAAGCTGCCTCCTGTATTTTTTTTTTAAAAAGATAATGACAATGATGAGCAGATAACACTATCAGCTTGTCTGAAGCTTCAGCAAGTATGCCCTGTAGCCCATAGGGTTTCCATACATTTTCCTGTGCCCCTGAACCCTCACAAATAAGAGGTCTGCAGCCCCATCTCTACCCCCGGGAGGATGCTTCTGAACACTGATGACGAGGTCAGCGAAGATTGCTGTGACCTGGTTGAACACTGCCCTGAACAGGCACTTAAGTGCAAGCACAAACCCAAGGGTACTAACCATCTTTCAAAGCTCCCTACAGAAAGACTTGCCAAATCCAGCATGCACTTGAGAACAGGAAAATATAAACAAAACAGTACCCTTGAGGGCCCCAGCGGGTTCGCCTTTAAAAGGGAGGAGATCTACCTTATTTTTCAAGCTCTTGCCAAGACTCTTTCTTGAATTAAGAATTCTAAAACAACGTCATGGAGCTTCTTCTATTAGTCTGCTATTAGTTGCCAGTCGCTGCTTACACAGAGTGAGTTAATTAGTGGCATCAAAGGCAGTACAATAAATTCCCTGGAGGGTCAAAAATTTTGCCTTTTGCTTGGTAGCACATTTATGACTATCTCTCTCTGTGAGTCACAGTCTCATGAGCATTTAGGTATTCGAGATTTCTTTGAGAATTCAGTTTTAGTCTTTGACAAGCAAAGAATGAAGAGTCTCTCTTTCTTACTTTGCACATACAGACCTGAGCAGTTAAGATTCCATAACGAGATCCACGGCCAACAGTTAAGCAGAAACAATGACAGGCCTGTTCAGAAGGCCAGAGTGTCCAGGTTGCTGCCACCTGGCTGCATCCTCCGATGGGAATGATCCTATCACTCTGGAGATCTGGCCCAGCCCCTGTGTGGCCAGAGGACTTACAGCTTGGTTTTCCTTTAAAGGCACGAAGGAATAAACCTCTGTGTGCAGCAGCTTCTTCCTTTGGCAGTGCTTTCAGATGCTGGTTCCCAGGTCCACACCCTCCTCCCATCACCAGCAAAGTTCTATTTCCTAACCTTTCTAACATTTTTCCAAACTGCAGAAGTGAACACAAACTTAATGGGCTGCATCTGGTGTGTTTATGTTGCATGTTTTTGTTTTTAGAAGATCACGGAATGAGAAAGCCTGAGCATATGGTGGTATTATATTTTTAATAACATTTTAGAGACCATGCTTATGCCCTTGCAGGAATCAGGCGCTCCTGGAGAGTGCATTTAAATATCACGATAATACCATTATTGTACCAAAAGGAGCTAGAGGCCACATGACCCCCATGAGGGACAGACAGCAAGGCTCACCTACACTCAATCAGCCTCTGGGCAAAGGCCAGGTGCTGCCCGGGTCAGGTTTCTGCAACAGAAACCCCCTTTAGCTATGGCCCACTGACCTCAGCTATGAAATGTGCATTTGAGAAACCCAAATGAAAATACCACCTTTTGATTCTTCACAATTGTATCTAAGCAGCCTGCTTCTAGTGAGTTAGCCACAAAAGTCTGTACCTTTACAAAATCTCAGATAATGGCTCAGGTACTGCCTATGAGGGAGGAGAGAAAGGCCACAAAATTTCACCTCTCACAAAGCACACCTTCATGGCCACAGACATGACGCTAGCTGCTCTCCTTCCTCACACCACAGCCCCAGGAGTTCACTCACTTAGCCACCAGGCTGCCATGTCTCTAAATTGTTTAAGGATTCGAATTTTTGGACGAAAGGAAGTGGGAGGAAGAGAAATATATAATTATTTCTATACAAAATTTCTAAACAAAAAGAAAAATGTCAAGGAAATGCACCAATTAGCATAAAAATATTTGTATGGATTTTTAACTTATATTTCTCAATCATTTAGAGTACAGAAAAAGCTGATTTGTTTGTCTTTTATTTTTAATTCTATGTATGACCTTTACTATAATTATCTAAAGAAGTTCAAATTAAGTACATACAAATTGAAAAATTATCCCACAAGTTTATCTGTTGAAGCCTTGCTTTAAACTATTTATTCCATCCCTTGAAACAATAGAACATAGCTAAGATACAGGAGGCTAGGTGTGCACATATTAATAACACCCCCCGCTGGTATAGGACTTTAAAAGATTTTGATAAATTAGCCTATGTAAAATTATGTCATTTTATGTAAAATTAGCCTATGTAAAATTATATCATTTTGATAAATTAGCCTATGTAAAATTATATCATTTTAATTATCTCCTATGCATATGCAAACACCTCCCCAAAATGTCAAAAATACCCTAAGGTCCCTCCCTGAAAACTTGTTAACTCAGCTTTTACCAGCCCACTCTGGAAAGGCATAAATGGGAAATGCGTTAACAACACTAGACTATACTCTGCGCCTCACATTTATTGAGCACTTACTAAACGCCAGGCCAGTGCTATGTGCTCCACATGCGTTAATCCCACTGAATCTTCACAGACCTGTCCAGGATGCAGTATCATCAACCAGTTATTCAGCTAAACGTCCTGAGGTTTAACAAAGATTAAGCGACTGGCTTAAAGTCACCCTTCAGGTAAGTGCCCAGCTTGGCATGACTTTCCTTTGTATTATAAATTACTATTAACCCCTAAAATGTGGCTTCTGTGAGGAGTTTTTGAGAGCATTCATTTGCTTGCCACTGTTCTATCTGTACATGTGAAGACTATTTTTTTTTTTTTGGGATGGACTTTCACTCTTGTTGCCCAGGCTGGAGGTCAAAGGCACAATCTTAGCTCACTACAACCTCTGCCTCCCAGGTTCAAGCCATTCTCCTGCCTCAACCTCCTGAGTAGCATGAGAGAGAGAGAGCCAAGCACTACACCCAGCTAATTTTTGTATTTTTAGTAGAGACAGGATTTCACAATGTTGGCCAGGCTGGTCTTGAACTCCTGACCTCAGGTGATCCACCCGCCTCGGCCTCCCAAAGTGTGGAATTACAGGCGTGATGTGAGCCACCGCGCCCAGCTGAAGACTATTTTCATTGTTAAAATTATTCTGCCTCTTCCTCTAAAGGCCGTCAGGAAGAATACTACAGACTTTAATCAAACGAACTTAACTGTAAACTTTAAGCCAGAGTCATGAATGAAACATGGTTCAGAAACTTCTTCGAATTTCTCATTCTACTTCTGTTGTCGCTGTTGTTACTTTTGTCAAGCTCAGGCCTTGGGCACATTTAGTATCTTGCAGTGTAAATGACACCTCTCATGCTGTGGCTAAATTATCTTCTTGTCACCCTATTTCTCCCCACACCTCCCCATTTCTATAGGGTTTCCAGGTTCTGAATAGCTATTTTGCAAAAAAACAAAACAAACAAACAAAAAAAACACTGTCTTCAGGGGGACTGTGATGAACGCTTAGATGCAAGAAGCAGCCTAAGTATTTGGCTTGTGCTTAACTTAACAATAGCTCCAACAGTTAGAGCCGCACATAGTTTATTGAAAGGGGCATATGTCCAAAAGTTAAAGAAGCATATGGTTTACAGAAAAAGGAAAAAAGACTTGCACTTGGAAGCAGCTTTGCTTGGATTATTTACCAACAAATGAAAGGCCCTTCATGCTGCCCAAGAGTATAATCCCTTCCCACTGGCTGGAAAGGAATGCTAAATGAGTCAATAAAGTCAGAATCATACAACACAGAGACATTCTCCCTTCCCAACTAAAGATGATTATCGAATTATAGCAAATTTAAGAAAGTTTTCTCTTTTTTTAATCAAGAACAAAACCAGACTACTTCTTAAAATGCACTATTAGGAATTGTAACTGTTCCTAAATGTGCCAGATATATTTCCATCCATGCGATATTAAAACTAACAAGCGTCTTTTCAATTTCTTTTAATGATGGGGTATGCAATAAAAATACAGCAGTGCTTCATTTAGCCAAAGGAGCTGGAGCAAAAAAGACCTAAATAAATAAATAATAAACGTGCATGGGCCACTTACCAAAACTAAAATCATTTCATTCAACCTTTTACAGGAGGTGCATGCAGTATTTTGAAAGCAAAAATTCTCATAACACAAACCTCCACTTAAAAATCACTGCCAAGGGCTGGAACCATGGCAGGATGTTATTTCTTTTTCAATTTATTTTTTAATGTTTGGGTATTAATGGCATCAACTGCCATGTAGTATAATAAGGCAGCACAGTGTAATAAAAGGAGTTAGAAAACCTAGCTCCCAGACTTGCTCCTAGCACTTAATCGGTATGTGACCCAGGGTACATTAAAATATATCAGGTTGTCAGCTGCCTCCTCTACCAAAGGCAGATAGTAAAACTTGCCCCTCTTACTTCATAGGGTATTGTGAGGGTTAAACATAATAGCATATGAAAGAGAGCTTTATAAACTGTGGCATTTATGAAAGCTAGGTACTATCACTAACCTGATAATCTGTGTGATAATGCAAAACAGGGTGGCAAGATAATTGAGCCCTGGGCCAGGCATTGGATTTCCAGGCCTTGGATGTCCAGGTTGAATATCCCTTATTCAAAATGCTTGAGACCAGAAGTCTTTCGGATTTGAAATTTTGTCAGATTTTGGAATATTTGCATATACATAATGAGATATCTTGGGGATAGGACCCAAGTCTAAACACAAAATTCATTTATGCTTCACATACACCTCATATCCATAGCCTTGGGGTCACGGCATACAATATTTCTAATAATTTTGTGTATGAAACAAAGTTTTGACAGCAGCCCCTCACATGAGATCAGGTGTAGAGTTTTCTACTTGTGGCATCACGTTGGTGCTCCCAAAGTTTCAGATTTGGAAGCATTTGGGATTCCAGATTTTCAGATCAGGGATGCCCAACCTATACTGCTAGAAATGTCTAATGTTAGGCAAGTCACAGAATTTCTTTGGGCTGCTGCTTCCCCTTATATAAAATGGGACATCTCCTATCAACTTCAGCCAACTTCTCATAGATGTCCTAGGAAAAAGGATGGTGCAGAAGAGAGCTCCGTAACCTCTAAGGCAACAGACCAGTGGACGCCTTCACCAAGCATCAGGATAGACAGCTTAGGAGGGAATAACTGCTGTTTTACAACCAGAAAAAAAGCTCCAAGTTAATAATCTATAATTAAAACTGGTCATCTCTTTTACCCACTTCTTCAACGTATCTCTGGTCAAGCCCCAAATCAACATTTACTAGACAAGTATGCTTAGTTCTTCAAATATCTGTTGAAAACATCAATCCCTTCTACTTGGTTTTCTACAGTGACTTGAGACACTTGAAATTTTCCCGAGGAATACATTTTGTTTCTCCATAAACAATATTTACTAAGAAAAATCAAGCAAATTATTTTAGGGTGATTACTGACAACCTGTATCCTCTGACTGCTTTTGTACAGCCTGTGAGCTCAAATATATCTCAAACTTTTTAATGGATGAAAAATAACCAAAAGAAGAATAATATTTCACAACAGGCAAAAATGATAGGAAATTTAAATTTCAAGGTCCATAAATAATGTTTTGTTGGAACACAGCCAGGCTCATTCATTTTCATGTTGTCTACAGCTGTTTTGGAGCCACAACAGCAGAGTTGAGTAGTGATAGAAACTAAATCGCCTGTTAAAATCTGAAAACATTTACTAGCTGGTCTTTTGCAGAAAAGTCGTGTTGTCCTCTGACCTACCTTGTCTCAGGATATGACAACAACACCCATTAGTAAAACTATGAAACACACCTAGGAAAAATATTCAAAAAATAAGGTAACTATCATCTCCACAGTATTTAATATGAATGCTTTGAAATCTTAAAATAACTATGAGGCAGACAGCAATATCATCCTACAGATGACGGAAATAGGCTTAGAGAAATTAACTTCTCCAAAGTCACAAAGTTAGTAAGTCAGGGATCAAATCAGTCTCCTATGATTCTGAACCTGACAATTATATGACCTAGTGTGGCACATACATTTGTTAATAGGGATGAAAGAGGCATATCCAAGAATAAAGTTTTGAGAGTTCCTCTTCCCACATAATTGGGAAACTCCTTGCTAGAGGCAGAAACAAATGTAGTCAGGATTCTGAGGGAGTGTTTCCACCTCTTGTGTCAAAAATTGGGTAATAGGGTTTAGAGCAGGCTGAGTCAACACAAACAATACAAACCAGCCCAGGTTGGTTCTTCACATTCAATTCATACAGACTCATCCATGTCAAGGGCTCCGTGTGTCCCAGCATGAACCCTGACCTTCTAAGGGGAGTAAAAACAGAATGGCTGCTGCCCTCAAGGCCCACATTACTGATTTTTCTAGATGAGAAACTACCTGAGAAGGGACGCAGAGGCTACAGGGTTAACACAGGGTAAGCAGTAATGTAAACATTAGGTAAAGGCCATGGAGAGGAAAGGCCTCTTCTTCAGGTTTTGACTGTGGGGGGATAGACCAGGCTTACCTTTGTAGAGGAGGTTTGAACAAGAATTGGTTTGGAAAGTCTCTAGTTCAAATTTTCAAAGAGGCTGCGATCTCAACCCAACCCCTCAGGGATAGATTCAACTGAACTTTACAGTCTCAATGACTACTCTGATACTCTAAAATGTTGCACCTTTGGTTTAAGTTGAGAACACATGTAATTTTTTCTGCATTTTTCTTTATTCTTTAATTCACATCTTGTTGACACAAATGGAAATGTACTTTTTTGGCAGAAAAACTTTAAGAGAAATAATAATAGATTTCGCACTGCACTGCTGCCAAGTCATTCAAAGAACTCTTCCATCCTAATCACATTGTCTGGGCCAGTTCTACGAAAGTTCCCAAGAAGAGTTGATGAAAACGGCAAACGAAAGACATAATCAAGGCTGTGTTACTGTGCCTGACAATTCTGTCAATTCTACTGAGTTCCTCTTATCTACTCTACTGCCTGTAGACAAAAATAAAAATCTTAGTATGGACCAGCTAGAAAACGAAACCACCCCTCCTATAAAATGAATGCACCTCAGAGCTCATTCAGCAGAATATTAGCAACCACTGCAACTTCAACCCCTGCTTTGTCACAAAGAAGCAGCTTCTCCTTGGCTCCCAAGTAGCTCGGCCTTACAAAGCTCTCTTGCCTAAAGGAAATTCATTTCTGTTTCCCTTTCTATGCATTACTGTCTCTGAAGTCCTGGGGAGGAGTGGTCCAGGGGAAGGAGGAATAAACACCTTTTTTTTTTTTTTTTTTTTTTTTTTTGTATTTTCAACCTATCTTCAAATCTACACGGCAAACTTGGAATTTCCTGTCAAATAACAACTATCCTCACAAACTAGATATCTTCCATCCAAACACTGATCTTTTGCAATACTGACCTCCTTCTGTAATATTCAGGTCACAGTCTTCCTTGCCAAAGGCCTCATAAATTACTCAGACTCAAACCAAGAGTTATCTATCTCTATACACCTGCCTTTCTTTGCCCCACATTAAACAGTACTCTTCTATCTCACCTCTGCTTGTCACACCCCTCCGGACACTGCCAAAGAATGCTCATCTCCATCAACAACAGGCCTCTGCTCTGTAGCTGCCTCTCTCTGATTTGCCTTTTCCCCAACTGCAGTTGTCTCTACCCTTTCACTCTGAGTCCTTGTTGAATTCAACGCTGCCTCTATCTAATGAACCATCTCTATTTTCTTTTCTTTTTTTTTTTTTGAGACAGAGTTTTACTCTTGTTGCCCAGGCTGGAGTGCAATGGTGCTATCTCGGCTCACTGCAACCTCCATCTCCTGGGTTCAAGCGATTCTCCTGCCTCAGCCTCCCGAGTAGCTGGAATTACAGGCGCCCGCCAGCACACCTGGCTAATTTTTTGTACTTTTAGTAGAGACAAGGTTTTACCATGTTGGTCAGGCTGGTCTTGAACTCCTGGCCTCAGGTGATCCACCCGCCTCAGCCTCCCAAAGTGCTGGGATTACAGGCGTGAACTACCGTGCCTGGCCATGTACCATCTCTATTTTTTACACATCACAACCACTGGGCACATCATAGATCTCATGACCCCAGTGTCTCTCTTTTTGACTTTGTCTGGCTTGCACTTGACCCCTAAAGTTTTCCACAATGTTTCTAAGGATTGTTCTTTGGCCAATTTAATGGCTTCCTTACTGTGCTGATGCTTCAGTCTTCCGGCCACTCTGTTCAAGTAATAATCTTTTGCTTACTTGTCTTTATCAATCTTTGAAATCTGAATGGTTTTAAAATATTACTTTCCAAGCCTATGCAATTTTTTTTTCCTTTTGTAATGGGTCTATCTGGATAGACTTGAAATTCATTGCTAGAAAAACACCAAAATGCATGCAAAAACACAGGTTCTAATTTAATGGCTGAGTAGAAAAAATAATCACTAGGACACATCCTGTCCATACCCCTGCAATATACGGACAAGCTTTGAAAGCTGGTGTTTTAATATAGTTGTATATTCCCGTGTTGAAATCTGTTTAAAGAATCTAAAGACCAGACATGGTGGCTCACACCTGTAATCCCAGCACTTTGGGAGGCTGGAGTGGGCAGACTGCTTGAGCCCAGGAATTCGAGAACAACTGGGCAACATGGTGAAACCCTATCTCTACACAACATGCAAAAATTAGCTGGGCATGGTGGCGCAGGCCTGTAGTCCCAACTTCTTGGGAGGCTGGGGTGGGAAGCTCCTTGAGCCTAAGAGGCAGAGGTTGCAGTAAGCCAAGATCATGCCACTGCACTCTAGCCTGAAAGACAGATAAAGACCTTGTCTAAAAAAAAATAAAAATAAAAATAAAAATAATTGCCGAGCACGGTGGCTCACGCCTGTAATCCCAGCACTTTGGGAGGCCGAGGCAGGCGGATCATGGGGTCAGGAGATCGAGACCATCCTGGCTAACACGGTGAAACCCCATCTCTACTAAAAATAC
Source organism: Homo sapiens (assembly GCF_000001405.40). Classification (NCBI taxonomy): domain Eukaryota; kingdom Metazoa; phylum Chordata; class Mammalia; order Primates; family Hominidae; genus Homo; species Homo sapiens. Next base: position 42,164,675 of record NC_000007.14, read on the forward strand.
AAACAATTAGCCGGGCGTGGTGGCCTGTGGCTGTAGTCCCAGCTATTCGGGAGGCTGAGGCAGGAGAATGGCATGAACTCAGGAGGTGGAGCTTGCAGTGAGCCGAGATCACGCCACTGCACTCCAGCCTGGGCAACAGAGCGAGACTATGTGTCAAATAAATAAATAAATAAATAAAAATTAAAAAAATCTAAAAGGGGGTTTTGGTTTTTTTTTTTGTAATGAAATCTTTCATTCTAGGAACAGTCTTAACATTGCAAGGGAAAGCAATAATGAAATGATCATAAAGGAAATGAGGCTTTTAAATCACTATTCATGGGCCAGGAGCAGCGACACGTGCCTGTAATTCCAGCACTTTGGGAGGCCAAGGCGGGTGGATCACTTGAGGTCAAGAGTTCTAGACCAGCCTGGCCAACATGGTGAAACCTCATATTTACTAAAAATACAAAAATTAGCCAGGCGTGGAGATTGCAGTGAGCCTGGGCAACAGAGTGAAACTGTGTCCAAAAAAAAAAAAAGAAAAAACAAATCACTATTGAGTAGGGTGCGCTCTCTGGTGGGTTATAGCAGATCTGTTACAAATCTTTGGCATTATAGTGTCCCTGCATCCCTACTATAGAAACCACAGAAACCAGCAAAAGTTCTGGTATAATACTTACCTATCCAATGTGAACTATCTTTCTACATGAAGGTTTTAAGAGTTCAAATAATATGCAAAAACATCAGGGTTTTCATGGGGCTGGGAGGATATTTTTAAAATACCCCCTTAGAAATACATATTCCTGAAGCCCAAGTATGGAAACATTTTTCCACATGGACACTTAAACATCAGAAAAGAAGTAACAAATTAGTTTAATTTCACTGATTGGGTCATGAAGACACAACTGTACCATACAATTTATCATGCCATTAAATCAAATAGACTGCTGGTGCATTTGGGGGTCTCATTCCCTACTTGTTCTGGGTTTAGGCCTTGTCTATAACTAGCTGCTAGTGATATCAAGTCTTGAACTTCTTTTGTACCTGCCTGAGCTGACCACAGAAAGAAACATCTAAAATGCCTCTTAAACGTGGGCAAGTCAATTTTGTAAAGTCACTGAGTATACTAATATTCTAAATAATTCAATCAAAAATGTAGAATCTAGTCTTGCAAACAAAGTTAAAACCATAAAACCATAGATGAAAATCCAAAACATTGGGAAACAGATGCTTGGCAAATCCAAAAATCGCATATATTAAATCTTAATGTCAAGAGTACAAAAGCCAACTTGTCACAGATTAGTGAAAATGGAAGCAAAGTTAAAAGTTACGGTGTTCCGTATGCTCCCCTTCCTAAAAATCTTCTAGAAGCACATGTCACTTCCAGGCTCACAAACCTTGCATGAAGCCCAGGTGTCTGCAAGACCAACTCCAAACTGCCCAGCCTGAATAGAGGCTCTGAGCATGAAGAACCATCCTCAGCCCCTTCTGTCCCATCTTCTGAGCCTGCTCAACTTTCCACCCAATGTCTACCAGAGCATTTCTTACCTTGTTTGGTAATTAGCTATTCACTTGTATGTCTCCATCACTAGACTATAAGATCCTTGAGGGCAGGCGCTGGAATTCAGTACTCTGCTATCTCTTATGTGCACACCATAGGCACTAGTGAAGTATTCTACAGGTGAATAAATAATTGAATGAATGTGGTGGGACTTCCAGGGAGTGTCTGGAAGCAACAGTATACGTTTGCTGCTGTTGCTGTTCTTGCTGTCTTCCAAGGGTGGCCAAAACAACAGGCATCTTTCTGATCGGGATGAGGCCCCAGAGGGAATAACACTGGAGCATCCCTGTGGGCCTTGGCAATGGGGCCCCAAGAAACAAGATGCCAAAAGTGAAAGCATAGCTCCAGTTGGGGGGTTGGAGGGACAACAAACAGAGGAGAAGGGGGCAGAGGGAAGTCTCTTATGGCAGCATTCTGCCAGCCTGGTTCTGATTCCTTTTTTTTTTTTTTTTTTTTTTTTTTTGAGACAGGGTCTCACTCTGTCTCCCAGGCTGGAGTGCAGTGACACAATCTCTACTCACTGCACCCTCTGCCTCCCGGGTTCGAGCAATTCTCCCACCTCAGCATTCCAAGTAGCTGGGATTACAGGTACACGCCACCATGACCAGCTAAATTTTTTTTTTTTTTAGAGATGGAGTTTCATGCTTGTCACCCAGGCTGGAGTGCAATGAGGTGATCTCGGCTCACTGCACCCTCTGCCTCCGGGGTTTGAGCAATTCTCCCACCTCAGCCTTCCAAGTAGCTGGGATTACAGGTACATGCCACCACGCCTGACTAATTTTTGTAATTTCTAGTAGAGACCGGGTTTCGCCATGTTGGCCAGGCTGGTCTCGAACTCCTGACCTCAGGTGATCCGCCCACTTCGGCCTCCTAAAGTGCTGGGATTGCAGACATGAGCCACTGTGCCTGGCCTGGTTCTGATTCTTTATGCCTCTGTTAGCGCTTGCCAGGTTATCACCTAAGAACATGATATTGCTATTCATCAACTTAAGGCTGGTGTTCTTTAGTGGAAGACAAAATGCTAAGGACAGTAAGCAATGGGAACGAAAATAAACAAACAGATTAAGGACAAGACAAATGGACACAAACTACCATACTACAGAATTCCTCTCTCCCAGCATTGATTTTCCATCTGTTCCATGCTCAAGGGAGTTGCTGTGGAGGTTAATATTTAGCCCATGCATATGAGAGAAGTACAAGATGATTCATAGTTTACAGAGATACCCATAAAATTGGAAACACACCAGCAAATATCTGGCCCTCCTTGAGTTATTAAATTGTCAGTTTAGATATGTTTGGGAATTACTGATAAATTTTAAATAGGTATATATACACTTGAAAGATTAAAGAATAAAAATTTAACAATTTAGCTTTTTCCGTATACATACAGAGAAAGAGAGAGAGAAATAAACGTAACTCTGGCAATTTCTTAAAAAGGTAGGGCATTTTTATGTAGCACATGCTTTTGTTTTTTTCTCTTAACTATCAGCCTTTCATCTTGATGTTGGTAAGGACTGCATTTGCCACAGGCTGATAAGTGGATATGGCAGAACTTCAAAACTCATGTCAGCCAAAGAATTTAGAGAGAGAGAAAAAATCAGACATAAAGCTGGTAAAAAGCAACTATAAAAATTTTTAATGCCTTCTATTTAATTCTGCCAAAAGATCACACAGCAGCAGGATCCAGATTTGGTACATCTCTCAAACTCAACTCATGCATGCACATGGCCTGAATCCAATTTCTTACCCCAAAGATTGTTTTTCATTAAGCTAGTAAACCTAGGAAGGTTGCTTATAAGACCAACAAGTTAATAAACTCCTTCCTTTTAAGACAATTCAAAAGCCTTCCATTTACTAGAGTAAATCAAGAAAAACTGATAAAGAAGAAAATAACAAGACATAAGACATAATTCTTCACTTAGAAATGATAGCCTGGTCTTAAGCCAACAGTCATTATCTACAATTTAAATCAGAACTCAGTACCTTGTTAAGAAAACTTCATTACTCTCATCCTTCCTAAAAGTAACGTCAAGGAAAGACAAAAACACTGTGCATTGCCAAGTCTGTGCTGTTCTTTACTTTGCTCAAGAGATGTTAGGGGAGAGGAGAGAATAAAGATGTGGGCACAAGAAAGTTTGTGAAAATATTGTTCTACTCCCAACACCAGGGGCACCAAAAAACATGTAGCAGAATATTCACAGGATCGCTCTTTGTAACCAAAAATGTGAAGCCACCAAATGTCCATTAGCAGTAGGACAGATTCATAAATTGTGATATAGCCACACAAAGGAATACTATACACCAAGGGGGATGAACATGCACAACTACATATAATGTAGATGAATCTCGTAAACATAATGTAGACCAAGGAGAAGAAGCCAGACACAAAAAGAAAACAAATCTATAAAGTTCGAAAACAGGCCGAGCACAGTGGCTCATGCCTGCAATCTCTGCACCTTGGGAAGCTAAGGTGGGAGGATCACTTGAGGCCAGGAATTCGAGACCAGCCTGGGCAACACAGCAAGACCCCCATCTCTAAAAAACGTTTTAAAAATTAGCCAGGCATGGTGGCACGCACTAGTGGTCCCAGCTACTCGGGAGGCTAAGGCAGGAGGAACACCTGAGCCTGGGAGGTTAAGGCTGCAGTGAGCTGTGATCGCACCACTGCACTCCAGTCTGGACAATGAAGTGAAATCCTGTCTCAAAAAAATTAAAAACAAAAAAATAAAAAATAAAATACATGCTGTTAGGTGTCAGAAATCAAGATGGGCTAGAGGGTGCTGAATGGGTCTGTTTCTTGAGCCTAATTCTAGCTTCACAAATGTTTGGTTTGTGAGAAATTATCTAACTGCCCATTTATGAGATGTGTCCTTTTCTACATGCATATTCTCTTTGGTATAAAATGGAAAGTGTCAATTCAAAAAACTTCCAGACAGCCCTTCAATGTCTGCTTCAGATCTGTCTCTGTGCACCCATTCACAAGCACCATTATTTTTCTAAAATATGAAACTTACAGCTGTTTATTTTAGACAGCCTAATATATATTCAAACATATGCAATATATAACAAAATGTTACTCTGTATCAAAAAAGCCGCCTCAAACTGTGCATGAACAGCCAATTCAGTGAAGAAGAAATTTAAATGTGCAATATGAAAATGAAAAATAGTTGTATTTCATTGTGTTATGAAAAAAATAAAATTGAAACATGATGCTATTTTTTTGTCTTGGTATCAAACGAAAAAGTGCTGGTAAAGGTTTAATAAGGAGCATGCACTGTTATTAGCAGGATAGCATTGGTGCATGTTGAATACTCACATATACATACACCAATTTGATGATATGGAGGACAAGTCTTAAATGTATATACTGGTTGGCCCAATCCTCCCCTTGCTGGGTACATACCCAAAGAAGTAATTCAGGTTCTATGCAAAGACTTCCCTAAAAGGATGTTCACTGAAACAATATTTATAATAGAGCAAGTAAAAGTCCTAAATGCCCAACAATAGAAGATTAATAATGCCCACAAAGCACAAAAAAAAGAAGAGAAGCAAAGAGAAAAGAGAAAAGAACAGGAAGCAAATGCCAAAATGTTAGCAGTGATGGTTATCTGTGAGAAGTCAATTACTTCTTATTACTTCTTATATTTCAATTACTTCTTATATTTCAATTACAATCAATTGAAATATAAGAAGTAATATTCAATTACTTCTTATATTTACTGTGTTTTCCAATATTTCGCTAAAATTAAAAAAAAAAATCAGGCCAGGCACAGTGGCTCACGCCTGTAATCACAGTACTTTGGGAGGCCAAGGCAGGCGGAGGTCAGGAGTTCAAGACCAGCCTGGCCAGCATGGTGAAAACCTGCCTCTACTAAAAATACAAAAAAATTAGCTGGGCGTGCTGGGACGTGCCTGTAATCCCAGCTACTCAGGAGGCTGAGGCACGAGAATCAGTTGAGCCCAGGAGGCAGAGGTTGCAGTGAGCTGAGATTACAACACTGCACTCCAGCCTGGGCGACAAAGCAAGACTGTGTTTCAAAAAAAAAAAAAATTATATATATATATATATATATACACACACATATGTATATATTTAAAAACTTCTCAATGTAGAAATAAATGTGTTTTTATCAGGGCTGTTTCAAACTTAAATATTACAGTTCTTACAGAGAACTTACTGATCTTTTTTTTTTTTTTTTTTTTTTTGAGACAGTGTCTCGCTCTGTCGCCCAGATTGGAGTGCAGTGGCACAATCTCCGCTCACTGCAAGCTCCGCCTCCTGGGTTCAAGCCATTCTCCTGCCTCAGCCTCCCGAGTAGCTGGGACTACAGGTGCCTGCCACCACACCCAGCCAATTTTTTGTATTTGTAATAGGGACGAGGTTTCACCATGTTAGCCAGGATGGTCTCGACCTCCTGACCTCGTGATCCACCCGCCTTGGCCTCCTGAAGTGCTGGGATTACAGGTGTGAGCCACCACGTCTGGCCTTGCTGACTTTTTAAGAAAGTACCTGGTCTTTCTGAAATACAAGTTAATGGTAAATAAAAGAGATGCCAGCACTCTCACCACAATTGCCACAATCAAGTATTTGCTTGAGAATTATTTTTTTCTTTCCTAAATCCCCTGTAGGGGTGGGAAGGAGGTATTAGACATTCTGTGAGCTCATGCCCAGTTTAACCCTAATTCCTCAGGCAAAATATAACCTGTGAGCTTTTTGTGGCTTCTCCCTGCAGCAACAATCTGATTGACTCAGCACACAGTTATTTATTAATCATTCTATGTAAAATTATAGGGTTCTATAACAATTGTGCAGTGTCCTCCATTCCCCACTCACCTCACTTTCCAGCTCTTCTGACTCTATACAGCTCTAGGAACTGTATTATCAGTTCACTGTCTTGCATCTCACCTTAGCTTCTAATAAGTGTTAGATTCAAAGCTAGACTTGATTGCAAAAATTTTCAAGATTGTTCAGAAGTCTGTATGAGATGTGATTTCATGGCCTTTTCTATCATACAAGTCCACTGTCACAGGCTTCACGAAATAGACATTTAGCAAGACATTTTAACACTTCTTCCCAAGTGAAAACTTCAGGATTTTTTAAAAAACTTTTCCTATGAAGAGAACTAAGGAGATAATAGGCCTAAGTACAGAAGAAGCAAATTAAAAAGAATTTCCAACTCCCACATCACTATGTTTAAGCAATGTGAATACATCCACAAGTAGAAAAAAGACTAGAAGGAAATGTACTAAAATGTTAACAATTGTCATCCACACATGAATAGTGAAATAAGGCTAATATTTGTTTTATTTTGCTATGTTCTTCAATATTTTTCAGACTTTCCACAATGATTATTGCTTTTGTTATTAGAAACCATAATCAAATGCTACAGGACACAGAAAATGCGGGGAGAAAAAAGGTAGACGTCTGGTAATCGAAGGCCCTGGGACTTGCAGCTTCTCAACTTGCTCAAGTTTATACAGTTCTTAAAGCTTTCTTCCAAATGTAGGTCAAAGCTAAGTCACTGAGTCCTTAGAGAATTCCTTCTGTCACTGCAGACAGCCCTCTGGCATTTATAATCCATAGTGGAGGTTGAAAATACAGGTGACAATAAAGAAAAGACCCAAGACTGTGCCATGATCTGTTTTTATCTATTTTTCTTAGAAATTTTAATGGTATTTGGGGGCAGAGTTTCCCAACAAAATTGAACAGAATGTACCTTCACATTGCCTCTGAGAATAAAACAATGTTTACGGCTCCAAAGGACGGGGGTGGGGGTGTCTATAGGACTCGTGCACATTCTGCTCTCATGCATGAGATCTCAGCTATGGGTTTTGAACAGAAAAGTATATTTCCTTCTAGTCTTTTCTCTACTCCTGGATGTATTCACATTGCTTAAACATAGTGACATGGGAGTTGGAAATTCTTTTTAATTTGCTTCTTCTGTACGTAGGCCCGTTATCTCCTTCGTAGTTCTCTTCATAAGAGAAGTTTTAAAAAAAAATCTTGAAGTTTTCACTTGGGAACATAAAACAATATTAACTGCTCCAAAGGGCAGAGGGTGGGGGTGCCTGCAGGATTCATGCACATTCTGCTCTCACCCATGAGATCTCAGCCATGGGTTTCAAACAGAAAAGAGGGATCCGCATGTCTTAACTCACTGCCTCTGTGGTAGAGGAGAATTTGCATGGCTGGCATTTCTATCAAAAAGCAGAATTAGATAGTAAGATGAAAAAGGATAAACTTTTTTACACTAAAAAGTGTAAATGAATTAAATGAATAAAGTGGTCTTGCAATCATCCCGCACCTAGGTAAATGTATGGGTTTGTACGCATTCTTTGGAGCTTCCCCCTTTCAAGGTAGCCCATCCAAGAGGATCTGTGGCTGAGTCGTTTGTGCAGCAGCAGGGATGGACAGCGCGGATGCATCCAATCCTCCTGGTCCAGCCTCTGGCCTGGGCCTCCAAATGGTTGCCTGGGAGAAGGGGATGAGTTTTCAGCAGTGGAGCTGAGAGTTTTCCGTGAGTAAAGTTAACACATTTCATTACTTGGCTATTATCACCTTCTATTTAACAAAGCACAAGCCATTTATGACTCTCAAAGAGCCATTCACCTTCTACCTAATATCACTCTCACAGCAACCTTGCAAATTATGAAGATTATTCCACATTTTACAATTATGAAAACAGACTTGGGATGAAGTAGCCCAAACCCCATCCCTGGGAAGCAGCAGTCAGAAGGAGAGAGAAAGGACCACGGACAAGTGAACAAGAAGTCCAGTGCCCTTACCCGGTAGTGCCTGCCCTCTGCAGGGTAGCCCACTGAGCACACTGTAGACCTTACTCTTCCCTGCAAGTCAAATTGTCACAACGACGGGTATATTTTTATGTTGCATTCTCCCACAGGTAGATGTACCATAAGTGCTGGTGAAATACTTGATGCCTGGCTGACTTGGAGAGATGCAACCTCCACGAGCACTAGGCTGCATTAGCCAAGCCATCGTTGACAGACACGGCGGGCAAAAAATATTCTAAAAGAATCAGTTGAAATGCCTAACACAGAGACAGAAATCTTTTCTCTCTCTTCATGTCCCCTCATGTCCCAAGCAACTTTAAGTTACTTATTTCTAAAGCCCAGTCTGGCCCTATTTTTTTAAAATTGCATTAATATGACTTGTTCAGTCTTTGCAATAAAACTAGCAGCATGAATGGATGAATGTCCTGCACAGATCCAGGTAACGAGGGTACTGTCTATTTTGGCTTTTGTGGAAAGCTGCCCATTTATTCTGATTTAGAAGCAAATAAATATTATAATATTCTCCAGTCATTTTTTTCCTGTATTTTCCTGTCCTCTTTCCCTTTTTTTATGTGTAACCTGAATGATCCTGCCAGAGTCTGATGAGAGCCTTCTAAACCAGGCTCCTTTCACGAGCACAAAAGACTTTCAGAACCTCTCATTCCCCCAAAGCAGAAGGAAGCTCAGAGAACTCTTTGGGAACATGATCAACTCTAGCACAGCCACTGGCTCTCAGGAAGGGTCCATGTTCCCTGCAACAGGGGAGTTACCCAGGGGAGATGAGGAAGCAAAGTACACGCTAAGAGAACTCAAGAACAGAAGCAGAGCTGGTCTATATCAGCCCCTTACCAGTTTACACTTTTAGTCATTTTATGCTGGGCACAAGCTTGACCACTGCCACATGGCTTTTATTTCTGAGAAATCACTAAAGGATTACAGAAATTTTGGCCTGCTATGTTAATTCTACCAAAATATCCTAATTTTGTATTTTTCCAAAAGGCCAAAAGGCAAATGGAAAGCAGATAGCTGGTGATATTTGATTTTCTAAAAAAAATTAAATTAAATGCAGCATGGTTTCAAGTATTCCATAGGATAAAAGACTCTCAAATATGTACAAGCCATTTATAGTTAAAATACTAGATAAAACATAAATGTTATAATTGAGAATTTCTGATGGCAATTTTACTGAATTTAAAATCAATAAAGAACACCCATCATCTGGGTAACTAATTTTGCTTTTCCGTCTGACTTATTCCACCTAAACCAGGTAACCTTCCCACAAAATAAATATTTCTTTTGACGTTGCTTATGAAATGTGGAATTGACCCAGAAATTCTAATTTCCTGACTTTGTTTACTGAGAACTCTGATTCAAAACTGGGTCAAGAGATGTCTGCATTGTATGTCAAAACTTCTTCCAACTGAATTCACCTTTCAGCCAGTCCCGCGGACTCAGTGGACTTCATCCCAAATGCCTGTTTATTCATTTCCTCCCCTGGAAACGTTAAAAGCTCCGTGTTGTTAACCAGCTGGTTAGAGTTGAGCAAATCCTCATAAATCAGCCCTTTGCCCAACGAGCTGGGAGTTCATGGTCGCTCTTCCCTGACACACAGAGAAAACAACTGAAGCACATTTCGGTTCACAAAAGAACATTCACATGTTCACAGACCTCGGCTTTCATCTGTCGGATCACAGTTCGTTTTTGATGAACTGTGTTCATCAACCGCCCCCCAGGGCCGCACAGAGGGTGACGGCACGGGCGAGGAGTCTGGCTGCCAGGGTTCAAGGCCTGGCTCTGTCACTACACTCAGCTCCAGCTCGGGCAAGTCACTGAACTCCCCGAGCGCCATTTCCTCATCTGTAAAACGTGGAAACAGCAGTGGGCTTGCCGGGAGGATTAAGTGAGGATGCGCAGGGGAAGTGTTCTATAGATGTCAGCTCTCAGTAGAACCTCTGCCCCCATGCTGACATGAAGTATGTCTATGAAGCGGTGGGATTGTCTTTCCTGCCTGATTTCTGTAAATGCCGTCTGTTACCTTACAGTCGCACCTTGTGCAACTGTTTGAGTCCATTAAATTCCCAGAGAGACCCTGAGACTAGCTGATCAAAAACACACCACCTATGTGGTACTTGGTGTGTCTGTGTGTCTGTGATCAACAAAGTGATAAATGCTTTTAAGTGTTGGGATTCACCATTGATGCTAGCATGAATAAAGTACACTGGGCCAGTCCCCCCGAAATGCTTGCCTTCCATCCCTCGGTCCAGTTGTATAAGCTGAGGAAACAGACTTCACCCTTTTGGGGCTCAGTCTCTTCATTTGGAGAAATAGGGGCTGGGTACAGTGGCTCATGCCTGTAATCCCAGCACTTTGGGAGGCCAAGGTGGGCTGATCACTTGAGGTCAGGAGTTCGAGACCAGCCTGGCCAATATGGCAAAACCCTGTCTCGACTAAAAATACAAAAATTAGCCAGGCGTGGTGGCACACACCTGTAATCCTAGCTATCTGGGTGGCTGAGGCACGAGAATCACTGGAACCTGGGAGGCAAAGGTTGCAGTGAGCTGAGATTGTGCCACTGCACTCCAGCCTGGGTGACAGAGTGAGACTCTGTCTCCAAAAAAAAAAAAGAAATGACAGTAGTCTCTCTTACAAAACTTTTGCGGCTGAAAGTGAGTTTTAAACAAACTTATATAAAAAGCATAAACATTAAAAACCATTAACTCTATATGGGAGTAACTGGATTCCAACTTGCATACCATGATGTATAATAACACTAACAGTAACAACTACCGAATATCAGACTGTACAAAACCCTTTATCTCTTTGATTTCCTTAAATCCTCACCATGAGCTTATTGTTTCCATTTTATAAAATAAATATAAATAAATAAAACCAAAGCTTATAGAAGGTAAGAAACTTCCCTAAGGCCACACAGCAAAGCCAGAAATTAAGCCTGGGTCTGTTGGATCCCACAGCCCACGCACATAACTCTGAACAGTACAGGGCCCAAAACCACCCTCCTACTGGCACCAAGTCTGAACTTGTCAACTGAGCTCCAAGTCACAGACAGAATGATAAAGGAGGATTGTCACACAAGTCAGGCATGGTGACCGAAACAGGGACTGATGTCCTGGCCAGCTTGTCATGAAGCCCTATTTCAATTTGATTAACATTTACTCATACCCCATTACTTTAGTCCCCATATGCTGGTGCTGACCCAAAGATATCCTCAAAGATCCACCAAGATGCCAGAAGGCAGCTGGATTCCAAGCAGAGGTACAGAGAATGCCCCCTCCACAGTTCTGTACAGGACTTTCCCCACAAGTCCTGACAAATCCTGTGAAGGCCCATAGGTCACATGAAGTCCTTCATGAAAACAGATCTATCAGCTCAGGTTTCTAAACCTTCTTCTCTAACGCCACCCAGGTTCCTCTCTCTCTTTCTCTCCAGGGGCCTGCCTGTTCCTTCTGCAGTCAGAAGAACAAGACATGAATTCATGCAAACAGATGCCCAGAGAGGCACAAGCCCATGGCTTGCACAAATAGCGGGATTGCCAACCCCAGTCTGAACTCTGCCAGAACAATCTGCTTCCTCATCTTTTATGGGTCTAAGACAATCTGCTTCTTTAGCCCTAGGCTATTGAGAAAAATACAAGGTCCACAACTTAACTCAGTGAGCATTCCCTCAAAGAAACTATTCCCTGAATCTTCACCTAGTTTTGCTGCTCTCCTTTGGAGGTCAGTGAAGGTGGGATATTGATCCCCAGGGTCCACAGCCCAGCCCTCCTCAGTGCAGCCCTGCCTGAGGGTCCTGGGAAACCAGGCAATGCTGGAACCCAAGGAAGAGCACAGGATCGCTTCCCTCTCCCCTCAGGCACTTTTTAAATCTAGCCCCCAAATTTCCAGGCAGGGGGCCAAGCTGTTCAATAGAAGGCATACACTAAACTGAGGAGCCAGACTGGAATGGGAAGTGGCCTTCTCACGGAGCTAAGAAGGGACTCTGTTCATTGATTTATCCATCCCTGTCTAATTCACCTATTTACTGAACACCCACTTTGTTACAGGAGGGGCTGATCTAGGTGCTGACGCTCCAGTGATAGGGACACTCCGTCCTTCCCTTGAGAGCTTACATGTCCTAGTTGCAGCCCATATTCTAGTAGGGGTGGGTGAGAGTGATAGAAAGAGAGTGGCCAGAGGTGGAGAGGAGTGTCAGCAAAGGCCTCAGGGACCCTCACATCAAATATTGAGAAATATCCCCTGATGCAGAGTGGGGAGGAGAGACGGAGGCAGCAGGAGGTCACATATTCAATGATCAAAAACATAAAGAGGACTGTAACTTCAAATAAAGAGAAAGATTTCATGACCTTGGCCTTTTAGAAGCTAAGGGAACTGAAACTGAAAAGGTCATATAAGGGCGGAAAATGAAGCAGAGTCCACAATTATCACCTGTTTAAAGGTGAGGAAAATGAAGTGCAAAAAGGAAGAGAACACACTTGGCATATGGCAGCGTTGGTTTGTGAGCCCCATCAGTCTGATCCAGAACTTAAGCCTTTGCCCACTGAGCTCCAGTTCTACATTTCTATGGCTTAAAAACATGTAGATATTCAAAATCCTAAATATGATGGAAGGAAGATCATCAGTAAGCAGCTTATTCAAAGGTTATGGGGACTGAAGACAAACGGAAGAGTAAATTAATGTGAAAAAACATAGATGGGCCAGCAGAGATAAGCAAGGGGAAGGTTTAATAGAGCGAAGCTGATGCAAACAACAGTGTGCTCCTCTGCAAGAGTGCACCCTGTCTCCTCGACGGGCTCGTCCAGTAAGACAATAGCAGAGGCTCACATGCTGCTGGGATGTCTAACATATGATGTCTGGAGAGGCTTTGCTAGGGGCAGTATCACTCACGACTCCATGAACATTCACGCAACCCCGCTAAGTGTGGGGACCAGCTGGATCCTGGTGCACCAAGGATGATAAAATGGCTTCGCCTTCATGGATCTCAGTCACTAGCCAAACTTGACATGGAAAAAATCAGTGCTAACAAGAACTTCAGGTGCTATTCAGCTGAGAATCTGAGGGGTACAGTGAATGTGCTGCCTCTGGGCCCAAGGGCCCAGCTGTGTCCCAGCTGAGATGTCGGCCAAAAGCAGCACACAACAAATGTCCACACACTCAACTGCTCTGCTTAGAACAGAAAGCTCCAGGGAAGACAGTCAGGACAAAATGTGCATCACCTAAAGTGCCAACAAAGTTGTGTATCATCCCTGCAGCTTCTGCTGAGACCCCAGCTTACCATCATATCAGTAAGGCAAACTGCAGGCCACCCAGATGCAGGCGCTTAATTCCATAGTCATTGTAAAAGCTCCTCGGGCAATGACCAGGACGGCAGATACCATGGTACTGACCATTCTGGAATATGTGTCTTTGAAAAGATAGCCCACTCCCACCACCTACAGAAAAACAAATTAAAGCTAAACGGCCTTGCCTCTTATCTCCAAGGAACTCATCACCCCCCTTCAAGAAGAAAGGAGAGCTATTCCTTCACTGCTACAAAGAAGGGCTGCACTAGACTGAATCAGGCCCCTTCACTCATTCAGCAAACATGTACTGAGCTCCTACTGTGTACTGGGGACTAGTAGCTAGACCCTGGTCTAGACACTTGGACTCTAGCAATCAACAAAATAGACACATCCCCATCACTGGAAGATTAGAGTTTACCAGGAGGAAAGGATAGTGTTTGTTAGAGGTTACCAAGCGGCTATGGGAAAATAAAAGTAGAGTGGTGTTCAGTGGGACCAGGCAACCGGGGGTAGGCAGGAGGCAGGCAGGCAGACAGAGCAAGGTGATCTGGGTGGATCACACAAAAAATGGACATTTGAGCACAGACTTGACAGACATGAGCGAGTCAGGAGAACAGACACAGGGGAAGAGGAAGAAGAAAGAGCCAGGGCAACAAGGCAAAAATGTTCCTGGTGTGTTTAAGAAAAGGCAGTGGGCAGTATGGCTGGTGATATGGTTTGGCTGTGTCTCCACCTAAATCTCATCTTGAATTCCCATGTGTTGTGGGAGGGACCTGGTGAGAGGGAATTGAATCATGGGGGCAGGTCTTTCCCATGCCATTCTCGTGATATTAAGTCTCACGAGATCTGATGATTTTTAAGAGGGGAGTTTCCCTGCACAAACTCTCCTCTTGTCTGCTGCCATGTGAGATGTGCCTTTCACCTTCCACCATGATTGTGAGGCAACCCCAGCCATGTGGAACCGAAAGTCCAATAAACTTCTTTCTTTTGTAAATTGTCCAGTCGTGGGTATGTCTGTATTGGCAGCGTGAAAACAGACTAATACAGCTGGAGCAGAGGGAAGGCGTGGGTGGGCAGGTAACGGGAGGGACAGAGTGTGCTGCCCAAGGCCACTGTATGGACATTGACTCCAAGGGAAATGGGACCCTTGGGTGAGTTTTAAGCAGGAGAGTGACATAATCCAACTTATATTTGTAAAGGCTCACTGTGTTGACAACAGACTCTAGTAAAGCAAGGATGGTGGTGAGGAAACTGAGGGCTGTTGGTGCAATCCAGGAAAGAGCTGATGGTGGCTCCTAGGAAGGCAGTGAGCAGGGGGCAGATTCTGGTGCTTTATGAAGAGAAAAGTCCACAGAATTTCCTAGCAAGCTAGACTTGGGATGTGTGTGTGGCAAGGGGGTATGGGTGTGTGTATGTGTGAGAGAGTGAGAGAGAGACGGAGAGGTGAGGGAGTGGGGAATATGGTTCCAATGTTCCACCGTTGGGAGCCTGAAGAACTGAAAGCATGGCCTTGCCATCACCTGGGCTAGAAAAGGTGTAGCAGCCTGAAGTGGGTGGAGAGTAGCTCATTTCGCCAATGTCATGTTTAAGATGTCTTGCAGATATCCAAACAGAAGTGTCTGATGGGCAGCTGATACACAAGTGTGAAGTTTGGATGGGAGAGAGCAGGGCTGGAAGAATGAATTTGGACGTTATAAGCAAATCAGTGGTATTTCAATTCATAAAACTGGCTGCGAGCTCCCAAGGAATAAGTACAGAGGGAGAAGAGGGCCCAGGTCTGAACTCTGTGCTCTCCCATGTGCAGGAGATAAGAACGAGGAGTGGCCTGCAGAGGACAGGCAGTGGTGGGGGCGGAGGACAACAGAGAAGGCCCAGCTATCATGCAGAGACTGTGCCAGGTGGAGCAGGGGGAAGACCCCTGTCATCATGTCAAGCATAATGAAGACTGAAAACTGACCACTGGTCTAAGCAACCAGAGGACCAACAGTGGCCTGGACAAGGCAGCTTTTGTGGAACAAGTGACTGGGGCAAAAACTAGAGTGGGTTCAAAAGAGAATGGCTGAGGGTGAAAACAGCGAGCTCCAATGGCCCTGTGAAAGAGAGCTTACACACAGAGGAGCCAGGGGAAGGTGGCAGCTGGTGAGATGAACATGGTCACTGAGTGTCTGTTTCTTTTCAGAGGATGGACATGTGTATCCTGATGGAGCAATCCAGCAGAAAGACAAATCAGGTGACACAGGCGGGAGAGAGGTGGAGTGATGGCCTGGAAAAGGCTGGAGGGTAGGACCCAGGATGCGCTCAGCATTGCCTTTAGACAGCAGCCAAACAGTTCGAACAGCTCATCTGTGGGAGGCAGTGGGCACAGACCCTGGCAGATGAGAAGTCGGTGAAAATTATCTCCTGTTGGAGTGAAACTCCAAGATTTCCTTAGTGAAAGTAGAAAGTAAGGTTATCGCTGAGAAATGACATCCAAAAAAGTCTTTGACATCCAAAAAGGTATAATGTGTAATTACCCTTTCTATTGTCTACTAAATTATATAGCCCAAGAATAAGGAAATCTCACATCTACTCTAAAATCCTCTGGCAAACCTGGACCTGCACAGATGTTTCCTTACTGGAAAGGCGTTCCAATCGTTCACCCAGTATCTGGACTGGGGGCTGGCAAAGCTTTTTTTGTCAAAGGCTACAGTGTAAATATTTTCAGTTTTGCAGGCCAGTCTGTTGTAATTCTGCAACTCTGCAATAGTAGGGCTAAGGCAACCACACACAATCATAAACAAATGGAGTGGCTGTGTTCCAATAAAACTTTACTTACACAAACAGGCTGGGTTTGGCCCTCCAACTATGGTTTGCCAACTCCTATAATCTAGAAAACAGACTTTCTAGGGATTATATTAGAATATCAGAACTTCTCACCTACACTAAAAATATTACTGCCTAACAAATGGAAGGTCCAGATACATCACAGACAGCAATGGGTAACATGACTTAAATTTCAGCCTATGCAGAATTTCCAGGCTAGGCGCGGTGGCTCACCCCTGTAATCCTAGCACTTTGGGAGGATGAGGTGGGTGGATATCTTGAGCCCAGGAGTTCAAGACCAGCTTGGGCAACATGATGAAACCCTGTCTCTATAAAAAAATCCAAAAAAAAATTAGCCAGTGTGGTGGCGCATGCCTGTGGTCCCGGCTACATGGGAGGCTTAGGTGGGAGGACTGCCTGAGCCCAGGAGGTCAAGACTGAAATGAACCATGATCACAACTTTGCATTCTAGCCTGGGTGCCAAAGCGAGACCCCATCTCAACAACAAACAAAAAAACAACAAAAACAAAAACAAAAACTTCCAAAGCCAGTTCATATAGTTTTTAGTATAACTCTATAAATACCATTCAACTGTGATTTCGAGGTGTAATAAAAACATTCCATTGCCCCACACTACATTCCCCTAAGATGACTATACCCATTTTGCAAAAAGATAATGGCCTAGGTTAAAATACTCACACGAAGGAACAAGGTCTCATACATCTTGGTAAATAACATCAAGCACTAACTAGCTAGAAAAATCATCCATGTACCGAACTTTCCAGGAACTAGTTGCCTGGGCCAGTAAAATGAGACTTCCATCTTCAGATTACAGGACTTCAGAGTGGTCCTTGTAGATGAGCTAGCTTTGTTACTGTTGTTGTTTCATGTTTAGGGTCATCTGTAAGTTTGTCTGTAAGAACTCTTTCTCTCCTAGGTTCCTGGGGCCCTACGATTTACAACGGGCCTCCAAGAGTCCAGGAATCTCTTGGATTCTAAGGCTATGAGCAGCACTGTCCAATAGCACTTTCTGTGTTGATGGCGTGTTCCACAGGTGCTCCGTTTGGCAAGGCAGCCAGTAGACCCGTGGCCGGTGAGCACTTCAAATACGGCCAGTATGACTAGGGCTGAATATTTAATTTTATTCCATTTTAATTTACATAAATTTAAATATAAGTAGTCAAATACGGTGAGTGGCTACCATGTTGCGCAGGACAGCTTTAGGGGAAAAAATGGAAATGAAAATGTAAACAGGTACTACTTTTCCTTTCTTCTTTTCTGTCTAAATTCTCCAAATAGTACCAAAGACCCTGCTTTATATCCTTGCTTTAAAATTAAAAAAATAATAATAATAATCCCTGTAAACGCATGCTCTTTACCCAAAGAGCCGAAGTTTCTCCTTAAACTTTTTCGCCAAAGGACCTCACATTTCACTTCTGACCAGCTAAGCTTATTACCAACTTTCCAATATTCAATGGAAGACAAGGCCTCACATAGTATTAAAAAAACACATTTTTATATGCATATGTATATGTGTGTGTATATATATATATATATATATATATATATATATATATACACATGTGTGTATATATATATACACACATATAAATACACACACACACACACACACACACACACAGAGGAATTTTTTTGGCAAACAAGAGTCCCAAACAAATTGCTTTTGGCCAGGCGTGATGGCTCATGCCTGTAATCCCAGCACTTTGAGAGGCCGAAGTGGGCAAAGTGCGCAGATCGTTTGAGGCCAGGAGTTCAAGAATGGCCTGGCCAACATGGCGAAACCCTGTCTCTACTAAAAATACACAAAAAAATTAGCTGGGCATGGTGGTTCACATCTGTAATCCCAGTACTCTGGGAGGCCTAGGTGGGCAGATCACTTGAGGCCAGGAGTTCAAGACCAGTCTGGTCAACGTGGTGAAACCCCGTCTCTACTAAAAATAACAAAAAAATAAGCCTGGCATGGTGGCGCACACCTGTAGTCCCAGCTACTCAGGAGGCTGAGGCATGAGAATCGCTTGAACCCAGGAGGCAGAGGTTGCAGTGAGCCGAGATTGCGCCATGGCACTCCAGCCTGGGTGACAGAATGAGACTCTGTCTCAAAAAATTAAAAAAAAATCACTGTTAATATTGACGTTCTCATCCTTTCAGGGTATAAACACTATCATATTGGTGATGCCAACCTCCATATTTGCTTTTCACCAGGTGCAAGCAAACAGCACAAGGACAGGTGGCAACAGGCTAAATGCTGATGAACTTTCATGTGCCAGGCTGTTATTTGGGTGGGGGGCAAATCAGGAAGGGGCCTGAGGCACCTCGTCATTACCTTATCTTACCCCAGCCAGGGCCATAGCAAGGGCCCAGGACAATCAAGCTTTGAAAAGTGGACAATTTCTGGGGACAGCAGATAGGAAGGGGTTCCTAGTCAGAAATCCATGCCCCTTACAGGAAGTGAGTTTAGTTTTCTTTCCAGGTCACTGAAGGACCTGTGACAGCCTGAAGACTTCCCAATCCCTACACCGCCGTCAAATAAAGAACAAGTAAGATGTCCTATATTATATCTATATTTATGTTTTATATTTGCTCAAGTCAAAAAACGATGAGTCATCTTGGATTCCTCTCTCCACAACATAGGCTGAGTCCATCCACTTCCCTCCCTCTTCAGAGCTGGACCGTCACCCCCTCTCACCCGGACTCAGCCAAGCTGCAGTAGCCTCCTAAATGACCTCCTAGCTCTCCTCCTGCCCCACATGTTGACCAGGCCACCTTTTCAAAACAATGACCACAGCATGGAAATCGGGAGCCAGAAATGTAAGCCTGGCCTCCTCAGGTTGGGTCCCCAGCTCCGACACTGGCCATGGGCCTTAGGCATGTCTCTGCCTCAGTTCCCTCTTCTGTAAAATGGGGAGGGATAATGACAGTAGCCACTTGATAGGATTACCGAGGATTAGATGCGTCACTCATGCAAAACACTCAGAATGGGATGAGCACATGCTAAGCACTCTCTAGGAGGTGCCCTCTCTAGAACGCTCCCCTCTGCTCTACCTCCCGTCATGCTTAGAATAAAACTAAAATTCCTGCCTCAGCCTCATCTCCTTCCCCTCGTCTCTGCTCTGGCCAGTCTCTGTTTCTGTTGTGAAACACACCATGCCTAGGTCTGCCCCAGGGCTCTGCGCTGCCGTTCCCTGACCTGCAAGGCCCCTGCCGCAGATCTCCCTGTGGCTGCACCTTCAGGTGTCTCAGGGTCCCTCAATCACCAGCTATCTCATCAGCCCATTTATGATCATCAGAGCACCCATTCCACCTGGTACCTTCATGTTCACTGCCTTGTTTACCGACTGTCTCCTGACTAGAAGGCGGGCCTGCTCTTCCTACAGTGAAGGAACACCATATCTGTTTCCTTCAACACTCCCTTCAGGGCCTAGAACAGTGACTGATTTTAGGAAAAGCACAATAAATGTGAATTGTTTTAATGAATGAATGAATGAAGCCATGTAATATATGTTATGGTGACATCATGATGCCCAACCCAGAGACACAGACACCCTTTAGCGCTCAGCCCATGCAAGGATTGCCTGTGCCACAGAGAGCTGCTTTGAGCAGAGGGACACTCATTCCTGGGGCAGCCCTCACCCCCAGGAATTATTAGATCAATAACTAATTTGTGTGAAGGTGTGAAGGCCCAGCCGTCTCAGTACGACTTGGGACAACTCTTACTCCCCACTGGACCCCTGTGGGGTCAGCTGAGGCTGGCATGGCACCTTCGTTGCATCCTGACATCTCCCTGTACTCCTTCCTGCTCCTCCCCTCTCTTCCCCAGATGCCTGTCTTGAGGGCATTCCCTAATAAACATCCTGCACACAAAACTCTATCTCAGAGTCTGCCTCCTGGGAAATGCAACCTGCAACACACATGATGCCTGTTAAGGTGAACACTGGCTCCCATCCCACCTGGGCATGCAGGCAGGCAGGCTGAGGAGATCTACACAGTTTGGTGTCTTCCTGTCCTGTGCTACTGGGTCCCCTCCTCTACCTGGACTGACTGCTTTTACAAAGCTGGCACCCAGGGCTCTTAATTCACCCTACTGTGGGGGTTTCAGGGCATGTTTCCTGAGTCCATCAGAATCCACACATATTCAAATCCACTGTAATTTAGCCATGTGTTTTCTCCCAACTCATGGGAAGAGGTCCAGGGACCACCTAAAAGACCGCTTCCTTCTCCAGGCTGCTTTCTTATTCCCTATCACCCACTCATGCTCTCCCGCATCTTTTTCCTGCATCCATTCAGAGGGGATTCACAAAACATGCTGAGATGCTTTCAAGTAGTAGTATGATCCACACGCTCTTCAAGCCACATTTTTCCTATAATTATGGCAGGATGCTCAGAGCCATTTCTTGGGCAATTCTCAGATACTACAGATGAGCTCTAGCTTCTGTCTTGCAGCTCTCAGGAAGTACAAATATCCAGATGCTTTATTCGTGACATTTTGGAGCTGCCCAGATGTGCTACAGCTTCCCTTGTGCACTCCTATGCACCACAGATGTGCTGCTACAGAGTATATGTGCATTGTCTTCTTGAACAACCAGTGAGTCTCTCCAGCCTGCAACTGGTGCTATTAGTATCAAGGATGAAAGATTGTGATCTAAGAAACACACGCACACACACCCTGGCAGCAGTAGTGTGTACTCACTTTCCTGGGTTGACCATTTATACAAACACCAGCCTCTCAGAGCTTAGAGCCTCAGCCTGTCCCTGGAGTCATGGGGCATGTGCTAGGCTCCCTCTTTGGGCCAGGGCAGCCATTTCAGCAACTCTTGGCACACACTGGGCCTATTTGGACCAGCAGCTAAGAACTTAGCCTCACTGTCACCATGCATTATGCAAATGATCACATAAGCCAGACCATATCGTCAGCAATCCCAGGTATAAAACACAGCCTTAAAACGTGGCTCAGCATATGAGAACCAAATAGCGAACTTACCATGGGCTTATGCTGCAGAAGCTGGTGTCTAAAACGAAAAACAGTAAAATCTCAGCTCCTCTCAACAACTTTCCCTGACAACCCTCCTCCAATCAAATAATTTCATATTCCTCCTTCCAGCTCCCCAGAGCACTTTCAAAGTCTCTCAACCATAATATTCTTGGCATGGTATTATAACTGAATGTTTAGGTACTGCGTTTCACCCTAGTTGGAATTCCTTAAAATCCACCCTCTCCGCCTTGGTTAGCACCCCTAGTGGCCAGCACCGTGCCTGGCGTATAGCAGGTACCCATGAGAGACTCACAGAAAGAATAATGACGTTCTTGATTTTGCAAGAAAAAAAGTATTTGAAAGGCCTTTTGAGAGTCTCAAAACAAGATCATGTGCTCACAAGAAGGCACAGATGAGACACCTGAAAAATCACATGAGCACCCAGAGGCAACAGCAGCGGAATGACAACTGCCCTGCCTGGGGACAACACCCCTGACCATCAGTGCAACTGCACTATGGAACGCAAAATTCAGGGTCTTTCAGGCCTTAGTCACTGGAAGGCCCACAACATTTACAACAAATCCAGTTGCCTAAATAAACCTAGACAAACATCATCTTTGAAAATAATATATCCTAGATCTAAATGCCTGAATTTTCAGTTAGTTCAAACAGACTTCTGGTTCTACACCAGATCAACTTTTATAAACCACCACATCTCATTTTCATGATATCTACATTTTGGGATTAAATAAAATAATGGCTAAAGTGAGCTTTTAAATGTTTTGGAGCCATCTAGAATAAACCTGACAAAATAGCATTAAAAATGATCATGATGGCTGGGTGCTGTGGCTATGCCTATAATCCCAGCACATTGGAAGACTGAGGCAGGAGGATTGCTTGAGCTCAGGAGATTGAAACCAAACTGAGCTATATAGTGAGAACCTGTCTCAAAAAAAAAAAAAGTTAATTAGCTGGGTGCGTTGGCACAGGCCTGTGGTCCCAGCTACTTGGGAGGTTGAGGTGGAAGGATCACTTGAGCCTGGGAGGTTGAGGCTACAGTAAGCCCCGATCATGCCACTACACTCAAGTCTGAGTGACAGAGTGAGACCCTGTCTCAAAAAAAAAAAAAAAACATGAAGAAGAGTATTAGCAATAAAATTATTTTAAAACGCTATTCACCCCATATCTAAGTAAACCCCAAATACATTTTCTTTTGAAAATGTTACAGTGAAGTTTGATATCTAGGATATTATTGTTTAATATTTGTATTAACAAGGAAGAAGAAATCAAGAATAAGTTTATCAAGTTTATCACTGAAGATGATGGCAACATAAGAGGAAAGGGTGAAAGTTCATTTATCATCATTCCTGTGGCTGCTGCTTGGTATTATTAATTTTCTAATAAGATTTTCATTATTTTTTAAAGCTGAGTAACAAAAGAAAATAAAAATCAGGCAATCATGCTAGATTGAATAGTGTCCTCCCCAAAATTCATATCCACCAAGGACCTCAGAATGCGACCTTATATGGAAACAGCATCTTTGCAGATGTAATTTGTAAGATGAGGTTATACTGGATTAAGGTGAACCCTAAATCCAATTAGTGGTGTCCTTACGAGAAGGCCAGCAGAGCCGGGCACAGTGGCTCACACCTGTAATCCCAGCACTTTGGGAGGCCGAGACCGGTGGATCACAAGGTCAGGAGATCCAGACCATCCTGACTAACATGGTGAAACCCCGTCTCTACTAAAAACACAAAAATTAGCTGGGCGTGGTGACAGGCACCTGTAATCCCATCTACTCAGGAAGCTGAGGCAGGAGAATCGCTCGAACCCGGGAGGCAGAGGTTGCAATGAGCCGAGATCGCGCCACTGCACTCCAGCCTGGGCGACAGAGTGAGACTCCATCTCAAAAAAAAAAAAAAAATAGGCCAGCAGACACTAAAATACACATAGAGGGGAGAACATCATGTAAAGATAAAGGCAAAGACTGGAGTGATGCATCTACAAGCCAAGCAATAGCAAGGATGGCCAGTGGCTCCCAGGAGATGGAAGAGGCAAGGAAGAATGCTTTTCTAGAGCCGTCAGAGGGAGTATGGGCCTGCAAACACCTTGGTTGCAGAATTCTGGCTTCCAGAACTGGAGAGAGTAAAACCACCCAGTTTGTGGTAATTTGTTATAGCAGCCTAGGTAAACTAACTAGGTGGAAAGGTCTCTATCCTGGCATCTATTGTATTGAAGACGACTAATAATATAAATACACACACCGCTGGTAAAGGGTAAGTTGAGTTAGCTCTTCTGAATATGTATTAAACCCTTAACATGTAACTATTTCTTGATCCAGCAATTCTACTTTAAGGAATTTATAAAAATAATCAGAGATAGGAACAAAAAATCAGCTACAAGGATAACCACCACCTGCTTTTATATCAGTAAAAAGAAAAGTAAAACATGAACACACCACAGAGATTATAGCAGCTTTATTCATAATTGCCAAAACTTGGAAACAACCAAGATGTCCTTCAGTCGGTAATAAATAAATACATCCAGACACTGGAATATTACTCAGTGCTGAAATGAAATGAGCTATCAAGTCATGAAAAGACATGGAGGAAACTTATATCACTAAGTGAAAGAAGGCAGTATAAAAAGTCTATGTACTATATGATTCCAAATATATGGCACTCTGGAAAACGCAAAACTGTGGAGATCACTGTTTGCTAGGGGTGGTAGGAATGGATGAGTGAAGAAAGGGAAGAACTGGTAGAGCACAGGGGATTTTGAAGGCAATAAAACTACTCTGTATAATACTATAATGGCAGATACACATCACTATCCATTTGTCCAAACCCACAGAATGAATGGACAACACCAAGAGTGTCCCCTAAAGTAATCTATGGACTTTGGGTGATAATGCGATGTCCATGTTGGTTCACCAGTTGTAACCAATGTACCTCTCTGGTGGAGGATGTTGACAGTGGGGGAGGTTGTGGCTGTGTGGGGGCAGGAAGGCATATAAGAAATGTCTGTATCTTCCACACAATTTTGCTATGGACCCAGTACCACTCTAAAAAATAGTCTATTTTTTAAAAAGAATGCCTTAAATAAGCAACAATAAAGGACTAATAAAATAAACTATAATCCAGCCAATCAATGGGATGTTTAGAAAAGAACAAACTTAGAACAATCATCAATCAAGAGAGAACATGCAACGTACAAAAATCCTAAACACATTCACACAACAGGGAGATGGTTGTAGAAAGTCACCCTATTTAAAAACAAGATAGAAACAGATATTAAACCACTAAGGTGAATGACTTCATCAATAGTTAGCATTTCAGAACTCCTTCCTGTATTGAGTACTAATCATACCCTTATAAAAGCAAGGAGTCTTTTGTTCTCCATTTTTAAAAGCTAATCAGGAAAAGCTGTAATCAGCCAAAATCAAAATAAAACTATCAGTGGAAGAAATAAAATATGGAAGGTTCAGATACTCTAACATGTATCTTCAAGCATGTAAAAGATTACTAAGAACACCCACTTTGTACTCTGATGGCTTTGAAGAATAAAGGGGAGGAAACAGGCTCAAAACACAGCAAGTAAGACCTGATGACACAGAAGTGAGAATGTTCTTACCAAAACTTGACAGAGTGCTGGAGTAAATTAGCAAGGATAGCAGGAGTCTCTCTTCCTCTCTGCTGATTATTAACAACAGGATGAATCATTTCCTTTCTTGGATTATAAGAAGCAAGTCTGAATCAATTACTCTTGAAGTATTTTCAAAATCTATCATCATCTAATATTATACCAAGATAGATTCGGATATATCCTATAATGAACATTCATGCCCAAGCAACACATATATGTGTGCATGGGCTCAACACACACACACACACACACACACACACACACACACACACACACACAGAGAACTATATTTTGCAATTACATAGGGAAAATGTTTAAAGGTATTAACATTTGCAAATAATATTACCAACAGTCATTTTATGCAGTAACAAAGTCAGCGGCATGAATATCATCTTACTGTCAAAAAAAAAAAAACAGTATATGGAATCATTTTTACAAGTTGAAAAAGGTAAGAAGTGAAAATAACAACAATGGCAAAAATAAGTTATGATCTGGAAAAAATGAAAACCATTAGAATTTATAAATATATCCCGAAGCAGGCTGTTTAGAGGATGGGGAACACAACAAACTAAAACACCACGGGCAAATCCACCCAAGATTAGAAAGACAGACAATACAAGCACAAACTGAAAATGGGGTGTAAACATAGACAGGAAAGAGTTGTTTGCTTTTTAAAA
This sequence comes from Homo sapiens, assembly GCF_000001405.40. Taxonomy (NCBI): domain Eukaryota; kingdom Metazoa; phylum Chordata; class Mammalia; order Primates; family Hominidae; genus Homo; species Homo sapiens. The sequence goes on from NC_000007.14 coordinate 42,190,417, forward strand.
AAGTGTATTTCAAAATTCTATGCAATTAAATTTTAAAATCCTGATTAAATATAAGTGACCAGAATTGACTTAAGAACATATGAAAGACTCAATAACAATGGAAGAAACTGAAATAGCTCTTCAAAATTATTTCCAATAAAGGCTCCAGACTCAGACCCTGGTAGCGTTGTGTGTGAGTTTATTCAAACACTCAAGGGGCAGATGGTTTCATGTTGTGAAAACTTTTCTAGATTAAGACATATGGAAAAAATTGCAATACATTTTGAAAACAAATGCAATCTCAATACCAAATCTAGTATTGTGAGGACAAAAAAGAAAAACTAAAAGTCAAAACTATGTATGGACACACAGCAAAAATACTAAGATACTAAATACAATACTAGCATATCAAGTTATACCAAAGTCTAGAATCAAATAGACCTTATACCAGAAAACATGATTAGAAATATTATGAAAAAACATACAAAGATCATCAATAGGTCAAAGGAGAAAAATTATATATCATAAAAGCAAGAGATGATAAAAAGTAATTGATAAAATTTAATACTTTTTTTAAAAAAAAGAATGAAACCCAAACTAGAAAGACATTTCCTTAACCTGATAAAAAAAATAATATTAAAGTAACAGCCAAGATAGTTATGGTCATTATTAATCACTATTATCCAGGAAGTTGAAGCCAGTTCAATGTTACATAAAACAGAAATACACTATACAGCAACTGAAAGGAAAATAAAAATATTATTATTGGCAGATAGTATTATAGACTAATCTGGAAAGCACAGAAGATGTAACAGAAAAACGATAAGACAAATAAAACATTTAGTATAGCCATAAAGTTGAAAATAAACATGCAGAAATCCATAGCTTTTCTGTTCACCAGCAATTACCAGTCAATAAAAATAGATAATAATAGCCGGCCGTGGTGGCTCTCGCCTATAATCCCAGGCAAGGATTCATTCAATGAATCCATTGATCCATTGAATTCATTGATTCATCCTTTGGGAGGCGGGCAGATAACCTGAGGTTGGGAGTTCAAGGCCAGCCTGACCAACATGGAGAAGCCCCATCTCTACTAAAAATACAAAATTAGCTGGGCATGTTGGTGCATGCCTGTAATCCCAGCTACTCGGGACGCTGAGGCAGGAGAATCGCTTGAACTCGGGAGGCAGACGTTGCGGTGCCGAGATCACACCACTGCACTCCAGCCTGGGCAACAAGAGCGAAACTCCGTTTCAAAAAATATATATATATATATATAATATTTTTTGAACACATACTAACTGCCAGAAACAGTGTTAAGCCCTTAACATATTAACTCACTTACTTTTCACAATAACCCTATGAAGTAGATACCATTACTGTCCACCTTTTAAAGGTGAGAAAACCAAGACTTGGAAGAATTAAATATCCTGCCCGAAGTCTCACTGGTAGCCACAACAGAACCAGTAGTAGGTTCTGGCAGTGTGAATGCAGAGTCCTCATGAGAATCCATTTTACCATACTGCTCCCAATTAAGCCAAAAGGTCATACAAGCTAAACTGCCAAGAATAAACCAAACAATAGCCAAGAAAGACATGCGACCCATGCAAAAACATGAAAAAATTTAAACTTCTACAATCACAGAAAAAAAAAATCCTATTTGAACAGAGACATGTCATATTTCACAATAGGAAAATTGTACCTTATAAAAATGTCAATCCCCTTGAAAAATAATAGATTTAACACAATTCCAATCGCAATCTATAGAGATAGCATTTATTTTTGTTGATGCTGTGTTTTGCTTGGAGTGAGGCGGAGTTTAATGAGGTGACTCTAAAGTTCATCTAGTAAAAATGTGAGTAGCCAGCCAAGAAATTGCAATCATAGATACAAAAATGTCCTCTAAGATGCTAGTCACTGGAATCTCCACACTTGGGTCCATGCAGCATCTCTTCCTGACCATCAGCTTCCTAACAGAGTTCTGCCTACACCTTTGGTGGCTCCTTAGTTTTAAGAAAAATAAAATACGTAAGAACCAACAAAACCTGAGACAAGGTATAGATAAAGACAAAAGAAAAGATGCTAAAATTTAAAACAGCTCATGTATTAAAGTGATGAAATTATATTTGACATCTACTCTTTGGCCTTCAAACTTTCTTTAACAAGTCCTTATCATAAAAAGTCTAACAAAACAAAAAAGAACCAAAGAGAGATGGGGGCGCTGGAAAGAGGATGATAAATGTGAAAAACAAACTCTAATTTTACAACATTCTTTCTTCTGTTGAAAATGTTTAATCTGGAAAATCAAGGTTCAGGAATCATTCTGCAGCTGTGTTAAAACAGGAGGGGAAGGCCTCCTAATCTCTGCTTAAGCATACCTTGGGGTCCACTTCAGGGCCACCCCCTTAGAGCACCACCTTGAATTCGTGCCTTTGGCAGTCCCTTCTCTACCACTTAGCACCAAATTATCTAGCATCTTGTCCTCTAATTACGTGCAAACAGGCAACGAGAACCAGCAGGACCTGAGGCCAGCCTGTCTCCAGCCTTGCACAGACCACAGGCCCCAGGGGCCCAGCACCCAGAAAGACTTGATGATTAAGAGACTGCAATCCAGGGCTTTGATGGCCCCAGCAAGTTTAGGGTTTCAAAAAAGGGGGGAAACGACCACATCAAAAAGGTGACGATTTTTTGACTCAGCTCCAGAGTTTTTAAATATTATGTTTCTAAATAAAGTAAATGGATACTCTAGAGAAACAGCTCAAGGAAGGTCACAGAGAGGCACAACTACTTGAGACTTGATAAATCAAATAAACAATGAAGCTGAGCAAAGGAAAGCCGAGAGCACATTACAGACCCTCTTGCCTTTTTGTTTTTCCATTAAGGAGCTGTTCTTATAAACAATGAGCCCATTCAAAAGGGGTTTAAAAAAATCCCTCGAGGAAGCTTCTATCTCCTCCACCCAGAGAGCTGCTCTCCCTTTCCTCCTGCCTGTGAAAGCCTGGCCTCCAGGAACACACTCTGCCTGAGCTCGGAAGGACACACCTTTGATCTAGAGTTCCAAGAAAAAAAAAAATCCTGACTCAAATTACTCAGGAATTCTATTGGTAGCAAAAGGTGAGAGAAAATTAAAAGTCTCCACATAAAATTAATTTGTTCTCAGGTGGGACGTTTTCTCCCATGCCCAGCAAGGAGCAGAGGTTTTTGTGTTTTATGACTTTGATGAAGAACTATCTGAACACCCACATCCACCCAAGGCCTGGTTTCTGAATGCAGCTCCTTTTTAACTCAATATTACCTGTGGTTTTCTCATGGTTTCCTGGATATAAATCAAACAGGCAGTCAGCACAGACCCCATCCCATCTTATTTTTATTTCTTTAAAAAATAACTCTTGATTACGAAATATTCCAACATACAGAAAAGTACTAAAAAGGACATGCTAGTTATCCACGTTACCTACAACTCAGATTTAAGGAATGTTAGCATGTTCCCATATTTGCCTCAGATAACTTTAAAGAAAATAAAACAGATACCGCTAAAGCTCCCCTCCTCCGTCCCCTGAAAACGTACTCCCTCCCTCTCCAGAAGGACAAAAATAGCAAATAATGTAAGTCAGTATGTACATTTCCTGTGGACTTTCGCTTTTACTTTTTTGCCCATGATGATAGTATCGATTTTTGTATTGTAAAAATGCCTGAAGGACAGTTCCTTGCCCCTATTCCCAGCCCATATCCATTTCATACAGCAAACTGCTTGCAGAAAAACCTTTCAGCTCACACCAACTCTATTTGTCCCAGTATTGATCAACCTCATCATAGGTACACAGACCACATCAAAATGAGGACAATAAGCTTAGAGGATAATTAATTAATGAAACAGACTCATCAATATTTACATTAAGAAAGGACAGGGCCAAACTTTAATGTGTATAGTCTAGGAAGAGTCACCATATTCTCAGTTAGCCAAGCTCCCAGGAGGCAGCACTTTTTGCTCTATCTGCTTTCGGCATTGTTGTCCCAAGGGGTTCAGGCCTACATCCAACTTTTCTGGCTCTGCTTCTTGGACTTCATCCTTTCCCAATTAACATCAACAGTTCCAACTCAAGTCTCTTTTCTAAGTTTCTGAGCTTTATATCCAGCCACTTGGATGCCCTCCAGCTTAACCTGACAAATTTGGGGTCATCATTGTCTCTAAATCTGCTCTACTCCCGTCTGTCTTAGCGAACGGCATTCCATCTACCCATGAAGCCCTAGCTAGAGAACCAGGTAGCATCTTTGACTCTCCTTCCTCCATCCCCAGAGTCCTACTAAGCCCTGTCAATTTTAAACTAACATGTCTCTAATGCATCAACTTCTCTCTCTGTCTCTTTTTTTTTTTTTTTTTGGAGTCGGAGTTTCACTCTGTCACCTGTCACCCAGGCTGGAGTGCAGTGGCATGATCTCGGCTCACTGCAACCTCTGTCTCCCAGGTTCAAGCGATTCTCCTGCCTCAGCCTCCCGAGTAACTGGGATTACAGGCACCCACCACCAGGTCTGGCTAATTTTTTTATTTTTAGTAGAGACAGGGTTTCACCATGTTGGTCAGGGTGTTCTCAAACTCCTGACCTCAAGTGATCTGCCCACCTCGGCCTCCCAAAGCGCTGGGATTACAGGCATGAGCCACTGTGCCTGGCCTCTAATGCGTCAACTTATCTCACCCCCACTGCCACCAATGAAGTCTAAGCCATCACCAGTCTGCACTTGAGTTAATGAAGTAGCCTCCTAATGGTCTCCTGTCTTCTGTGTTGCCCCACTAACCTATTACATACACTGTAGCTTGAGTCATATAACACCAATACAAACCTATCTCCCATCCTTGAACACTGTCATGTCTGCCTTAAGGATAAAATGAAACAGGGCTTCTTAGGCATTCATAAGCTAGACTCTATTTAGCCAGCTTCGTCAAAACATACCACCTCCCACTTCCATTCCCCAGTCCCAGTAAGGTGATTTCAATTGCTTGATATACAAGGTTCCCTTTTACCTCTGGAAAGTCTGCCCAACAACCCCGTTTGTCTGGAACATAACCTCCCTTTGTACCTGCCTCCTCACATCTGTTTTTACAGTGCTTTTTCTGATTCTTTCATAAGTTTCAGCTTGCATACCTCTTCTTCCAGGAAATGTCCCCAGATGCCCAGCTCTGTTCCCAATGGTGCCAGTGCCCCCACTAGGTCCTCTCATATCCCTGCAGTGTTGCTCTATTGCGGCAATCATCACAATTTATTAGTATAGCTTATTTAATAATCAAGCTTCACCACCAGACCATCTATTCCCTAAGGGCAGAAATTATTTGTTTAATTCACTCCCTCAGTACTTAGCACAGTATTGGCACATAGGACATACATGAAAAATACCTACTGAATGCATGAATTAATGGGTGGATGGACAGATGAGTAAGTATTCAATAAATCTGGTTTGCTATCTTCCTCTGGCAGGATAGAAGGGCCAAATGAGCAGACACAGTGTGTCAGTTTCTATGTATCTTGGCTCTAACTAGAATGCTACAATTAAATGTAATTCCTTTTTTGATCATTTTTCATACATGACTTTGTTGCCAAGTTGTGCAGGTGGAGTGTGTCCAATAAGGTAAACAACGTTAAACACAAAAATTAATGGGGAGAAAAGCAAAAACAGCCTCCCCTATCCTCACTAATATCCAACAGTACATAAATAAATAAGGTGGATCCCCAAGATTCTTCAGAAGACAATGCTGGCTCTCTTCATTTACTCATGATTAAAGACATTTTCATGGTCCTACAAAATGGGAAATATCTTTTAAAGGGACCTACCTCTCAATGCAGGTACATCGTAAATCTCTTTTAGCAGAAAGTGGTAAGGAAACATAGTTGGATTATCTAGGCTAGAGAATGTCAGTCAGCTCTTTGAATTTCAACTATTAATTCTCACCAGTGTTAAATAAGAGCTGCAGAAAATGTGGATGGGAGGGGCCAGCTTTACAGGAGACTAAATATTTTCTCTACCTACAAAGGCGTCCTGATTAACGTTGCATTGCAGAAGATGTACCTCCCAAAAAAGATCTTTTAAAAATCTACGTGTAAATAGAACACCAAAAAATATATTACACAAAAGCATCCTTCAGCATCCCCTTTTAAAGCATTAAAGATTAAATTTATATAGATTTTTAAAGAGGTCACCACCTTTGTTACTTAAAGTTCACACTATAAGTTTATCTTAGTTCCACCTTATGAACCTGGTGAAGACAACACTGCTTCTGACATGAAGATTCCAAATTTCCTCTAAAATCTCTGTTGGTACACTTGACAAGAGATCATCTTCAAAGCCGTTTCATGTCTCACTTGAGATGTTAAAAAATGCTGGACCTTTCTAATCAAGAGGGAAAGAAAAAGAAGGGAAGGAAAGCAGAAAGGATAAAAGAAGAAAAGGAAATGTATCTGAATATTGGTTGGCAGCATGTTTACTTATGGAACAAAATGGTAAAGAAGCCATCAAGTAGTATTTCTCAACAGAAAGGACATGGACAGGGAATCGACAATGTCGTGTATACATCATGTGCTTCATTTCTATTACTCCTGATGGCAACCCTTCAAGAAGTTTTATCCTCTGGATTTTACAAATAAGGAAACTGAGGCCTACAATGTAGCCCTGACTTAGGCCTTCCTGGCCCCTGATACTTAGGGCAGGACCTGAACTCACATCCGAGTCTGGCTGTCTGCAGGACCCCCGTTACTGACTGCTTTTCTCTACTATATGTGTCCCTCTTAACGTCATCAAGTTTAATCGGCTTTTCCCAGGGTCCCTAGAAAAATCAAGTCTTCACAACCTATCAACAGCTATCCAAGATCTATGCAGCTAAGAGTAATGACATAAAAATCACTCCATTTTTAGGCTTTATTTAATACACCAATACCAACCAATAGGCCTCACCTTGTGGATACCAAGATGCCCCGGCAGAAGTTACAGAGTTCTGACACTATGGTCCCTTTCTAGAGAAATGCAAGGATATTAACTTGGGCATCCTCTTCTTATTTTAATCCTCTGACTAACACAATCACAGTTAAAACAACTTGCTCTTAGAGAGCAGGGGGAGTTGACCACTGGATGGCCTTGGGGCCATATGTTCAAGCACACTCTGAATTCCTCTTCATTACGTAACTTGAAAACCAAATGAAATGTCGTGCTACTGGAGCACGGAGCCCTTACTCAGTACAGAGAAGGATGGGGGCCTTTGTCACCTGAAATTCACCACTTTGCTATGTTCCGGTCAGCGGGAGGTACAGTTCGCTACTCACAGGCCTAAAAGCAGTGTCGGGCTTAGCTACCCCAGACAGGAGAGTCAGCGCCTGCTCATGCATTGAGACTGAAACAATGGTCTGGGCGTCACAGCAGCTGTGCAAATCCCTGAAAATTCAGTCCACGTTAACGCAAGGCTCTCGCTCTACATAACCTTCAGGAAGCCCACGTTGATGTGTTTAAAGGGAACCAGTCAAAGATGGTGAATCAGACTGGAGGCAGGGAGCAGAGAATCATGATTCGGGTACATATAGGTGTGGCCGCCCCAAATAAATGGCCCAAGCATCTACTCTGCAAACGCATCTTAACCCAAAGCTAGACTGGAGCATTTTATTCCCTGAAGGGAGTAAAAATTATCCTAAATTCTTCCAGGTGTGGCTTAAGGTCATTTTTATACCTACTCATTCATTCCACAAATATTTATTGAGCCCCTGCACTGTGGCGGCCCCTGTTCCAAGCACTGAGACACTATGTGAAGGACACAGGACAGGCTCATGGTTCTTACATTCTGCACAGAGACAGAAAGTAAACACGCAAATGTGCAAAAAATGGAATAACTGCATTGAGTGATTGGTTCCTTAAAGGAAAAATGAAGGGAAATGTGACGGGAAGCCCTGGGCCAGGGCAGGTTCGGAGCTTCAGAGAGGCAGTCAAGTGTCTGAGGCTGGAGAGTGAGAAGGATCCAGGAGCACAAGCGAGAAAACACTCACCATGAGGTGAGCTTTCCCAACTCCACTGCTTGCCTGAGGAGCCGTCCTGAGATCTCCGTTGCAGAGCCAATCCTGGGGATGCTGAGCTCCGGGGATGTGGGAGGACTGCATGACTGTACTCACAGGCCAGGACAAGTTCTGTTTATTTTCCAAACACCCTCTACCTCATCTGAAGGTGGTTTGGCAAGACCTGGAATCAGGGCCTTCTAGGCAAATGGCTGTGACCTTCCTAAAGGTATCAAGACTGTAGAACTTCCCTTAAGGGATTAATGTAGTATCTAAAATTTTTAAAAATCAGTACTTCCCTCTAGGGCGCAACTTTGATACCTCCTTGAGATGCATATGCACACACACACATACACACACACACACAAACACACAGGCGGCACACACAGATTAACTCTCTTGCAGAAAAAAAATGTTAGATGGTGGCACTTTAAAAACAACCAGATGAGACATAATTAATGGTGTCAAAAACACATAACTTAAAATACTCAAACTCTAAGAAAAAGTTTCTTTTTTTTTTTTTTAACTAAAAAGAAAAGACTTGGGACAATTTCACTGCCAACTAAAATGACAAGGCATTTTTTCCCCAAAATTTATTATGATGATAGATAACAAATGGCATCTATAAAGCAGTCAGTTAACAACGAGAAACAAAAGAAGAATACACTGAGAATACTAGGAACAGAGTTATAAAAATGCCAGTTAGACATGCAAGAAGCAGCAGGGCTTTGAAAACGCACAAAGCTGGATCCAAATGTTAGATGTGGTTTTAGCTACTCACCGCAAAGCTGGGTTACTAACATTTCTAAAATTTCTGAAAATGATTTTCAGGCCTCTAGCCTGCTTTGGAGCAGATGAAAATTTTCCATTGTTGATCCACAGACATTAGTATGCAAGGTAAATAACAGGCATCAGGCAAGATATCTATTTCTAATAAGTTTACAGAAAGCACATTAAAAGCCCGTTAGAACTCTGATTTACCTCAATACACACAGGCAGAAAACCAGAGTACGGGCACACAAGCAGGACTCCCCTTCCAGTTCCCCTGTCTCACCAAGCAGGTTACAGTCCCAGCTGGGGCAGACAGCTCTACCTCAACTGCTTTCGTTTTTACAGTGAGTTTTTATATGCAATGGTTGTCATGCAAAAGTAGAAGGTGAACAAAAGACTGTATATATGTGCGTGTATGTGTGTGAGCACACGTGTGTCCTCTCCTTTCACCTTAGCCTAATAGCTGGACAACATGGTGAGCTCTTTGAGGGCAGGAGCCATGTCCTATCGGATTTATCCTGTGATGATGGGCTGAGGCCAAGGAGAAGATATTTAATAAAGATAAATATAAAGACCTATACCTGGCCAGGTGTGGTGGCTCACACCTGTAATCCCAGCACTTTGCGAGGTCGAGGCAGGCGGATCACATAAGGTCAGGAGTTCGAGACCAGCCTGGCCTACATGGTGAAACCCCGTCTCTACTAAAAATACAAAAATTAGCCAGGCATGGTGGTGGGCACCTGCAGTCCCAGCTACTAGGGAGGCTGAGGCAGAAGAATTGCTTGAATCCGGGAGGCGGAGGTTGCAGTGAACTGAGATCATGCCACTGCATTCCAGCCTGGACAACAACAGCAAAACTCTGTCTCAAAAAAGGACCTATACCTAAGGCCAAACAATTACTACTCAAGTCATTTTCAGCAAAGAATGGCAGAAATAAGACTTGGCAGCAGGTAGGAAAGAATACCTAGGATATCGCCTTCCGTCATGGAGGTCACGGAGAGTCAAACAGCTGTGAAACCTGGTTTCCTAATTCAATCTATCCCATTAACAGGAATAGTTTGCTCTATGGTGTATCCACCATGCCAAGCAGCCCACTTTATCCTTTCCAAAGGGACCATATGTCCAGGCCCAGGTGAACAGACAGTGAACATTCAAAGCCAACTCAGACAGGAAAAAGGTAAAAGGAATGAAGGAAAGAGACTTTGAGGCCTTATCCTTCAAATATTTGTAAGTACTTGCGGAAGAAGAATTAGCACTAACTCATGTAGATGCAGAAAGCCAGAGAACGCTCCACTACCTCCCGTATCCACTATTTTAAAGTGCCTTTGAAGGACACCAGGCAAGGAGGGGTCAGGCAGTGTTGAAGTGATGGGGAGGCAGATTTTTGCCCCACACAAGAAAGAGTGATAAATTATATCATTTTAAAAATAAAGCCAGCAAAAACAGTTTTCTTGTGTCTGAACAAATGCTTCTCATTTTGGACAGGCTGGTCTGGCAATTCCTGTTATGAGAAGGAAGGTCAGGCTTCAAGTCTTATCCTAGCTCCCTCACGACTTCTTGGGCACTGTGGGCAAATCATGAGACAGAAGACTCTCCTTTAGTCAAAACTTTTCAGAAAAAAAAAATAGGCATTTATATGTGGATTGGTTAAACCTGAGCCTGTGCAAAAACACAGGACAGACTGAAATGCATGAAAACCATTTCTAGGAGAACAGAATGCTGCCTAGTGGACACACTCTAGGACTTAAACAATAAAATTATGTGCAATTTAGTTTTAAGTAATATTAAAATTCAGTACAGTAGTCCCCCCTTATCCTCCACAGATACATTTCAGTGGATGCCTGAAACCACAGATAGTCCTGAATCCTGTATACACTAAGTTTTTTCTTATAAATATATACTTACGATACCGTTTAGTCTATCGATTAGGCACAGTAAGAGATTAACAACAATAACTAATAATAAAATAGAATAATTACAACAATATACTGTAATAAGTTATATGAATGTGATATATCTCTCTCTCTCTCTGTCTCTTTCTGAAAATATTTTCTTGTACTGCACTTACTTATTTTTGGACCATGATTGACCATGGGTAACTAAAACCTCAGAAATAGAAACCTTGGGTAAGGAGGGACTCCTGTAATAAATGTCCAAAACTGCTGGGCAATTGACAGAATCAGTCCATCGGGTAGAAACTGTTACTGCCACAGCTAAGGGACAGGTTAAGTACTTTATTCCAAGACCCAAAGCTAGTAGGTGGCCACAAATCATGATATAGAATAGCCCTCACATACACATAGACAGACACACTAGCGCAAAGAAACCAGAAGTCACTTTGGGGCTGTACTGTCATGCAAGGATGGGAACACATTCTGGGAAATGTGTCGTTAGGCAATTTTGTTGTGAGAACATTATGGAGTGCATTTACATGGACCCAGATAGTAGAGCCTACTACATACCTAGGCTGTATGGCATAGCCTGTTGCTCCCAGGATACAAACCTGCATAGCATGTTACTATACTGAGTACTGTAGGCAACTGTAACACAATGGTATTTGTGTATCTAAACATAGTTAAACATAGGAAAAGTACAGTAAAAGTACCGTATTGGCCGGGCGCCATGGCTCACACCTGTAATCCTAGCACTTTGGGAAGCCGAGGCGGGCAGATCACAAGGTCAGGAGATCAAGACCATCTTGGCCAACATAGTGAAACCCTGTCTCTACTAAAAATACAAAAATTAGCTGGGCATGGTGGCGTGCGCCTGTAGTCCCAGCTACTCAGGAGGCTGAGGCAGGAGAATCGCTTGAACCCAGGAGGCAGAGGTCGCAGTGAGCCAAGATCACGCCACTGCACTCCAGCCTGGAGACAGAGCAAGACTCCGTCTCAAAAAAAAAAAAAAAAAAAATACGGTATTATAATCTTATGGGACAACTGTCATATATGCAGTCCATTGTTGATCCATCATCTTCATGTGGCTCATGAATGCATTTTTTTAAAAACATTTAATACTTAAAACTGATGGTAAATGAAAATTATAATGGGATTCCAAAGATAGAGGCATTGGCCCCTCTTTGGTCTGTGTTCTCTCCAAAAATCTGACCTCACCTGAAATTCATAGAATCTGTCTCTCTCTCTCTCTCTCTCTCTCTCTCACACACACACACACACACACACACACACACACACACTCACACACACACAGGGCAAATCAGTATACTACACAGACTCACTAAACATGCTTCCTGGTTCTAAAAACATGTAAGACAGCAATTCCACTAAAACTAGTGATTAATATCAGAGCAGTAGTCAGTATCGATTGTATTCATTTTATGTCAATGATCAGGTAGCATCACTAAGAACGAAGGCAAGGTTATGGGTTTCATGTCCACAAAAGCTATGTTCGTAAATGCCATCTTGCACAAATAAATGGCTAAGTGCCCTCACAAGCATGCACATCACCAGGCTGATGGGCTGAGAGCAGCCAGGTGAATGCATCGTCTTTTGCCAGTGTCCTCCAGGCCCCCAGGCTGCCATCCTTAACTTAGGACAGCCTCCTGTTTTCTCCGCTCTGTTAGAAGCTGCAGTGAATGGACGGGGGTCCCACTGACGTCATCATAAAACCACCACACCAACCTCAGGGGGCCCCCAACATGACTGTAAGTCCCACTCTTATGCACTCAGCATCTTTTCCCATTCCTCACAAAGACAGTTCAAAATATTCACCATTCCTAAACCCAATTCTTCTATTCATATCAGCCTTCACAATCTCATGCTAAAAACTAGGGAAAGGAGGAGCTGACCATGGGAGGCATGAACATTCCCACCCCAGTCTTGAAGAACAAGTGCGAGGGGGCTCTGATTTCCTCCCTCCTACAAATTGTTTTATTTATTTGTTTGTTTACTTATTTATTTTAAATTGACAGAAAAAATTGTGTGTATTTATTTAAACATGATGTTTGAAGTATACATACACACACATTGTGGAACAATTAACTCTGCTTAATTAGAATGTGCATTACCTCACATAATTATCATCCTTGTGGTGAAAACATTTAACATCCACTCTCAGCATTTTTCAAGAATACAATGTAGGGTCATTAACTATAGTTACCATGCCGTACAATAGCTCTGTTGAACTTATTCCTCCTACCTAACTGTAATTTTGTATCCTTTGACCAACATCTCCCCAGTCCTGTCCCCCAAGTGCCCCATCCTCTGGTTACCTACTACCATTCTACTCTCTACTTCAATTTTACCTCCCACATATGATGAGAACACATGACATTTTTCTTTCTGTGCCTGGCTTATTTCACTTGACATAATGTCCTCCAGTTGCATCCATGTTGTCAAAAATGACAGGATTGCCTTCTTTTTAATGGCTGCATAGTATGCCACTATGTATATAACACATTTTCTTTCTCCATTTGCCCATGGACATGGGTTGATTCTGTATCTTGCCCATTGTGAATAAGGCTGCAATGAACATGGCACTGCAGATATCTCTTTAAAATATTGATTTGAGGCTTGACATGGTGGCTCATGCCTGTAATCCCAGCAGTTTGGGAGGCCGAGACAGGCAGATCATTTGAGACCAGGAGTTTGAGACCAGCCTGGCCAACATGGTGAAACCCTGTCTCTACTAAAGATACAAAAGTTAGCTGGATGTAGTGGTACAAGCCTGTAATCCCAGCTACTTGGGATGCTGAGGCAGGAGAATCGCTTGAACCCAAGAAGTGGAGGTTGCAATGAGCCGAGATCGTGCCACCGCACTCCAGCCTGGGGTGAGACTCCATCTCAAAATATATATATATTACTCTCTTCCCAGGCCTCCTGATCACATTCATTCTCCCCACTCCAAACCATTTTTCCCACTAGGGCCGAAGGGTAGTTTTTAAAGCAGATGGTATCCCACCACTCTGCTCTTCCCACTCACATGAAGGATGGAGCCCAAAGTGTCTAGCATCGCCTTCATGGGCCTCCACCAATAGGACTCATATACCTCTCCATTCACATTCTCTGCCTCCATCCTCCTCTCCCCAAACCATGCCTATCCAACAAGCAACCTACCCTGATTGGTACCATTTCCCCAAACCACCGAGAATGCTCATGCTTTAAGTATTTGCTTCTACTGCTCTCTCAACTTACAATGCCTTTCTCCAGCCCCCAGTTCCCACTCCTGTCTTCCCCCTGCCATCACTATTGACATGTGAAGGATTTAACTCCTCACCTCTTCTGTGAGACTTTCCTTCATACTCTATAGATGTTGTTTACATTGCACTTAATAAGTGTACTGAATTTTGCTAGTTTACTTATCCAATTATAAATATCTTAACAGCAGGCCCCACATTTTGTTATCCTCACAATCAAATAAAGTGCCTGGCACTTAGCACAGCCTCAATAAGTGTTTGTTGACTATGGAAGCACATCAGTAAAAATAATCCTTACACTTATAACTGCAAAGGAGTTCAGAAAATAGATGGTCCAGGGTTTTCTATATTTTATTTCCCTAAATTCTGTCCCCAACCTCTTTCTGAGCTTGATTCCATTTGAGTATGCTAAGGAAAAAAGAAAAGTTCTTATGAGACAGAATTCTCCTGGACCAGGTCTAGACATGAAAAGTTCTATTGTATGCACGACTTCCCCGAGACTCTCCTTCGGGAAAGGAAGGAAGTTCAAATTTCTCTGTGGGCTGGCAAATTTTCTGTACTTATTGACATGGCTATGATAAATTTGTATCTCCTCAGACAAAAGGCCAACCAAACGCTGCATGATTTAAAATTTGGAGAATAAACAAGAGCCATGTCTCTCAATGACTTCCAAAAGCTTTCAGCAGCAGGTTGTGGGTGTGCTTTCAAGTGTACGAAGTTGAGGCTTAAGAAACTGCTGGAATTACACCTCAGACGGTGACACTTCTTATCTTTGAAGGGATGTATAGCCTGCTATGTGGTGTTCTTAAAGGTGTTTGTGATACTTTTTATAAGAATCCACCTCATACATACGCATCCTAGCAACATACCATGTACGGAACTGAGACCACATCCTACACATACCTTCTCTCTTTGATTTGACAACCAGCATTATCTTAAGTCTGGCACCTGTAAGTCATTAGTTGACTAAGGTTACCCTAAAGTTAGGGTAACTTAAGGTCAAGGGTAAGAGCTCCAATATTCCTTTGGCCTTTTCCACCACTATTAAGTAACTCCCAGCAACAACAAACAAATAACAAACAGCCTCAACCCACTCCTAATCCTTGTCCTTGGCACTGACAGATTTCAGAAGAAAAAGTCACCAAACAACAGATGCCACTCTCAAAGAACAGAGAGGGCAGCTGGTGTGACTTAATAAGCATGCAGCCCACTGTAGAGAAGCTGGAGAATCGTACTTTTCCTGAGCCAATATAAGAGGTGTTTACATTAACCAGAGTACTCATCAACGTACCTGCAACTTTCAGTTCAAGACAGATGAGACAAAAGTAAAACTAAATTGCTTCCAGAACATGTTAAAGTATAAAAGGTGAAAACACAGCAAACACCTGTTAGGTCTTGCCAACTGTTATTTCCTACGTATTTTCTTATAAGTGACAGATTTTTTTAAAACACTTCTAAAGATAAATGCAAAATGTAAACACCAAAGCAAGTGTGCATTTGTGTGGCTTTGATATACGCCTGGGAAGAGAGTAACCTTGTGAGAATGCCACAGAAAAACGACTAAGATTGCTTCCCACAGCCAATATAATTACAATAAAGCCCAATAAGTTAGCTTAATATAACACCAGACTAAATTCTGAAGGGGTTAGGTGCAGTGGCTCATGCCTGTAATCCCAGCACTTTGGGAGGCTGAGGCTGGTGGATCATCTGAGGTCAGAAGTTCGAGACCAGCCTGACCAATATGGTGAAACCCCATCTCTACTAAAAATACAAAAATTAGCCAGGCGTGGTGGTGCATGCCTGTAGTCTCAACTACTCAGTAAGCTGAGACAGGAGAATTGCTTGAATCTGGGAGGTGGAGGTTGCAGTGAGCCAAGATAGCACTACTGCACCCCAGCCTGGGCAACAGAACGAGACCCCATCTAAAAAATAATAATAATAATAATAACAATAATAATAATAATAAATTCTAAAGGGATACTTTTAATCATGACGTATTTCAGAGAATAACATAAGCAACATCTAGGTATCCGCCACACAGGTTTAATACATGTTAATATTTTGTTACATTTGCTTAAAACCTCTTCTCTTTAACGAAATAAGATAATACAGATAGAGCTGAACCCTCTCCATCTTGTTCCCTTTCCACTCTCCCCAGAGTTAACCACTATTAAAGAAATGATTATATCCATGCATGTTTTTATACTTTCACTTCATACATATGAATTCAATAAGTAACATAGTTCTACAAAGGTGTTCCTCAAGTTCAGCTAGAAGAAAAAATCGAATAGAAGCCAAGAGCCATTTGAAAAGGAAGAATAATAAGAGATAATGTGCATTATCAGATAAAATGTACTCTGTGTATAACATCTGAAAGAGTATGGTACAACAAAAGAATAGACAGGTTGATCATACAATAAAATTTTACAGAAAAAGAACCTAAAATATATATTAAGGCAGTAACCAATGCAGGTATCACTTCAAATCAGTGATAGAAAAACTGGTAAACAATTATCTACCCACAAAGAACTAAAAAATTTTTTAAAAAAGAGACTTCAACAGACACTTCAGAAAAGAAGATATCCAAACGGCCGATAAATATCTTAAAAAGATACTTGAGTCCCTCAGTCATCAGAGACAAATGAAACCACAACTGGATACCACTGCATAGCCCAAAGAAGGGCTACAGTGAAAAATACAGAAAATACCAAGTGTTGACACGAATGAGAAGCAAGTCTATACAACCCCTTGGGAAGAGTATTAGGCAGTGTCTACTAAAGCTAATATATGCATACCCTAGGAGACAATAATTCCACTCCTAGGTTTATGCCCAATAGAAATGTGTATTCAGATCCACCAAAAGACAGCTACCTGGCAGCCAATGTTCCTGACAGCCAAACCCTGGATGCCACCCAAATGCCCATCAGCAGTAGCGTGGATCAACAGAGCGTTTCTTTCTTGACCTGGGCTCTGTTTACATGGTGTGTTCATTTTGAGAAAATTCATCAAGCTGCTCACTTATGCTATGTGACTTTTTAATCTGTGTATTGTATTTCAATTAAAAAGTTTAAAAAGCGAGGTAAGGTTTTCACCTATCCTATCTTCTTTTAAAATATTTCACTAATGTTGATACGTGTTTCTGAAAATGAGCACTCACATAAACAGCTGATGGAAATATAAGTTGCTGTGTTTCTTGGAGCTAATTGGGTAAGATGTAGTCAAAGCACACAGTTTTTTTGGAAGGAATTTCATCACATCATTATTCACAATTGAAAAAAAATGTGCATGTCCAATGATAGGGGATTGATTGAGTAAATTCATAGCTATTAAAGCCAAGTTGGAGAAGAGTGGTTCATGACACAGAAAATGATCCTAGCATATGGTTACCTGAACAGAGAGAAAGACTGAAAATATACCAAAGTGTTAACTTTTATTTTCCAAGTGGTGAGATTCCAGGCCAGCTTCGTGTTTTTCTTTTATGCTTTTCTGAATTTCCCAATGAGCAAGTATTCCTTTCATAAAAATAAAAGCACAGCCGAGCACGGTGGCTCACGCCTATAATCACAGCACTTTGAGAGGCCAAGGTGGGTAGAACACCCAAAGTCAGGAGTTTGACACCAGCCTGGCCAACGTGGCAAAACCCCGTCTCTACTAAAAAATACAAAAATTAGCGAGGCGTGGTGGCACGTGCCTCTAGTCTCAGATACTCAGGAGGCTGAGGCAGGAGAATCACTTGAACCTGGGAGGCAGAGGTTGCAGTGAGCCGAGATCGCACCACTGCACTCCAGCCTAGGCGACAGAGGGAGACTCCATCTCAAAAAATAAGTAGATAAATAAAAATAAAAATAAAAACACATTTAAGACAGAGGAGAGCAGGGAATAGCATGGATGGGTCTAAGGTCTCAGGCTGGAGTGAGCAGGCTATGTGGCCTTCAGTGAAGTCAGAGGCGTCCTGCATTCCTGGGGCTCCTTTAGGCTCCATTTTTACTGGAACTCTTTCTAAAATGAATTATTTTAATAATTTCTATATAATAAACCATCTAATCTTCGTTAGATGATGCAGCACCTTCTCCAAGTGTCCCTGTGAAAGTTTAGTGCCCTTGCTTCAGCTGCATCTGAACGCTGCTGCCTAACTTTTCAATAACAACGTTCCCCAGCTCCCGCCTGTAAATGCCAATCTGAAAGAATAAATTACAAATATGGGTTACTTGAGAGGTTCAGTGTTTAGGGGTCTGGTAATCAAAGTTTATTGTACTCTTGGTTTTGTTTCTTTTTTCCACTCCAAAAAGTTTAATGCAACTAAATTAGCATCAAAGAAATTTGCAAAAGCTCTAAGTGAAGCCATGATGAACTATAACTACATAAAACCAGATGCCAAACAGAAAACTATGCAAAGCACTCTATGAGGATGTTCAAGAGGTTTGAAAGAGGGCCATGATCTGGGAGGAGTTAGTCACACAAGAGTCCAAAATGTTCCTTCTGGCTGCCACACACATCTTCTTCCAGGAAGATGAGTATAGGAAGCCTGGTGGGTAATGAATAATACCAAGTCTAAATCAAGAAAACACACATTTCAGATTTCAAAGGATCAACTGCTGTTGTGGCAGCTAATTGTAATTATCAGCAATTCAGCCAGAATTGGGCAAAATCTCCCTGAATTTGTACCTGAAACTTTTATCTGTAGAGTACCCTTCAAAATACTTGCAATTTTTTTTTTAATTTTTATTTTAGAGACAGGGTCTCACTCTGCTGCCCACACTGGAGTGCAATGGCATGATCATAGCTCACTGCAGCCTTGATCTCCTGGTTCAAGTGATCTTCCCACCTCAGCCTCCCAAGTAGCTGGTACTACAGCCACCATGCCCAGCTAATTTTTTAATAATTTTTTTGTAGAGACAGGGTCTTGCTATATTGCCCAGGCTGGCCTCAAACTCCTGGCCTCAAGCAATCCTCCTTCCTTGGCCTCCCAAAGTGCTGGGATTACAAGTATGGGCCACCATGCCTGGTCTCTGGAATAGTATTTGACTCAACAATGTGATAGTACATTTTGGCCTAAACAAAATCTTCAGTGGCTTTTAACCCAAGATGGACCCATACATGTGATGTACACAGCTTAATTTAAAAGGAATTCTGAATTTCCTGTTCTAAACTTAAATTATATTAACTCATTCTTCTCCAGCTCCCCTTATTTATGGGACATCTTTCCTTTCATTTAACATTCTGCAAAATTCCTGTGGAAATTGGAGCCCCTGTCATGGAGACTTGAATATCAAGAATATCAAGGGAGAGAGAGCTCTTTAAATCATGTGACCCAAGTCCTTCGTTTTCACAGATAAAGTGATGTGCAGGCAGAATCTTTTGAATTCTTAATGTGCAACCAACTACAAAATTAGCTAGGCTACAACTATGTGATCACATCATGTTGTATATGAGAAAGACTCAGCTCCACGTTTCCTAATCACTGAGAGGTTCTCTCTCTTTTTTTTTTTTTTTGAGACAGTCTTGCTCTTACAGATCATCATTCCTCCAAAGAGAATTCTAATCATTTGACCTAAATTTTCCAAGTGAAAGTTAGAGCTCCAAATACTCCCTGTAAAGGAGAGCCTCTGGCAAATGCTGGGTCATACATCTCTTTAAGAATCTGAAAAAAAAAAAAAAAAAAAAAAAAAAAAGGGCATAGGCCCATGTCCATAAAGTGCCATGTAAAATAATTCCAAAGGGGTTCACCCATTCTCAGATGCCTCTCCATCAAGGTCAAGGGTTTTGGGATTGCTGGTGAAGACGCCCCGCTGTCGAACATGGTTCATTTCCCTTAGATTTCATATTGGGCTTCAAGTCGTTGTCACTGTGGTCAATGGTATTTGTTTACGGAGGTAGGAGCTAGGCTTTCCTAGAGCTTGAAAACTGACATTATCACCACAAGAGAGAATTTCTATAAAAATTGTACTCTTGTTTTTAAGCACATATAATCCCTCACTTCTATTCAAAAATGAAAGCCCCCCCCCCCCCCCCAAGTTAAAATAAGGTACAAAGTTATGCTGGCGTTTACCTGTAAGACTTGTACTTGTATTATTAGTATACCCCAGTATTATAAAGTTTCTATATTTGATAGAGACTCACTTTCTCCCCACCACCAACCTCCCTGCCCCCAGAGCAGTGTGAATACCAGGGATCTAGTCTGGAATAGTGACTCAGCAGTATTTTGTAGCCTGGTCCCAGCTAATATTATCACTTCTTTATTAAGAAAGGGTTTTTCTCTTCTACCCCTAACTCGCAACTCTGAACTTTTTGAAAAAGTAGTAAACGAAAATAAAACATGCTTTTTAAAAATCATATCTTTTTTTTTCAAGAAAAGGGGAGTGACAAGAGATTTGCAAATTATCTTATCTCTCTCTCTCCTTACAATCTGTTGTTGTTGAAGAGAATCAAGGCAGAGATACTTTGCATGTATCCAGATGAAGGCCTAGCAATAGGTACGTGTAGGACCATGTTTCCTCTTCAATCTAGAAAAACCAACAAACTACCTTGTGCTAAGCCAACACTAGTCACTGGCAAGAACAAGCAACAAGAGAAATTTTTCTGCTGTAACACTGCACCAGCCTGTTTAATCCTTGGATTCCCCAATATTCAGCCAGTATGTATGCTGATATGTGTGTGTGTGAATACACATGTAGACAGACAACTGAGAGATTTATAAGTATCTTTTATTTTTCCCTGAGTCATCCAGTTTTTTGGGCCAAACAGATGGATAAAAATATTCTAATTTTGTACGAAACTGATCAAAGAAAGTGCTTTGAATTTATGTGAAAAAGTTTCCCATTAAGACGGTAGCTATTTTTTTCAAGCATGATTCTTTTTAATTGCGGAAAAGAGCCGAAAGGCTTTGTCAGAGGGCACATGTTTTCTATAAATCAAAAGGTAAATAAATGTGAGATTATTTCACTGGGCATACACATGGTTTTTGCTAAGTAAACTCTATTTATAAAACATTGTTAGCCTACACAGGAACTGCTGTCAACGTTTATAAGAAAGGAACTTTTCTACTGCTCTCAAACTTGCCAGGATTTGAAAACAAGCCTAGAAACATTAGTATTTTAGGAAAGATTGAATTTAAGCTTAATGTGAAATGGACCAACGTATGTTTTCTGGTTTTTAAATGCTTGGAACAAATCTTCAATTGTATATTAGCTTCATATTTTACCAGAAAATGTTTACATTGATGTAAGTTCCATTATTTCAACCATGCCATTGTTCTAAATCTTTCTGGAAGTTCTCTTTTGGTTATAGGTAAGGGTCTCAGATTATTTTTCTTATCATTGCCACTAAAACAAAAAATATTCTGTGAAAGGGGAGTCTTCGACATTAACTAAGCCTAGTATTCATAACTGCCACGCCATGTCCTCCCAAAGGTTCATTTGCACCATCTCTTCTCTTTATTATACCCACCCTTGACCACAAACACATTTATCAGTTCTGCTCAGAGCAGTCCTCAAAATGAATTTGCTGTGAAAGGAATTAGCCATAAGCAAGCATGAAGCAAGAGTCCTAGAAAACCAACAGCAAACCAATAAGGTAATGGTAACCTTAATAATAATTTACATTCTCCATTTTCCATTCAACTTTTCTTTCTTGAGCTGCAGTGCCTTCCAAAACAGAATTTTTCCCAATGCTTTTGCAATTGATCCCTACTCTAGGTGGATGTAAGCCAATGGTTACAGTCGTGAGCAGTTCCAGAAAGAGACATCTCGCTCTTTCTCTCTCCCTCTTGCTTTTTATTTTTTCCTTTCCAGTTGCGTCTTTCCCAATTGTAAGACTGTCATCTCTTGGCATGAAATGCATTTGTTTTTATTTTTAAAGATAAATATGCACACAGAAATGACTCATCCTCTTGAATGACAAGGGGAAAATATTAGGTAGTTCCACAAAAATAACTCAAAGGATTTTAAAATCTGCATAAGAAACTCCTGAATGTCCAAGTTAATAAAACACTTAAATATATTTTAGGATTATCTAACATGTAATCTGTATGTGATTAAACTGCTTTGGAAACAATGTAAATATCTTCACACCCACATATTTTTCCCAATTTATATGTCAAATTCCAAAATATTTAACCCAATTTATAAAGAAGACTCCATTTCTTTGCAATATATTTAAAAGGGAAAGGTTGCTTATAAAATGTAACCATGGTTCCAATAAGCTTAAAAAACAGTCATAGATGAAGAAAAACACAATTATTGTCTGTATCATTCATTTTTCTAATTTTGCGGATTGAGAGCTAGCAATCCTAATAGACGCTAATGAATTTGAAATTATAAGGAAAGGCCGAGTTCTCCAGAACTTCTGCTCCTAATCAATCAGCAGAGATCAGTGACATCATTAGCGCCTTTGATCACAGCTCCTCTTTCAAGCTCAGATGGGATGGATTGATCCTTGCTGGCACAGAGAATGGAGAAACACCTAGGAATACAATTCACTGTGAAACATGAGAGGTCATCAGCATCTCTTCCCTTCCTTCAAGGGGAACAGAGAGCGCATTCCAGAGCAGCCCAACACCAAACAATAGAGCCACCTCATTAAATCCAAACCTAATTCCCGTCTCATCTTCCTAGGATTCCTAAAGCACTTTAAGAGAGGAAGGGATGATAAGCTACTTTTCTTTCAAAGAACCTAGGTTACGAGCCTTTCAGTTTGTTCTTCCTTACCCAACATACCTACCTGGGGCTGGCCCCAAATCCCGTCACCATGTGGGGAGGGAAAGAATCTGTGGATTTTTTTCTCCCATTTTCCCCATTATGATGCGCTTAAACAAAGCAGAACTTCCCCTTCTACTTCTGAATTTTACATAATGAAACAAGTAATATTTGAGAAATAAAATTTTACTTAATAAAACTGCCAGCTACTCTACATTGGCCAAGAAGAAAGTCCTTGAATATAATGCTGACCACTACAATTTCAAAATACTTGCACTGCAGTCACTCAGCATGTTCTCCTCTGAAATGGTCACTTCGGGAATGAAAAGTTTTAATTGACCTTTTCTACATTTATTCCATGGTTGTTTTCTCCCCCTCCCTATTTGTAATAGCAGTCTAATTGAGTTTCGTGACTGGTGGTGAAATGTAGTTTATTATCTCCCTCATCAGGTGATCAATGATTTCATTAATAAGACAGATAACAAAACTGTCATATCATCGACACTGTTATGAAAGATGATCCTAGCTTTCTGCTCCATTTTCCAAGGTCTGGGGTTCTCTGTGGCAGCTCTGAGTCCATTCAATATTTTCCACAGACAGAGAAAAGTGAAAATCCATTTTGAAACCAATTTCAATTAGGATCCAGAAGCTGTTATCACAGGTGTCGCAGAATGGGCCCGTAAGTGGAAATGTCGCCTATCCATTCTGAAATGAAACCTTATCAGGGGCTACAAAGATGGCTGGGGACAGCCTATCTGTAAATTACTTTTCGTCCTGTGTTAACTCAACCTTAGTTGTGTCATATGGAATTCTTTCCACCCACTAGTAATAATCTAATGACTAACTAGACACAGCACCCAAACGGCTTTCAGCCGGGCAGGGCTGTCCCCAGAAACCCTTAAACATGGGTACAAATGCAAACACACTCGGGCCTGCAGGCGAGCAAAGGGACAGGCATGCTTTAAATGATAGAACTAAAAGTTTATTATGGGAAATAAAAGAAGCCCGTCTCCACCCATTGCATTCCTGGTGATTTTTCAATTGCAAACTCCAAGGCCCCGTTATTTCATTAATGCAGCACCCAAGTAGTGAGGCTTTTCTCTCACATCTTTCAGTCTCGTTTTAGCAAATTATCCCATGACGGCAGATTTATTCAGTCAAAGACCTCGGACTTTGAGAGGGAACAAAAGAATCAAGAGACTTTCTGGTCCACCTGCCTGGCGAATGATGAGGCAGGGAAAAGTCTCCCCCAGAGAAACCAATCAAACCATTGTGTGGCACAGTCAGACCTTTTCAACTGTCAAGCCAGAGAGCAGGGAAAGAGATGAAAGAATGCGGGATGAAGCTACCATTTACGGAACCATGTGGGAATGGTCTCCTAAGATTTAATAATTGGGATGGAACTCAACTTTCTACAACTAAAGAAAAAAAAAAGAGACAGGAAGAAAGAGACCAGGAAGAGGAAAGAGTCGAAGAAAGGGAAAAAAGAGCAAGCAAGAAAAAAAAAAATAACAGCCTAAATTGCACTAGGAATAACTTTAATACAAAAATTCTGTCTACCTGAGACAAAGTCCAATCTATATAAGTAAAGAAGAAAGGGGAAAGATGCTTCAAAAAAAGAAAAAAAAGACAAAAAAAAAATAGCAAAGCATTTGCTATTTTCCCTTTAGGTTATAGCTGCATTAAGTGTTCAGATTCTAATTTTCTCATGTAATTAATTTAAAGTAACAAAAACAATAACTAAAAGCCCTTTAATATGGCTGTCTTGTAGTTTTAAACATAAAACGGAATTTTAAATTGGCCTAAAATGTACATTCACTGGATGCTAAAAAAAAAAAAAAAAAAAGATTCAAAATAGCAGATGCTTTAGGTTGTAGATTTCTGAACAGTTTTCAAAAAGATTTTCGTTCTACTACAAATTCGACATAAGATATTTAAATAGAAGAAAGAAACTAACACTAAGTTTTGCTAACAGGACCCAGAAGAAACAGGTTTTTTGTTTGTTTGTTTGTTTTTAATGTGAAATGAACACAGCATCAAGCAGCTACTGAAGTTCCTATGCTTTCTATCATTACTGGGGACTCACACCATATGCGTTACTGAGCTGAGTTTAAAGCACAAGTGGTGGTCAAAATTTTGGGGAGGTGCTGGAACCGTTCTGTGTCTCGATGGTGGTGGCAGCTATGTGAACTTACGGATTTTCAAAACTCATAGAACGGCACACCACAAAGAGTGAATCTTACTGTATGTGAATTTTACCAAATAATAAACTAAAGCAGACATATCTGGAAACGTTTCTATGTAAACAAGGTAACAGGGAGTTTTTTGCTTTTACTATCACCCAGTCTCCCCAAAGCTGCCTGGAAAAGCAAGCCCTCCTCGACCTTGGGGGTCAGAGCAGGAGGTGGTGGGAGGCCACCAACTACCTCTCCAGAGGGAGATTTTCCTCCCATCATCACCATTTCGCCGCTTAAGCATCCACTATTTGGTGGTTGTTTCTGGTTCTGAGCAGCTTGTTTCTGGAAATTTGAAATGTTCACACCCCATGATCACATGTAATCAAAGGCAACCCAGAAACATCCCATCCAAGCAAAACATCATGCTGTGACTTCTTTTTGCTCTTAAATTTGAAAAATGGGAGTGATATTTATTCCTGATTTATCTGATATTCATTTATCCCAGGAATTGTTCTTTTTGAGGAGAAATCCAATAGCTAAAATCCCAACTTGTGCCAATTTCAGGACCAGTGATTTAAGATATTGTTCCCTAACTCTAGCCTGTTAAGCTAGAACCTGATAACCAACCTCATGTAAGGATCTCCTATTAGCCAATCCTTCAATCCTCAATCCTCAATTAGCCAATCCTCAATCAGACTAAAGCCGAACCATTCAGAGAATACTAACAACTGATGTTATGCTGAAAGGAGTGAGATGAAATGCATCAATAAATTTAATCCTGGCAAATTATACCCATAAGAGTCATATTACTATTACTATCAATAGCTAACATGTTTGGGTACTCTCTGTGCCAGAGTCAGACAGGTTAAGTACTTAGCCCATGATCACACAGCAATTACGTGGTAGGGATAGGGCTCAAACCCTGGCTTCTAACTGCACAACACTAATGCTGTTACACATGTCCCCTGCCCTCCTGTCTCAAAGTGTTGTAATTTGCAGGTTTATTCAGTATCTGCTGAGGCCCTCTCAGCAAACACACTGAATGTGAGCAGGGAGCGGGTAAGGTAGAAAAACCAGGTGCTACTCTCAAGAAGTTTAACTAAAATGTAAAACTTGAGTGCTGTGAAGGAAGGGACAGGATAAACTGGTGGAGCATGAGGGATCTTTAGAGCATTCAAAGTATTCTGTAGCATACTGCAGTGGTGGATATGTGACATACATTTGTCAAAACCCATACAACTGTACAACAGAGTGAGCCCCCATGTGAATGATGGAAAGTTAATAACAGTGCATCAATATTGGTTCATCAGTTGTAACAAATGTACCACATTAATGTAAGATGTTAATAAGAGGGGAAAGTATGTATGACGGGGTATATGAGAACTCTCTGTGTCTTCTGCTCAATTTTTCTGTAAACCTAAAACCTCTCTAAAACATGAAGTCTATTACTTAAAATAATAATAATTTTAAAAATAAAAAAATCTAGTGTTATAAGCTAGTTCCCCAAAGGACACAAGACCTTATGAGGAGAGAAAGAGACTGGGGACATATTCACATTTGAGAATTTAAACATGCATTGGTGTTAGCAAAACATTTCTATGGACAAGAGGCCAAGAGCCCTTGCATTTAGCTAAAGCATAGGTTATGCGATGGGATAGTAGCATATCTACTTCTGAACATATCAGATTGGACTGTCAGACTGGGGCCAGATTTTAGAAGATATCTAAATGTTAAGTCAAAGACTTTGAGCTTTATTCTACAAGTAGCTGGGAGTCACTGGAGCTTTTAGAGCAGGGTTGTGGCATAAGCAGAACTGTAATAAGCCTAATTTGGCAGGAGCAAGTCCCATGCGTGACAAGAGTGGAGATGAAAGGCAAGGTGATTAGACAGAGGGTCATTTTAATCATCTAAGCATGAGGTGTGAGGGTTTTCACCACACAGTACAGTAGGTTGGCCTGAAGAGACACACGAGCGAGTAATTACAGAGGAAAATCTAACAGGACCTCAAAACCGGTAGGACATGGGAGCAGGAGAGAAGGAGGGGTCAAAGGTGATGGTGCGGTTTCAAGCCTGGCTGACCACAGGAAAGGTGATATACTTAGCCAAAATAAAGAACACAGTGGTAACCAGAGTTCAGGACATGTGAGTTTGGAGCTCAAGAGAGTCGGGGCTCTTATTAGAATCAGAATATTTGTCATCAGTTAGTTGGTTTAGAAACATAAAAACTCTCTATAAAAAATAAAATCTAATTCGAATACAGCACAAACCACCAGTTCAACCCAGGAAAAGAATCAAGAAAAAGGATGTATATATGCTGCTTCTAATGCAATAGCATATAATCAGTACAACACTAGCTTTCAAGGTTGAGGAAACTGAAATAAATTTTCCCAAGATTATCTTCCCTATTTTCCGATTTAAGAAGGCATTTACAAGGAAGTTTACAGAAACTTTGTTTTTTTTAATCCATCCCTCCTTAAGATGTGCAAACTTAGTCACATTTGGGATTTGTGAAACATCTTGAACTGTTTTTCAGACATCTGAGTCCAGCAAATTCACCATTACTTTTGGCAAACATATTTCCCTTAATTTGAAAACTGACGTGTATGTTCAAGAAAACAGAATCTTTTTGTTTTGGATTCATAACGTTTAACTCACCAACATGCTTTGTCCTAATAGCAGAGGCTAACGTTTGCAGAGTCCTTCCTATATGTTTATGATACGGCAGCCTGTGAAGTGTGAAGTAGGTCTTACTATTGTCTTCCGAAACTGATGAGGAAACTAGAACGCTGAAAAGTTAATCTGCTCACACTCACATGGCTAGTCCTTCGTGTTGCCAGAACTCAAACCAAGCTTTCAGATCCCAGAACCTGTGTGTGCTACAAATGAACATCCTATGATCTGAAATCCATTTTATCTGAACATCCTTTCCACGTATCTGTCATGTGCCAGGAAATGGGATGTGGCAAAGAAAAAGGGTTGGACCTCTATAGAAACAAGAAACCGAAAACTCACAACCTATGTTCTTTATGGCGTGAACTGCCTGCCCATTTCAGAGCAGAACTGGCACATATACTCTTACCATTAAAAAAAAGTCAAGGAGACAAGAGCTTATGGTGAAGAATAGCAGATAAATTTCAAACTTCCAACAAAACTCAAAGCCATCTGACTCCCAGCTAGAAGACCAACAGACATCACAATCAGTGGTTGGTGCAAAAGTAATTGCGGTTTTTGTCATTACTTTTAAAGGCAAAAACCGCAATTACTTTTGCACCAACCTAACAACACCCATGCAATGGACAATTTAAAAGCAAATTGCAAGGCCAAGAAGTGACCAAAAGTTAAAGCAAAAAAAAAAGCAACTCCTTAGGAATTTGCAGACCATAACACTTTCCCCTTACCAACCTTGAAGAAAATAATTTTTTAAGCAAAGAACCAAATTCTTGTTTTTGAAAGAATCAAAGTGAACAGGGAACTTCCTTTGCATCATTAATCTATCAACTTTGGTTTCACATTGCATCAGCGTTAGGATAATAATTTCTGCTTTCTATCACTTTAAAGTATGTTCCCAATAACTATCAGATCTGATAAAAGATCCCCAAGACCACAGCCTACATACGTTTATCATTAGTTTCTTTTTTAAAGCCGAGTTGCAGATTAATAAGAACTATCGAATTACTCCTTTAAAACGAAATCATGGGCCAAAAATGAGGCAAAACACTTCAAATTGAAAAGTCAGTATTTGCAAATTGTTGAAAAAAATTTTATAAGAGAATGAGAACATGTAGAACATTGGAAGATTTAGATGAAAAAAACTCTTATTATTTAGAAAACACAACATGTAGCTTATGAAGTAATGCATCTACATCAAAAAGAGATTATTAAGGCATTTTACTTACAGTCTTCACACATTAATGGACTTGGACATTTTAAAGTCAACAATTATACCTAAGATCTGCATGCATACTTTCTATGGGAAAGCCAATATGTGAAATGCCACAAATGATCACTTAAACCACAATTGCATTTAAATAATTCAGAAAACTAAATGTCATCTCCTTCGTCATTTACACTTCAAATATAACAATAAAATTTAAAATCAGACTATGGGCACATGAAACTACGGGTACACTGTACTTCCTGCATAAAGATTACCAAAGGCTTTATATGTTGATATAGGTTCCTAAATGTTACAAAAATCAAATTTGACTTGCCTTTTTTTTTTGTCATACAAGATCTACAACACAGTTTTTCACTTGCATTATTTTAAATTTCAGTGTTAAGTGGCAAATGCTTCTTTAAAAAGCTGTTCAAGTTTTCTGAACTGTACCTTTTGGTTGTGGGTCTGCGTATGTTTAAACAAAACTCTATACGCATGTTATTCCAGGAGCAGATACTCAGCTGAGAAAAGTACGAAAACAGATCTGCAAGGACATGCAGTGGAATGTGAGTGGTTTGGCTGGGAAGCTCACAATGAAGAACAAATTGCACCACAGAATGGCTGGAAAAGTTAATTAAAGCAACCTCACCAATAACTCAGCCAGTAACAAAACTTTTTGTTCATTTGTGTGATTTTAATCATGAAATGGTGGATAGGAGAGAAAATGCAGGTATCACATTCATTTGGTTTTTGAAACTGAACTCTTTTTTTTTTTTTTTTTTGAGACAGAGTCTCGTTCTGTCGCCCAGGCTGGAGTGCAGTGGCACGATCTTGGCTCACTGTAAGCTCCACCTCCCGAATTCACGCCATTCTCCTGCCTCAGCCTCCCGAGTGGCTGGGACTACAGGCACCCGCCACACGCCCAGCTAATTTTTTATATTTTTAGTAGAGACGGGGTTTCACCGCGTTAGCCAGGATGGTCTCGATCTCCTGACCTGGTGATCCGCCCGCCTCGGCCTGCCAAAGTGCTGGGATTACAGGTGTGAGCCACCGGGCCTGGCCGAAACTGAACTCATTTTTAATTGTTCAGTTATAAATGGATATAGTTCAGGGCTTTGTTAAAGAAAGCACAAGAACCTTTCTGGAAACAGTAGCAATCAAACTACCTGTTATAGCATCCATATGATTCTGTTTTCCTTTCTACGAATAGCGTCAGTGCAGGGGTCCAAGCATTTATGAAATATTCATAGAGAAAAAGAGAAAAGATAGGAAGAGGGACAGAGGGACAGATGGATGGACAGAAGGATGGAGGGCCATGGCGATGTCAACCACCAGCCAGCACACGAATAGTGTCCCAACTTGGAAATCCTGCACCCCACGAGCTCTAAACCCAGACAGGGCCAGGTCCAAAGCCCACACACCAGTCCCTGTGATCAAGACTGAGTGCAGAGGCAGCAGGTGACCAGGTTGCAGAAGAAAGGGCCTCTGCGCTTCCAGCAATCCACGCCCCTCAGCATAATCCTGGGACTGTAAAAAGGCTCTGAACTAGTTAGATGAAAACTGTAGAGGACTCTGTAAAAAAGACCATGGTAATTATTAGCATCACATACACAAAGAAAGGGTTTATTGTCCTTTCTTTTACTTGTTCCTCTCTTTAGATTTATTTGTTTTCCAAGAATCTGCCTGTCGGCTTGCAATCCATGTTTAAAAACACCACTTCCATTTTTCTTTTATTTGATTTTTGTCCCAAAATATAAAACAGTAAATCTCTTAGAAGAAACAGGAACACTGAAAAACTGGCCAGAGTTCGCCAGATTTCTAGGACAGCTATCACTCAGGCATGTGCCCTGCAAGTTTGACCAATCAATGTCGGTCCCCAAACAGGACAGGATTCATACACATTTAGGAGAAAATGTGGGCTCAAGGGCACAAGCTGATCAGGGCAGAAAGCCAGGGGAGTGTGGTTGAGGAAACAGGTGATTATTTAACACTGCAGCACAAACATTTGTAAATCATGACTGCTCCTTCTCTGGCTAGTTTTATCTCGTGGCTTTCTGGTTGTTGTGGGGCTGGTCAGATTAGTTCTGTTCCCAATCACCCTCAACAGAATCATGAGGGAAACCCGAGGTCCAAGACCAACTCAAGACAAATGCAGCTGCAGTGGAAGACCTCCTGAGAATGTGTCCAGGTGTGGTAGTGGCACAAACAACAGCATCTTCATAAGAATGAGACTCTGTGGCCATGCAGCTGAGATTGACAAACAGGACAGGCGCTTCTGCAGGCTCCATGCAGTGCAGCAACATCTTCTGCCATGCACTTGTTCTTGCCTGTTCTCACATTCACACATATGCATGCTCACACGCATGCACACTCATAGTTACCTCTACCACCCACACCCACACACCTACACACTCACGCATACATTTGCCTACACTCACACATATCCTCACACACTCACACTCACTCACACCCTCACACACAGGCATGTGCACTCACGCAAACTATAAAGATAACCAAAAGCTGATGTTCCTGAAGCCAAGTACATAGGAAGCATTTATTCCGACAGAATTACCATAAAAATTACCAAATAACCAACACTGCATATACTGATTCTATTTCTGAAATAATAAATTTGCCTAAATTTTACCAATTCCAGAAAAAAGAAACCAAGGTAACATATTTCTAAGGAGAAATGCCTTCTATAACCACATTGGATGAAAAATGCAAATATTCTGGCTCAATTAAAATAAGCTCCAGTCTTGACTTTAAATACCATCAATAAAGGAGGAAATATTTTCACATATATGTAAATTCATTATTTTAACTCAGACGTAAATATATCTCCCTCAGGATCAATTTAAAACTGAAGTCATTTGCCAGCAGGTTTAAGAGCCAGCTCCTTCCCTACCCAGTACAGTCAGCAAAGCACACTCATGAAACCGGGTGAAGAAGTGCAGGTGAGAAGCACAGGCTCTCAGCAGACATGGAGGGACCCAGAGAGAAGTGGCCAGGCTGCTTGGAAGTATATGCCCTTAGAGTCTAATGTTCTGGACTGCAGTTACCTTCCAAAGGAGATTCTGACTCTCTAGGTGGATGTAAAAACTTGTAAATCAATCAAGTAAAACCTGTCTTGGAATATAGAAAATATAAGAATAGCAGGTTGACTCATACAAATCAGTGTGCCCAGATAGGCAGTGTCCAGGAACGAGGAAAACGGGCCAGCTCATTCTTCCTAAAGGCCCATGGAAAAGCAGAGAAATTCAGGGAGGCCAAGAATGGCTATGAAATCTACAAAAAGGAAAGGCATTAGTGGCCCACAATGGAGAAACAGCAGGGACAGGAAGTGAAGGTTACCATTAACATATTCAGTCTGTTTGTACCAGGGATGCTCTGGAATTTATTTTCAACACTCCATGCTTGAACTGAAATGCCTCTCAACACTTTGCTTAAACTTTAAAAACACAGAATACAGAAACAGTGGCTCTGTGTTATCTCTGAACACAAATAAGTAAATTAAATTTTTATAAGCTAACAACAAAACCTGCATCTCAGATACTAACATTACCTTGAGGTTCAGTCATTAACAATTCTTAAAATCCTTTAAAGTAGACTACTTAAAGTTGGGGTTGGAGGAGACTGCTGTCCTGTCACTAATTTTGACAAGACAACTTTTGTGTCTTTTGTACTAATTATTCCGAGTAGTGTAGATGATCCATATGCAACACAAAGCATTTTGAACTCTTGCCAGACTAGTCAAGATGATTTCCAAAATGCCAAAACAGGAACTTCTGATAATAAATAACCTATCACATTTACATCTCAAATTAGAAAGTTTGGAAGTCAACGTGTAGGTTGAGTGCCAAAATAGAGATTACTACATTCCATGTCCCCCCGCCGTCCCCCCGCCCCTGCTCCATTTGCTTTCTTTAGCGTCTCCTAGAACAAACACTGGTCCAGGTGCAAACGCTCAATTCACAAGGAATGCAGAGAACACAGAAATGACTCCAGGCTGGGCTGCTGGTAATCCCTGTGCTGCTCACCATTAGAAGTGGTGCTGGAGGCAACGGCTTTCTCGCTCACATCTGTTCGAGTGGAGCACTTCACTATGGAATTCTCAACTTTTTTCTTTTCAGTGGTCGTGGAGCTGTGGGACTGGGCCTCCATGATGTCTTCTCATTACTTCAGCTCTCTTCGACCAAAAATGCCCTAAAGAAAACAACAGAGCCATCAACTTTCCAAAATGGTGGAAAAAAAAAAAAAACTTTCAAAAGTCCACTTCACCTGTCATCTGAGAAAAGCCTAGAGCTTTAGGAAATTCAAAATGTGGATGACACTTCTCCACAGGTTTTCTGGCAAAAAAAAAAGTCTCAAAATTTAACAAACCAGTGAAACTCTACACAAGCAAAAAAGAGAACCGAGGGAAATGCCCATAACATGGTACTTTTCCCAAATCCCTACTGAGCGTTTGGTATCAAACGGTATAAAAATCTCAATTTGCAACTGTGTCTATCATGTGAAACAAGTGTCACATTACTTTTTAAAGCCACGTCTGCAAATGTCTCTTCAGGTGGCCAACTTTACAGGAAGGGGCATTTGAACAAATTCCAAAGGGAGGGAAGGTTTTTAATTATTAATTAGATGTTTTAAAGAGAGTCCGACAATTTCTAACATCGAAGGCCTACTCCAAATTCTGAATCAGAGGATAATTCAGGCCAAGTAGTCAGTGATTTTTGCCTCTTTCATAAAGATATCTGAATTGCAATATACCTCTTAATCCTAATTCATTCTGGTAAGCTATACTCTTTAACCTCTTTAAAGCATGAGAATATTTCAGTTCATTTAAGTTACACTTTTAAGACAAAGGTAATAGAACAACACGCTCTTGATTCCACATGGAAAAGTTGAAAGGTGCCTTAGCAAAGACTGGGCTCACTTAGGAAATATCAAAACTCAGCTAAAGGCAGGTTCAGTAGGTCTGTCTTTCACTGGCTTCATTCATGTGATAATCGCCCTAACTCATCATTCATCAATTTTCACTCTGGTTCATGTTCCTTTTTGCAGTCATGTTCTACACCTACAAAGAATACAAGAAAAGAGGAAAAGTACCCTCTCTAGCATGTTTTCTTCAAGTTATCTAGATTGCAACATTCATGGAAAGCATTTCTTAGGTCTGGCCATCTTGCTTATTTTTCTACATTTAGTAAATGTCGACATCCTCAATCACAGCAGTGGTTAGTGAAATGAAATAAGCAACTGCTTGACCAACTAAAAGTTAAAATACAAGATAAAATATTTTCAGTCTACTTTAACACATATTTGCAAGGGAACTGCAAGCTCTTCATTGTATAATAAATTCCTCCTTGATCTGGAATTCAAGTAACTAGAATGCTTAAGAACCAGAGGCCACATGGCACACTGTAGCACCGGCTCTTCCACTCACTTCCATCTCTTTTCTGAGATTATCCAGTGTCATTCATTGTAAAACACACAAGTTATTTAAGAACAGCTTTTGTAGAATAAAAAAGAAAAAAGAAGCACTAAGTTAAATTTACATATCAATTGTAAGATCCACTCCAAATTCAGAGACACCCCTCAAAGGGCACTGACAAAGTATTATACAACAGAAAAGGGGGCTTGAGATTTCCCTTCCGAGTGCAGCCACCGTGCGTGAGTCCCAAGGGCAGGGCTACCTGCATGGCGCCCCCTGGGGCTAGCTGGCCAGTGCACAACCGCCAACAACCTGTTGCTGAGCCTCAGTGATCTCATCTGTCAAATGACAGAATCGGGCAGTGAGATCTGACCTTTACTTTGGGCGGGAGGAAGTAACATCTTAAGAAGGTGTTAAAAGTTAAAGAGCTTCTCCCCAGAAAATACCCTTAAACTTAAAAGTATACATTTAATTTCCAAGGGATCACAGACCTTCCAAGCTTTTCCAAGAATCTGGACAGAGAACCCTTAAAGGAGAAATCTTTGATGGTCCCTTCTAGCTCTAACAATCTCAGAATAATTACTTTTTGTAATGGTCCTTGAAAATTGATTTAAATATCATCTTTAAAGTATGCCACAAGAATAATCCAATACAATTGGCATCATTGTTTCTCACTTGGTACAAGAACCATTTGTATCAGTGTTTCTACAGTGCTTGCTAAGCATTCAGATTCCTGCAATGCATTTGCCTTGGAGGATGGCACCCGGAACCTCAATGTTAGCAAGCGTTACTAATTGTCAGATTCACTAAAGCTTGTTTTTTTGTTTGTTTGTTTTTGTTTTTTCGGTTTTGTTTCTTTTGAGACAGAGTCTCACTCTGTTGCCCAGGCTGGAGTGCAATGGCGTGATCTCAGCTCACTGCAACCTCTGCCTCCCAGCTTCAAGCGATTCTCCTGCCTCAGCCTCCCAAGTAGCTGGGATTACAGGCGCCCACCACCATGCCCAGCTAATTTTTTGTATTTTTACTAGAGATGAGGTTTTGTCATGTTGGCCAGGCTGGTCTCGAACTCCTGACCTCAGGTGATCCACCCGCCTCGGCCTCCCAAAGTGCTGGGAGTACAGGCGTGAGCCTTGAACAACTGTTCTACACGTTTATTTTTGCTCACTGCTGTATACCCAGTGCAGTATATACTCATTGAAGTCTTTGCTGACCTGATGAACTAATGAATGAACTGCACTCTAGAATCCTGAATTCTAACACCCTACACAAACCTATCCTAGCACCCATCACAATGATAAACTCTCCTTCATCTGGAAAAGTCTGTGCTGAACATCCACCTCCCCTTTCCAGGCTGTATGCTCCATGAGGACAAGGCTTCTACTTTCCCAGCACTTAGTTCACGTAAGAATGTTTACTGAGTACATAAATGATCGCATCAATGACCCTGTGACTTACAGGACTCTGCAGCGTCTTGAATTTCAATCACCACTGGTTTAGCTACATACATTTTCTTTTCATATTCAGTGTTTCGTTGAAAACTGGCAAATTCTATAAAAACTAAAAACTTTAGCAGAAATATTTAATTGATCCAAACACTCCATTCTTAGCCATTGGGATAAGCAAGAATTTACTATGCTATAATTGTTCCCTTCGACACACACATAACAGTTTTATTGGCTGTATTTGAGTAGAGTCTACAACGTTAAAACTGCACACTGAAACATGCAAATGCACCAGAAAAAAACCCATTCAGAGATGGGATTCCTAGTAAGAACTAAGTATCTTCCTTAGCAGAGGGTGCTAATTAATAGGAATCAGGAGACAAGTTCCCAAAATTCCTTGACAAACCTGGTTTTTGTGGAGTTGTTGGTTTTTCCCCCAAGGCAAAGGACTTTATTTTAACAAAGCAATAAAACCCTCCCAATGCTCATCACCATAGAGAGAGGCTCAAGTGAGAAGAGGTAAAGCTCCAGGCACTGACTGAAATCACACTAATTAATGGTCTTAAAGAATACTAATTCCTACCCCCGTCTGAAATGGATTTTTTTAAAAATAGGCCCTTGGTCACTCAACAATCTACCCCCTTCTATTTTGACAACTTATTTTTGGATCTCATTAGTTAGTACCTAATTATTTAAAAGTGTGGTTTATGCTTGGAACTGGGCTATAAAGATGGCAATGTGCCAAATCAGACATCTGCTTCCTGTACACTCCTATAAATTATATCAGCTTATTTTACAACTTTGTCCCTGTCAGTTATAAAGAAGAAAGTTTAACATTCTAGACGCCCACACCTCATCAAACTGTGGGTGAAGAGTCAGTGAGCGGCAAAAGGTGGCCGCTTTGAGTTGTGGTGATGGAATTTTCAGGGAATAGTCAGGAGCTTGGAAAGTCACTCCTGAGCTGGTCCATTCAAGCATTCGGGATAGAAGTGGTCAGTAGAAATTCCTCATGGAATCTCAAAACACCACTAGGACAGTAGCTCCACGACACTTTTAAAACCTGGAGTTTAAAAAATAATGAAGTATAATTTATTTAGAACTTAAGCATCAAGGGAAAACGTTAAGTTCTGCTTCACTTCAAAGACTTTTCCCTGAGGAAAACATGCCACTGTTTTTCAGATGTGAATGAAATGATACTTTTTCCCCCGACATAGTTTCCTTGCTTACGACTCCACACTGTTCTCCTTCAATCCCTTTCACCACTGAAACATTACATGCAAGATTTGCTGGCATGCCCCTTGACTTTTCATGCTTAAGGGGAAAAATGTTTGTAGCTGATGTTTGAGTCCCAGGAGCTCGGTGAAGAAAAAAAAAAAAAGCAACGCAAGGAAAATTGCTCTAATGGTATATCCTTCCTAAAGCTTGAAGTTTCATAGGTAAAAGGAGGGATAAACATTCCTTCCTGAAAGCAAACAGTCAAGGCTTTTTCCCACTCAACTATCCCTGAACCTTTTGTAATTTCCCCGAGGCCTAAACCCAGGGCACAATTAATTCCAGACCCTATTTTAAATCTAATCCGTCTCCTATTTGCAACCTGCCTGCAGGTGGGTCTTTTCTTTCTAAATTATAAATCTGAACCTGCGTCAACCTCTTACAACACAAGGCATTTAAAGCTTCCTGGAGCCACTGACCTGGTGACGCTGTAGTGCACGTCTGCATTTGAAAGTAAGCAAGAGAACAGAAAGCGAGCAAGAGAACCGCAACCTTTACCACCTTGGCGAATTCTTGCCGGGACCTACATATTAAACAGCACTTGCACACAGACGCCTCAAGTCGTCCTCTTTAGAGTCGTCACTTAGACCTGCAAGGGGCGGGGGACCAGTGGAAACCCAAACAGAAACTTTCACCATTACAAAGGCGAGTCCCCATTGATTATGGTAATTGTTTTGCTCAGGTTGTACGGGTATGGCCAATTTTGTTTGAAAGCTCGCTCTTTCTCTGCGCTTTCCTGTCGAGTTCCCTTCAGGTTCTGGTTTCCTCCGACGGTGGCAAGGGATGTTTTTCACGCCTTTCACCACTTTTGCCCGCGCCTGCGTCCCCTGCCCGAGGTCCCAGGCCGCGGCGGCGGCGCGGTGGGTTCATTAGCGGGCGCGCCGGGCCCGCGCAGCGCTGTCTGCAGCCGCGTCGCCGCATCCATCATCATTACATCAGCGCGGGGAAGTCCACGCCGAGTTCTCCCGGCCCCGGCGCGCCCCAGTCAGCGCGCCAGCAAACAGAACATGCTGGATTGCTCAGAGACGGCTCTGGGTGTCTGGGGGCAGAAGGGGTGCTCCCAGGCCCGGCTTTGATCCGCATTTCTGAAGCTGGCTTTGGGAGACAATGCATCTCCGCCAGCCAGGCCGCGGGAAAAGTGAAAAAAGGGCTGGGGGCCATGTGGGGGTGGGGAGGTGAGCTCCAGCGCCAGCAGCGCCTGGCAGTCTCCCTCCAGTGCAGAGAAGCGGTCTGTATCAAGGCGTATCAGAGTGGTCACCCTGCTCCTCGGAATATTCACGGGCATTTGCAAACTCTACAGTTGGCCCAGCCAAATTTCCAGCAAACACTGGCAAGGGCCGGCCCTGGTTGCGTTCAGAGGGCTCTTTTAACTGGCTGAATTCAGGGAGCTGCAACCTTCCAGGTACTTTGCAATGCAACCACCCTGAGTGTCGCATTATAATAAAACATTGGGGATCCCTTGAAAAGCCTTCACAAAACCAATAGGTGTGTGCTTCGCTCACAAAACGTCGAATTCACCTTCTATGAACCTGGCCCCCAATGTGTTTTTCTTCATTAGCTGCCATACATAGATTCAAGTGCTGTGAATGGCTAAGACAGACACATCGCCTCATTGTCTTGAGCTCAGGGAGGCCCTGAGTGGAGTCCCAATGTTCAACCTCAACAACCAGAGGCTTTCTGTAGTAAATAGAAAATATGAAAAGTCACAAGTGTGGGAACGTGAGAAAAAATTAGCTTTTCTCCTTTCAAGTCTCTGCAGTGAAACCTCTAACCCCCATGGGAGCAGGATTCCTTTATCGTTTAAACACTAAAATGTTTAAAAATAAAGCACCCATGCCAAAGCCAACGTTTAAAATGATGTTTGAAGTGAATAAAACAACTTTCTAATGTAGGGTGAAGTCGAACAGCATCCTTCAATCATGATAGTGCATCCTCCCTGAACAGCAGACTACTTCATTTATTTCCCTAAGCCAGTTGGTTTAAGTTGCCTAAACTTGGGCAAAAACTCTCTTCTCTTTTTTTTCTTAGTGTATTTCAAGATTTAAAACAACTAAGTTAAAAGCCTATTTAATGATAACCCGATCTGTTTCTGATAGGTTAAAACAGCTACTGGCAATAAGAGATCAGAAACAGAAGACATTCCAGGCGAGGCAGTGCTATTAACAGCACCATGGCTCAGCCTTAAGTGAGAAATTATTCCGTGTAGTTTAGGGAACTATTACTCCAGTGGAAGAAGGTTTTCCTCCAGAGAAATAACATTTATTTACACCTGCCTGTATTTTCATAAGCTGAATAATCTTGATTTGCTGTTTTAAATATCCAGAAGAAAGCAGCTTGTCATAAGGATTTTTGAGGCAACCTACCCTGTAGCACTGAAGAGTGACATTGCTCTCATACTTATATTACTAGTAGATCAACTGCTACTTCAAGATGCTACTCCCGGATTAACCATCCAGGTAAAACTACTATTAAAGATATGTACCTCCCTGTAGCTATTTAATAACCCATTTCTCAAAAATAAATAAATCCTTTAGAAAGAGAATTTTTTTTTCAGAATCAAGAAGTACAAACTAATGTTGATTTGAACTTTTTGATCAATTCTGGAAGTGAGAAATAGTCTGAGTTTCAATGAGCAAAATGCAGGGAATTTTAAACATTTCATTGGATTTCATGTATTCATGCACCACAGAAAACCTCTTATAGGTTTTTAATGTGGTTGATGTTTCCTTGTGTTCAAAATATCTTCTGAGGGCAAAATCAATTAGATATGCATAACCTTTGTGACACTCTAGCAGTTCCCAGGATTCCTAAGGCTTCATTTCCTCTCCCTTCCCTGTCTGTGTTGCCTTTTTCTGCAAGGGTTGGGCGGGGGGGGGGGGGGTGGAAAGCCCAACTTCATAAGTTCTTAATGAAATCTTCATTAATTTTTAACCATTTTTTCATGTATAATTATTTTACCTGTATATATGATTATTTTTCCATAATCAGGAAAGCCTAGAATCTTAACTCCAAATAGGAAAGCTTCTATCTGTCCGCTTTGCCATTTGGTAGCTCAGGGTTCCCCAAATCCACTGCCTAGTGTCTTCAATCTTTCTTTCCTACATTTCTGATGCTCCTAATCACAGATAAGCAGTATTCATGACAGACATACCCAAATGGAATTACTCCAAGGGGAACTAAATTACTCTAAGGGGAAATAATTGCCTGGCTATGGATTAAGTGAATTTGGTTTTGGTAAATTAACACTATCTAAACTTTTAAGAAATCCATATATTTAACTTCAACCACTGAAAAGCTTATTTGACATGAAAGTAATCATTGCTACTGCAGTTAAAATCACAAACAACATTTCTGTGAGCCAGTTTTACTTTTCTGCCATTTGTATTTAAAAGAAAAGATCATCAGCTACTCTTCCCCTGTTGCCAGAAGTACTTGATGAGAAACATTTGAGGGGAGTATGAGGTCTCCATCTAATACTTGTTACCATTTCTCAGTTCTGTAAAACTATGAGTCCCACGTGCCTTGGTTAGGCACTGCAGGAAGCAGCATGCATAGCAGGTGCCATTAAAAAATGAGCAATAATGTGCAGCACACTGGCACCCCCACTTTCTACGGGGTTAGCTGGATACAGGCAATCCTTCTCAGACAGAGAAGGAGATCTGGAAGTCAGTTATCAGTCTATAGATCAGCTAAGCTCATGAAAACTGTATTCCTCTTAAATCCACATATATCACAAAAATATCATGACTGATCAGATGTGTCCCTTGTCTCGCTTCCCTGAGGCTTATAGGAATTAAAAGTTTTCACACATTTTCAGAAGAAAAAACTTTAATTATTCTTATAGAACTTGTGTAGCTTTGGTTTCTTAGAATCATGTGTGTCTTTACAGTAAGGCTTAAGGGAGTATAAGGGAGTAGAGTGTATGTTCCATGAATAGTAATTTACTTTTAAACCATCACAAATATTAGACCAATAACCTGTTGCATGTTAAAATCATCTACAGCTATCCCAAAGGTATTTAACATTTTTTTGTGAAGTACTACTTACCATATTTTATCCTCCCAACTTTTAAACTTTTGATCCTTGATTCTTAATTGCAGATTTAAAAGCAATACTTTCAGAATTTAAGCATTTATAATTAAGGATTATCCAGTAAAAATTACCCCATGGTCCACTTACCCTATAAACTTTGCTTGTTCACAGACAGAATTCTTTAGCTGTCTTATTTTTCTGCCTTGCATGTACAAAACTGCCAGTGTAACCTACACCAAACTACACACCCTCTCAATGAAACTCTCTGATATGGAATTTCATTGTAGTATCCACAGTTCAAACAGCAGACACTGTCCTGAAGTGGCATGGCCTGCTCCACACGTCTGGCCACTGGATTCCAGGTTTCCATACATCAGAGTCATTAAGGCTTCAATCTTAAGCTGCTGGATGAAATTTCTCTACACACTGCTAACTTTCTTCAGACTGAATCATTCTTTTTAAAAATATCACAAAATGAAATCAATAATAGGGCTTAACTATCTCAGTCCTTCATTACTGCAATTTGAAACTTATCTTTCATCTAAATGGTGAGTTTTCAGTCTCTCTTTGTACAAATCAATAGTTTGTAATGTAAAGCACTCTGGAGCCTTCCTAGGCATTTCATGCAATCTTCAAAAAAAAAAAAAAGTTAAAGTAGCAAAAGTTAAAAATTTCCACATGAAAATAAGCAATATAATGTCACACTACCTTCTGAAGTTACTCCAATAAAGATTTAAGTAAAAGTGCACTTATCCCCCATTACTTAATTAATTTAATTTTGTGGCATAAGAATTATAGAAGTACACAATCAAATGCTTGTGGTCAAAATGTACTCCTGTGCCACCCTCCCCCACCACCTAGCCCCCTCCCCTCTTAAAAAAGAAAAGAAAAGCCCCTCTAGCTGTTTCAGGCCAGCAGTCAATCCAATTTACTGCAGGTACAATTTATATGTACAGTGCATGCCACAACAAAACCACAGTATGATGCCAACACGGCCCTTAAGAAAGTTTTCCCCTAAATCTCTGGAAAGGAGCTTTAAAAGAAAGCAAGGATTACAGTCAGCTAGAAGGTAGGGAGGGGACTTACCTCAAACCCAGTCAAGCGGAAATCAGAGCAGTAATTCTACAAGTCGACAGAGTACACTTTCAAAGCTATAATGGTGTGAAGAAGTGCTGGGCAGCATGGCCTGAAGGCAGCACTAATACACTGATGACTAATGGCTGGGCCCGGGCAGACAATGAATTTGGGGCTTGAACACTAACAGAAACCATGCAGTACTTTGACAAATGGGCTTTCACAATTTCATTCATTGAATAACCTTTAAGCACAAAACTGGCTAGCGTTCTCTTGGGAATTATATGACATGTTGTTGGACAATGATGTAAGTATTTTCTTTTTTAATTATGACTCCTATGCAAAATGCAGAAGTGCCATATATGAGAGTACAACTATAGATACCACAGATGCAGATGTGGAGCTCAACACAATATTGCCTTTCAGGAGGGGGCTGAAATGTTCCAAAGCCACCTTATTAACTATGTAATGGCTTTTTCATTCAGCTTCTTTAGAAGGCCATAGATTTTCTGAGACATTTTGTCGGGTTGAAATATATACACACAGAACAAAAAACACTTTCACATTTAAAAAAACCAAAAGACACTCACAGAGGTAATGAGTAGTGAAGAAATTTGGCACTCAAATATAGCGCATTTAGAATTACAAGTGGAAAAAGTCTCTCATTTTCAGGGGCCAGGCAAAAGAAAAGTGCCATAAAACAATTGAGACACCATGTAAAGTTTGCGATCAAATGTACTTCCAAACACATTTAACATTCAATTTCTTTCAAACAGCTCTCCTCCCTCTCCCTGGAGTGACTGGCCTTTCAATTTAAAAATAATAATTATGGCAATTTTTAAAAAAGAGAATGAAATATCTAAAGTGGCTCTAAATTAACAAGTACCACTTACTCCAGACAGCATTGCCTTTAGCAGCTCCTAAAAACTTAAGAAAAGGATCTTAAAACAGGAAGCTTAGTGAGCTCATAAAACTGTTGCTGGAGCCAGGAACACATAGCATATTTAATCTGCAAACTGTGAGAGTCTACAGTGATTTCAGCAAGATCTGAGGCATGCCCTCAAGGTTTGCTGGGATCTGGGATTAGGGGGTTGATAAGAACCTCCACTGCCCATGGACATGTTTTTCTTCTGCAGTTAAACACAAATGCATAGAGACGTTTGACTGCTGCTTGGCGTTACTGCTCAAGTTATATAAAAGCTTTGCAGCTCCTTTTGCTGTCAATATATCAAAGTTTAAAAAAAATCATCAAAGTGTGAAATTTCATTTAAAGTCTTCGCCAGTCTACAGCTCTATTTCACAGGCCCATCAAATAAAAGTAAAGATGAAAAATACACTGAAAATACTTGAAAAAGTTTGCAGCAGTACCCCCTGCCCTGTTGTTGTTTATTCTGTCTCCCTTTATTTGCTTTGAAACCAGAAACAGATCAATTTTCATCTAGAAAAATGACAACGTGAAGAGAAGGGCAGTATCTTCTCCTAGGCTTTAATGAAAAGACAACCTGAAGTCATTATTAGAGTGGAACCTTTTGTTTAACAAACGTGTGTGTATGTGTGTGTGTGTCCTATAAAGTCATTTCAGCATTTTAATTGCCTCTCATGATATAAGTTGGCAGAAAATTTACTGAATCTTCCAAAACAAATCAGACCGACCTCAGAATATGAATGCCAGCAAAACTAAAACCTCCTTCAAAGAATTCTTTAGCTGGGGATTTACAACAATTGCATAAAGAAGAAAAGTCTGACTTTTAAGATAATCTACTATAGTCTAAAAGCATTAACATTCCATTGCTAAGGTTTTCTTGAGGATTTCATGACTCATTGATTCACTTTTCCTTCAAGACTGGTTTTTCTTAGTACATTACTGTCTCCATGTAAGTGAGTGCATGCAACAATGATCATTAAATTGTTTCTTTTCATAAGCTCCCAAACTCTATCCTCAAAAAATGGAGGGGG
This sequence comes from Homo sapiens, assembly GCF_000001405.40. Classification (NCBI taxonomy): domain Eukaryota; kingdom Metazoa; phylum Chordata; class Mammalia; order Primates; family Hominidae; genus Homo; species Homo sapiens. The sequence goes on from NC_000007.14 coordinate 42,234,294, forward strand.
AGAAGAGGTCTCAGTAAGCAGGATACCTTACATAGGAGGAAGGACCTCTAAATGGCTAAGCACAGAGGAAGTCTGAAATGCTTACAGCATGCAGGTAATTAAGGAAACTTCACTGGCCAAGAAACAAAGGAAAGTCCAACTTTTAGGCTTGCACATCGAATTGATAAATTAACAATTCTTTCATTAAATAATTAATGAAATAACTCTACAGAGCCATTTTTCATCAGTATTGAATTTTCTCATTTCTGTCTATGGTCCTTTGCAAATTAGATATACAATAGAAATGTGTTTATATCAAGGTTCAGTCAAGGAACACAAGCATGTTAAAGGCACTGGGAATTGGTAGGCATCTGAGTTGGACCTACCAGCCTACTAACAATAATACAATCTATATCTTTAAAGTGTTTCTGCTTGTGTGAAATTTCACTAGACACCTCTCACATTGGACTCATTCATGCATCTTAAACCAAAGCTTCCCTAGGCTGACTTTAAGAATTGCATACCCTGAAAGGATCTCCCCTTAGGCGGGGAGTTTCTAATTAAATAGCTTTTAGTATAAAATAAACTCTCTACTCTGTATAAGCATGCTATTACAACTAATTTAAATGTTATTTCATGTTTGTTTTAGGTTTGAATATAGTTTAACTGGCCAAAGTGTTTGTGTACCAGGTCGTTAAGACCAATATTTCCTAACATAAACAAATTCTTCAGATACTTCACAGAGTTTACATTGTTAAAACCAGTCCCGGCAGCTTTAATATATCCCCTCAACTGAAATACTGTTCTGCTTTAGAAAAATTAAGAGATTTTGAGGCTATTTCACTATTTTAAAACATAGCATTTTCCTCCTTCAAAAGAATCTTGACACATGTAATTAAGAAACTGTCAGACTACTATTAATTTTTAATCTAAAACCTAAATGAAATAATTACAGGAATCAATCAATAAGGCACCTATTCAAAATTACCGAGCAATTACATAAATACTCAAAATTAATACTTTAGGTCAATTCTTGTAGATTTCGGTCTATAATATGCTAAGACATCAAACAACACAAAAAGTGTAGCATGGGGAGGATGAATGGTTCCTGCCTTAAATAGACTGAAAAGAGCTCATTTCAGACGGCCAGGGTGCAGGCCCCCCACCCGCCATGCCCAATGCGCTCAAGCTGAAACTCTTTTATTTTTAAAAGTTAATTTATTTCCACCAGACACATATTTCAGGGATCTAAAAAAACGGCCTCATCCAAATTCTGTACAAAAATCACATTTAAGAGGGAAAGGCCTAATTACTCGAATTTTCAGCAAAGTGTATATACTGTGCTCTGGAAAGCCTAACTGGAGAGAAGAGGGAGGAGAGGAAAAGGGGAGCAGGAGGTATTTTTTAGAACTAATAATACCAGCCCGGCTAATGGCACTGCCATGTATTTGCACAGCGGCCGGCCCTCCATACCTTTGACTAAAGGGTTCTTTGACTTGGAGACGCAGACAGTCCATCATTTCAAACTGAAGTGGCAGCTGGAAAATGTGGAACAGCTGGCAAAGAGCTGGGAGAAAATGTTTTACATAAATATATGTACATATAAACTGGCAGAGGGCCATGAGCACTGTACCCAAGGCCAGAATCTACCCGGCAGTCTGCACTGGGGAGATGAGAAGTTGGGGCAGGATGACCAGCGGCGGAGGGAGCCTCCTTAATCCTCTTTCCACGCGGGGTCAGGCAGGGAAGCCTGGGGTGCAGCGCCTCTCGGGGGACGGCATCTTACAGAAGGAGGTGCAATGGGGGACAGGAGCACAAAGTTCAGGAAAGGATAAAAGGCCGGGTGCGGGGTGGAGCGTCCGCTTCGGACAATCTGCTTAAAAGTCGCTTCACAAACTCTGCAAGTTTGGGATCAATATTTACACCCTCTCTGCCTTCTCCCGCCCGTTTTCCCGCTGCTACTCAAGAAAGTAACTGTCCCCTGCTGCTCTGTGTAAACGCGGCACCTTAAATGATTATTGCATGGACCACGGTTACTTTGTGTGTCTGTGCGCGCTGCCCCTGGAAAGGAAAAGAAATAAGAGAATCCCAAATCATATACAGATGGTACAACTTTCACTTTTCCTCTATGACGACGAAGGCGCGCCTCTCTCCATCCGCTCACACCACACCCCCGCCCTCCGAAGCATAGCCCGGGCTGGAGAAGCCCCAGCGGCGGCGGCCCCCGCGGCGGAGGTCCCCGCGCGCACCCACCATGCCTCCCGCCTCCTTCCGCCCATCCCGAGCGCCGTGCGCGCCCGAAGCCCGAGCCGTAGAGCGCCACCGCGCAAAGGAAGGAGCCAGGCGCGTGCGGGGCTCGCGGAGTTCTTCTGAACCCTTTGGATGGGGGCGGAGGCGAGGGGCGCCGCCACCACTGCGGCAAACTTCGTCCCCCCTCCGGGAGGTGAAATTCTCCAATCCGTCTCCGGCCGGTCCGCGGGTCGGACTCTTCGGAAAGGACCTTCCAGGAGGAGGGAGCGAATGCAAGCCTTGCTCGGACGCCTCACCGGCGGCTCTCTAAATCTGGGCGCCTTTTGACAGCCATTTTCACTCCATCCCGTCCCCACGCTGGGGACCACCTCTGGCCCCGGAGGCGCGGGCGCGGCCGCAGGAGCGGGCTGCGGGGTCCGCGAAACAAAGAACTTCGAGCGGGACGTACCTGCGGCGGCAGCGGCTGTCAAGTCCCCGAACTTCCCATAGACCCGCGGACGGGGCGCAGGCTGGCGGCTCCCCGCTCCGCGCGGCCGCGGGCGGCTACGGCTACCGCGAGCGGCCGGGCTGGGCGCGGGGTGCGCCCGCCGCGGGCATGGTGCGGCGCGGGCGGCCGCGGGGCGCGCGGGGAAGGCGGGAGAGCGGCGCGGGTGAGTGGGAGCGGCGGGTGTGCGCGAGTGCGAGTGTGCGAGCGCGCCGGTGGCGCTGCCCCTGCCCGCTCCCTCCCGCTCGTGCAGCTCCGGCATCAGTTTCGGGGATCGTGTAATCCGATCCCTTCTGACTCACAAGCCCTGAGTGACAGTTCTGATTTGGTTCAACCGCGGGAGGGAGGGGAAAGAGAAAGAAAGAAACCCCCAGCCGTACGCCTCTCCTGGCATCCAATCGACTTTCTGGAAAAAGGTCCCATCCCGGCCTGGTGCCCCGTGCTGGGTGGAGAAGCCCCCCGCCCCGACCTGGCACCGCCTGCACTACTCACGGGGTGGAAAAGTTGTCCCTCGGCTCCGCGCTCCCCTCCCGCGCGCTCCCTCCTTCCCTTCTCTCCTCCTCTTCCTCCTCCTCCCCGCGCTCCTCCTCCCCCAAGTTTTAACAGATGTTGCCGGACTCTCCTCGCTCCCTCGCACTCTCTCTTCCTCCGCCCCGGCCCCCGCCCAGTCCCTTTTCTTTCAGCCACTCTCGGGCTCGGAGGGGACGCGCTGAGCAGCAGGACGCCTGCCGCCGCAGGGGGCGAAGTTGGGAAAACTTGGAGTGCTGCTCGCCTTACTTTTGCTTTCTCGCTCCTTCCAGGCCGCGCCGGGAGCCCCCGCTTCTCCCGCCCGCCGGGTCCCCAAGCCCGGAGTGGGTCCCAGCTGCGAGGCGGGCGGCGGCGGCTGGGAGGCGGCGCGTCGCGGGCCGGGGTCGGGGGCTGGGGGGGAGCCCGGGCGCCGCGAGCCACGCGCGCGCTCCCTCCCCGCCCTCCGCCGCCGCCGCCGCCGCCGCCGCCGCCTCCTCCTCCTCCTCCTCCTTCTCCTCCTCCTCCTCCTCCTCCGCCCCTCCCCGGTCTTCACACAGACACATTCATGCCTGCTCCTCCTCTTCCCCCTACTTGACCCCGCGCCCTCCCGGCGCGCCGAAGCCCCACCCACCCGGCGAGGGGAAGGGGGCCCGGGCGTGATGTCACCCGCGCCCTCTCTCTTCTCTCTCCACACCGCCAGGACACCCCCCAAATGCGCGCCCTGGCACTCGTGCTGCGTCCTGTCTGCTCCCATCTTCTCCCACCCAGCCTCTCTTTCTCACTCTTGCTCAAGGGCTGGACTCCCCTTTATTCTTTTAAGGCTTCTCTGATTACCACCGCCCCCCATCCTTGGCTCCCCATCTCCTTGTTTTACATTTTCCCAAAGCCATCCCCGAAACTCCCTCTCGCGGGATGATGCCTTTGGAAGTTCAGGGTTTTTCTCTCCACCGGACTCGTCTGCCCTCGGGGCCAAATCCGCGAAGCGAGGAGGAGCTCCCACCACACAGCCTGCTGTCCCTATGGGCCACTTTATAAAAGACACAAAAACAAAGACCCCAGGCTTGGAGCCTGGTCTCTAACGTGCCGCTTTTCCTTGAGCTACAAAGTGTCTCTGTCCCTGCTTCATTTTCAGAGGCCCATGCTAGTAAAAGTTATTTGGCCTCCTTCCTCGACCATCCAGTCCTTGTTCATCTGCGTCATTTTAATATATCCAACCTGGACATGTAACTTAAAAAAGGAGTTCTCGGGGGGAAACACAGGAAGAAAAAGAAAGAAAAGAAAGCCCCTGTGACATTCCAACATCCCCTCTTTCTGGTTAAGCCGGGTCCACCCAGCCAGAAGTGCCCCGGAGCTCCGGGTTGCTTGTGTGGCGTTGCCGCCAAGTGTCTTGACTGAAGGAAGAGTGTGGGTGGATGAATGATGAGCTATTAGAATTTGAAGAGCATTTTGAGATTCAAATGCTTAACTGAAGAATCTTTTAACGAAATTGAGGGTGGTATTCATTGTTTGTTTCTTGGGACTCCTTCCTTGTCACAATGACATGACAAGTGCAGAGACAGACTTAAGGTTTTATGGTGGAAGTGGTGGAGGTAAGGTGGGGCTAAAGGCCCTAGTTAGCCATTTGTTTTAAGATTTCCCTCGACCTCACGGCTCAGGAAAAAACAAAACACCACTGACTCATCGCAGAGAGCACGAGACTCAGAAGCCCTGTGGCAGCCCCATCTCCGCGCTCACTAACTGGCCTCAGGCCTGGGAGGATTCTCTGAGCCTCCATAGGCTCTGAGCCCATCTAGGGGATAGTGTTAGGAGTGCCAGGTCGCGTACCTCCCAGGATGGCTGAGGGTTTCCAATGAGAAATACATGGAAAAGTATAGAGGGCTACAAGTGTGTAAGAATTATGCTTTTACAATTGAAGAGAATTGCAAGCCACTCTTTCCTTTATATACTCCCAGCATCAGTTACAATTGTTTTTAGTATTCATGTACTGCTTCTGCCTCAATCACATGAATACAAATAGTACATCCTGATAGCCTACTCTGTTCACCCAATGGCAAAAAATAAATACAAAGAAAGACAGCCAATAAATCATCAAATAATAGAATAAACTAGATATTTCGACTCTTACTTCAGTCTTATAGCACATTTTGAATCATGAAGATCTTGATTTTTCAGTTCTTAAAAGACAAGAACAAAGCAAAAGCAGCTAATCTTTCCCCCTATGCCCGTCACAATAGCTAAACAAAAAAGAGGAAGAATAATGCTGTGTCTCTTATGTGTCCAACTCTGCTTTAATGGTAAACCCATACATATAAGTAGGCACATTTTGCAGAAACAGTGGAGGGGTAAAAAACCCACTTTGCCTGAGTGTGGGTTAAATAATGTCATAATGCAGTGACTTTCTCTCTGTGTTAACACCAGAACGCTTTCCAAATTAAATCTTACGTAGAATCCCAAAATATAGAAGAGTTATTATGGTTGAAATTGGAGTGAGGTCTCGGAGCCCAATCCCCCTAAGCCTTTCTCTCTTTCCCTTTCCTGCAGTTGCTCCTGAGACATCTGTAAAAACCCAAAGACACCCAGAAAGACAATGCTACAACCTTTGTTTGTAGTGATACACAGCACTAAGAGACTTACAGGATTCTGTGCACTGCCCTTCCTTGATGTCTGAAATTCTATCATAGATTGACTTATTGCCATCTCTCATCAGTTCTCTTTTCAAATGCAGATATCTTAAGAAATTTTAATATAGTAAGTCCTCAGAATAGTTAAGCTTTTAAGACAGACTTTCTTTCTTGTTGTTGCAACAGTGAAGTAGGAGATACTTGAAGATACTTGCATTTGTTTTCTAGGGCCATGGTAACAAAGTACCAAAAACTGGATGGCTTAAAGGACAGACATGTATTGTCCTATAGTTTCTAGAGGCTTGAAGTCCAAAAGTAAGGTGTCTTGCAGGGCCACACTCCCTCTGAAACCTGGAAAAGAAATTTCTCCCTTGCCTCTTACTGGCTTCTGGTGGTGGCTGTCAATCTGGGTGTCCCGTGGCTTGCAGCTTCTCCCTTTCAGTCTCCACCTCTGTCCTCATATGGCATTCTCCCTTTGTCTCTGGCTTCTCTTCTTATAAAAGCACGAGTTATATTCTGTTAGAGACCCACCCTACTCCAGAATGACCTCATCTTAACTAATTACATCTGCAACAAGCCTGTTTCCAAGATCATATTCTGAGGTTCCTAGGGTTAGAACTTCAACATTTTCTTCTGGGGGACATAATTCAACTCCTAACAACACTGCAAAAGATAGTGGGAGAGGAATGAAGGATACGCAAGAGAGAGAACAAAGGATGAACCTGGAAACAAACTTCACGTGCTCCTCTGATTCCTACCATGGGCCGATGTTATACAAATACTTTTCTCCCCTCACTTACCATGGCAGTTCTTCCATCTCCCTGCACAGTAGCACCCAGTTAATTATTGGAAAATTCCAGGAGGATAGTCCATGTGTACTAATAAACTTCAAGTTGCATGGGACAAAATTCCACCTCCAATTGACTTAAGTTAAACTTCAGAGGGATTGGGTGGCTGTTTTTATTGACAAAAAAGTCCAGAAACATGTAGGCATGCTTTAGGCAAAACAGGATCTAGGGGCTCCAATAACGTCTACTGGGTTCTGTTTTCATCTTTCGGCTCCACTTTATTCACACTTCATACAAAGTTTCTTTAGGCAACCGAGGAAGGTGGCCAGAGGCAGCTGCATTTTCATAATCAATCTGAGAGTTTGCATTCCCAGAAAATAATGACCTTTCCCAAGTGGATCCGATATTCCCCTTGGCCAGGCTCACCTCTCTAGGTTTCCTCCTGCCCACTCTGCTTTCCTGGGTCCTGGTGATTTTGCGTGTTCTGCACACACTTTGCCAGCCAGCCTGCATGTAAGGAAAGTACTAGGGAACAAAGGTAGATCCCTGGCCACATGAATCTCTCAGGAGTGCCTTGGGAAAGGAAACACTCTGGTGAAGAGTGGTTGGGCCTGAGCCTCCCCACGCTGACTGGCCAGCTGCCAGGAAGGAGAATACTTTTAAGTGCATCGCACACGGGGCCCTTCTTGGGGTCTCTCACTCAGCACCCGCGTAACTTGTTCTTCCATCTTCCTGGAACATTGGGATTATAAATGTAACCCAGATGTCTGCTGTGTCCCTCTTCACCTTGGAGATGTAGCTATAATTGGCTTGGACCTCCGCCAATCCCACAAGTTGGGAAGATCTAAAACCCTCTCTTTGGATTTCTGCAAATTTCAGAGCCCCTGTGGATGCTGTGTGACATTGACCCATACCCTATACTCAGATCCTTGCCTGCTCTTCTGGAAACTCGCTCACAGCGGGCATGAGGTGAGCATGGTGGATTTTACTCATCATTTAGGCAGCCTAGAGATGATTTTCTGTATCCCGCTTTTTCTAAATAAAATAATTTTCTCTCAGTTGTCTCAAACCAAACACTTCAGTAACCAGTGTTTTCTTGAGGTCTCTCCTTCCTTCCCTAGGAACTTATTTATGTGACCTGGTGGTTTCACCTGTCTCTTCTATCCCTCTGAGGCCTCTCCACTACCTTCATGACCATCTCTTATCCACCTGGCAGCAATGTTCTGTCTTTCTTTGAGTTTTCTTAAAGCTGGGTAACAAGCAGTGGTCTGTAGGGCAAATGTCATCTGCCAATGCATGTTAATTTGATATGCACCAGTAAATTTTGCATGCCTTCAGGTGAAGCCTGTACTCCTCATTTGGCCACAGTCGCTACCACTCCCTACAGCCTTATACTTGCAGCATCACTTGTTTACATAACTTGCCTCACTCCTGGAAACGTAGGTTTGCTACCTTTGCCCTAAACAATCCACTTACATAAACTGCAGGTTTTACCAAATCTTTCCGAAAACAGCCTATAAAGGAGAGGATGTGACATCAAACACATCACAGCAAATAGCTCCGACATTCCCCACTAGAATGTCTGTCCTTTGTCCTTCTCTAGTCATGCCCCCGTAGGGATATTTTTATTTACACTGTCCTTCTATTCAGTGCCCAACCCCACTGACTTCTCTTCCCTTAGGCAGAGCAATTCATATCTGTCCTGCCAAACCTTGTGTTCTGAGAGATTCCAGTATGCAGAAAAACAAAGAGCCCTCCAGTTAGCAGGACCCATCTTCCTTAGAAGATGGTTTACAGCATCTTGTACTAGTTGATCTTGTCTTTTAAGTTTCACCCCTAGTCACCTTGTCCCCACACCTAGAAGCTTGTGAATTTATTTTTTTCCAAAAACTATAAGGAATTCTTATGAGGAATTTTGGTGAATACAACCTCCTCTATTTTGTTACAAAAGAGATGGAGAAAATGGGGGCCACCCACCTGGGAATATAATGGAGAGTTTGGGATATTTCAAGGAAAGACAAGAAGCAGTGGTCATGAGCTTGGGAACCACAGTACCCCTGGGAAAAGGGCATTCCCCAACCTCTGTGGTATTCACAGGAGGAGCTCTGAGATCAGAGGGAGAGGTTAACATGAATGATAACAGGAAAAATGATCACCTTCCAGAAAAAACTACAGCAAAGCCAGTCAAGACCAGGTGAACTGGTAAAGAGCTTACAGTGTCCATGCGAGAACTTTAGTGAACACCAAAGAGACTCCTAGCAAGGGAAAGGAAGGACATAGGATCTCGGAGGCACAAGATTCCAATAGCGTGGAGCCAAGGGCCAGTGATGGTTTCTATACCTTTGTTACTCTAGCATCCCTTTCATGGTCCAGCATGACTAGGAAAAGTAGCACAAATTATACAGAGAATTTGGTAGGTGGGAGTTTGTCTATCTCTCCACCTGTAGCTCTCTCTTTGTCCATTGTGTGTAGCATACAGTTCTGCTTTTTATGATAGTGACTAGTAGCCTCACTTCTTTGGTGCTTTAATATTGATCAGATGCATATAAAAGAGAACAGGCCTGGATTTAAATCATTTCTCCATCATTACTAGCTTTGTCACTTTGCTAAATCAATTCACTCAGTTTGCCCATCTGTGAATTGGAGATAACGATATTCATCTCACAGAGTCATTGTGATTTAAAAAGAAAGTGAGATGGTGTAAATAAAGGAGTGGATCTACTATCCGGATTAGTAGATGCCAAGGAAAGCAAGTTTCTTCTTTCTCTCTACTTTTTTTAAACCAGCTGAGCCCCATGTTAACATTCACAACGTTTTCACACACAGTAAGTAGGATGCTTGAGATGTGGAGATTTATGTCTGTGCTCTGCCTCACCTGTGAAAGTGTGATTGATTTTGACTCATTCTTTTGTTGTTGTTGTTGTTGTTTGAGACAGAGTCTTGCTCTGTTGCCCAGGCTGGAGGGTAGTGGTGCAATCTCCACTCACTGAAACTTCCACCTCCCGGGTTCAACCAATTTTCCTGCCTCAGCCTCCCGAGTAGCTGGGATTACAGGCACGTGCCACCACACCCAGCTAATTTTTATATTTTTAGTAGAGACGGGGTTTTACCATGTTGGCCAGGCTGGTCTCGAACTTCTGACCTCAGGTGATCTGCCCACCTTGGCCTCCCAAAGTGCTGGGATTACAGGCGAAAGCCACTGCACCCAGCAGATTTTGACTAGTTCTTTCTACTGAAATATACAAAGGCACCAGATTATTTTAGGAGACTATTTCTTACAGAGGGTTCTTGGGAGTCCAATTTCTCCCCCAAGAGAAATTAGTTTCTTGTAGATACCATCCAGAGAAACACATATTCCACTTACTTTTTATTTGAAATAACAATGAAAAAAAATTCATTCTGCTAACTTCTTAAGCTCTACCAAAATTGGATATGTTTTAGAACATAAGGATACAAGTTTACATGTAGTGCCTTCCTATAGAGCACATTTCAGAGACAGGCATGCCAACCAGCACTTTTGTATGAAGTTTGTAAGTAAAATCAAAGTTGAGCCTGAAATACAAATTTATTGCAGCCTTCGTTGCTTGTTAACTTGAATTAATAGTGCCTGAGCAACTACAGTCAGACTTCATCTACACATGAAAAATGAAGTGGAGAATTGAGTAAATTATCTTTGTATGGGCCAGGCAATTAAGGCCAAAAAGCGGTTAGTTAGCCTGGATTATCCAGATTCTGGCCTTATCGGAAGGCTACATCAGAAAGTCAGAATAAAACACCTTTAAAAAAAAAAAAAGTAAAATAATCACAGTGTTGATTGGAAAGGTGCTGGGTAGATAGCCATCAAAGTTAGTTTCCCAAGGAAGGATCCCAGCCATGAAGAATTCATTCAAGCTTGCCCAAATAAGAGAGACTTGGTCAGTAATTAAACTCCTGCATATTTCTCAAGCCCAAAGAGAAGGCTTTCACTTGGACAAGGCACCTTTTACAATAGGTCTTCTATTAAAGACAAGGTTTTAGGAGTTTTTAGAGACTTTTAAAAATATTGTCAATTGTACCATGTTCTGGAGCAGGAATGGGCAAGGAGACTTGTGTTTCCCAAGGGAAATGACTCACGTCCCAGAATCATAAACTCAGCTCCAGCTTGCTTTCCAGGAGCCTTCACAAAAGGCTGTACTGGTTTATGCTGGACTGGGCCTTCCCATTCTTATCCCATTTGCAGAAGATCTCAGTGATGGCGATAGTGGAAGGAAAGTATTTAGTCCATCCACCTTGCTGTCAAGTCAGTGTGGAAGCTCCCTGGCCCTTAAGATTCAGCTCAGTGTTGACAACAAAGCCTGTAATCACAGTATTACAGTACAGCCTGTAATCACAGAATCACAGTAAATTTTACTTTTGCCGCTTCTCAGTCATATATTTTTGGGCAAATGACAAAACCATTCCTAGCTGCAGTTTCCTCACAGGTAAAATGGAATTTTAAGATCTACCTTCTCATGCCTGTAATCCCAGGCTTACTTTGGGAGGCTGAGGCGGGTGGATCATGAGGTCAGGAGTTCGAGACCATCCTGGCTAACACAGTGAAACCCTGCCTGTACTAAAAAATACAAAAAAATTAGCCAGGCTTGGTGGCAAGCACCTTTAGTCCCAGCTACTAGGGAGGCTGAGGCAGGAGAATTGCTTGAACCCGGGAGATGGAGGTTGCAGTGAGCTGAGGTCACACCACTGCACTCCAGCCTGGGTGACAGAGCAAGACTCTGTCTCAAAAAACAAAAACAAAAACAAAACAAAACAAAAAGATGTATCTTATAAAATAATTTAGAGAATTAAATATAATAATACTTATTCTATGCCAGGCACATAGGCAATCAACTTGATTTCATCACCCCTTATTTTAAAGATACTTAGAGTAGTTCCAGGATAGGATCGCAACAAACATTTGTTAAATGAAAGAAACAGAGAAAGAAAGAGAGAAAAAAGAAAGAAAAGGAAAAAAAAAAAAGGAAACCATGAGGGGAGATAGACCATAAGGAAATGAAGCTAAATATTCTTCTCAAATAGAAACTGGAGGGTTGTGTGGCATACAGGTCACCTCAGAGATCCAGAAAAATTGCTCTCAAGTTTGGGTTGAATTGCCTTGGACAGAGGCCCACTGCAGGAAACTCTGAAAAACCACTGTGCTAGGCACCCTCTTCTCACTCTCAGCTCCTCCCTTACCAACTTCCACCTCATGTGGTTCTGCAGTTGTGCATTCAAACACACGATAACATGCTGCTGTGGATTTCATAAACTCTAAATCCCTGAGATCCATGTGCCTGGAGTAGAAAGACTATGCCATGCCCATTACCCTTGACAGGGGAATGGACAGTCATGCTGCCAGGCCCAGATATCTGCCCACCCCTGACATGTTCATAGGGTTCAGCCAAACCCAACTCCTGGGTTTGGACACTGCTTTTCAATCTTCCCAGTTTTAACTCTCTCCCAACATACTCTGTATGCAGGAATGATGTGGGGGAATAAACTCATATGTGAAAGTTTTTTTGTTCTCATTTATTTACATGTTAGCAATTGTATGCTTTCTTTCTACTAGGCAAGGATGTCTCTGAGCACTGCATATACACTCCTAAGAGGGCAAGAATGACTGGCCATATCATGAAGCTGTATTGTTTTTAAAAGAGCAGAACTGTACATACAGAAAAACAAAACAAAACAAAACAAAACAAAACACTACATTGGACTCATGACTTGCAACCAAGGGAATCTCCAAGGTTATGTTCCTGTCTCTAAATAATATCTTTATGGCAGTCCCAAAACTGTTGAAGCTGTTATTTTCGGCGGTTGGTAAATGTTTAGTCCTTGGGAGTTAAAGGCTCATTGGATGATAGAATCTTTTTTTTTTTTTTTTTTTTTTTTTTTTTGAGGGACGATATCCTTTCTGCTGGGACTCTCTGAAAAAAGTCTGTGAAATCCTTGACACCTTCTGAGAATGGGTTTATATGCACTGCAGTCTTTTATGTGCCAACACCCTGAACAAGGCAAGGCAGTCTGTAATCACAGCCTTTGAATGTGGTGGTTCCATTAAGCCGGTTGTACAGGGGCAGGCCTAATGTCTGGCTTTTCAAAGTTTAGAGATAGATGCAGTTGTTTTATGTTGCTTTGAGGCAGATGTTGGCAAGGTGTTTAGATGCAGGAGGAAGAAGGGAAAGGTTGAACATTGAACCTGGGAGGTGGTGGTTCACTCTGGAAAAGGGATTCAATATTTTTATTATCGATTACAAGTACATTTTAACTAAAAATATAAACTCATAGCAGCATACCTTCGAGTCCTTTCCTAAAGACTCCCATATCTCAAATTGGTTGCTTTCTGCAACCACCGATGTCCTTCTTCCAGCCCCCAGTTGTATGGGCCGGAGGCTGGTTGTGGCTTGTAACCCAAACACCACTGATGTGGTGATCAGTGTGGGTTTCCAGGCTACCTGATGATTAAGAACTTCTAACCATGACACTGTACAGTCATTGTCTAGTGTATTGAGAGACAGCAATTCTTCCGCAGCTGTAAACATCCTGAGATCTCAGGGGGATCAAAGCCAACAAAGTTACAGAAAGGAAGAATGCAAAATATTCCATTCATTTTCCGGTCCACCACCAGGCGTCTGCTTCTTATTCTGCTTCCGTGTAAGTTTGTGGTGCATGGTCCAGTACTTCATTCTATGACTGGTTGACTTGAAAGCCCAAGTGTTAGGAGGGAATTAGAAACCACTGACCCTGCCATGGGCAGAAGCTGCAGTACCCTTCTACTGCACTATGCTTCCACCCATTCCTGCTGCTCAGCTCTTTCTTCAGGGAAGGTAGATGTAGCATCTGGTCAGGAGCCCTAGCTCTGGCTCCTTGTACAAGGAGTTTCTCTTTGCAAACTATTCTACAGTCACTCCAACTCCATCTGAACTGCGTGAGCAACACAGTGGCAATGCAGAATAAAATGAGCTCGTCCTAGGTAGAATAACAATGCTGCTTTTGAGCTTTCCTATCTGATCCATTAGACAGAATAGACAAGGATCTCTGATAGAAATATGTACCATGAAGAAATACAATGAGTGTTTGTTTCAGTATTTGGATCGGTATGTCAATAGATGGAACACTCTGGAAAAGGGATTCAATATTCCTATTATCAATTACAAGTACTTTTTAACTAAAAATATAAAATAGCAGCATACCTTCGAGTCCTTTCCTAAAGACCCCCATATCTCAAATTGGTGATAAACCAGAGAACTATAAAAGTTTATACAGTTTTTCCCTCAATGCATCCCTAGAAACCTTCTTGAGAAGCAAATCATCATAAAGTTGCTCATATTTTCCTATAGGGACAGTGCCATAATCAGGAGTGGAGATACTGACTAAGAATCTGGACTAAAATAAATCATAAATATGGCCACCGATCTACCATAAATGCAAAGCCATAACTGCTATAAACCTCAGTGATCACTTAACATTTTAAAATTATGTTCTAAATCACAGAGGCCTATCATTTTATTACTACCAGGGACCTTGGGGATTATCTTGTCCAGTCCACAATTTGGAGATAAGAAAATTTAAATCAAAGACGATTAAGTGATTTGCTTAATTTACTTAACAGTAGAGCCAGGAAAGGGCTGTGGCTCCATCTTTCCCCTCTGCTGAGTTCTTCCTTGGCAGTCCCCCACAAGTTAAACAGGTACATGCTGATAAGAAAAGGGTGAGGATATGCATATAGTAGATGGAAAAATTATTTCACCATCATGTGACCACATGTTAATATTTCTATTATAATAAAATATTAATTTGAGATCATTTAATAATTCTCTTATCCTCTTTTATTTTTTTATTTATTATTTTTATTCATTTATTTTTTTTGAGATAGGGTCTCCCTCTGTCACCCAGGCTGGAGTGCAGTGGTGTGGTCACAGCTCACTGCAGCCTCAACCTCCCTAGGCTCAGGTGGTCCTCTCACCTCCGTTTTTGTATTTTTAGTAGAGATGGATTTTCACCATGTTGGCTAGGCTGGTCTCCAAGTCCTGGGCTCAAGAGACCCATTCACCTCAGCCTCCCAAAGTGGCTGGGATTGATTACAGGCATGAGCCACTGCGCCTGGCCTTATCGAAATTTAGGAGAGTATTTTAAGGGACAAAAAAATTCCCTTTTCTCCTTCTTAATAAACTTTTCTAAGCAATCACAGACTCTCAAAAACATTCCGTTAGTACAGGAGTCTTTTACAAACTTTTTATGTAAAAGACCACAACTTTTCAGGCCATACAGTATCCACATGAACTATTGCGCTCTGCCATTGTATCACAAAAGCAGTCATAGAGCATACACGAAAGAATGGGAGGGGCTGTGTTCCTGTAATCTCTACCGATGGACACTACAATTTGAATTTCATATAGTTTTCATAATTTTTATGTGTCACAAAATGTTATTCCTTATCTGATTTTTTCCCCTCAACCATTAAAAAATATAGAAATCATCCTAAGCTTGTCACCTTACAAAAACAGGTGGAAGGCCATATTTAGTCTGTGGATTTGTTAACCTGTCTTAGTGGGAAGAAAAGGGGTGAGAGGTTCAACCCAGAAAGATTTAGTTTCAAAATTTGTTTATGCCTTGAGGTTGTGACTTAACTTTTCTATCTTCATTTGTCCACCTGTAAATGCAGGTGATGCTATCTATTTCATAGGGTGCTTGTGAGACCGACTGAGCTAACACTTAGTCATAGAGGGCCCAGTATAGACCCTGAGACTAACAGATCTTTAAATGTTAGTTCTCTTCCCTCCCTTTTCCTTTCCTAACCCTCATACAAGTACATATACACATGTACATGCACAAACACACACACACACACTTTTTGCTTTTAAAAAAAGTTACTGGCCAGGCACGGTGGCTCACACCTGTAATCCCAGCACTTTGGGAGGCTGAGTTGGGCGAATCACTTGACGCCAGGAGTTTGAGATCACCCTGGGCAACATGATGAAACCCCAACTCTACAAAAAATACAAAAATTAGCCAGGCATGGTGTTGCATACCTGTAGTCCCAGCTACTCTGGAGCCTGAGGTGGGAGGATTGCTTGAATCCAGGAGGTCAAGGCTGCAGTGAGCCAAGATCACACCACTGCACTTCATCCTGGGTGACAGAGCAAGACTCTGTCTCAACAACAAAAAAAAAGTTACTCTCTTTTCTTCTTATCTCTTTCCTTTTTCCCTTTCCAAGTTACCCACTGTAGCACTGAAGTATGTGAAGGCTTACCCAAGACTTGGGTTGTGATGGTTGGAAAATCAATTTTCTTTGTAATATGGACCATTTGTTTTCCCTTTGCTATTTTCACTCCTTAAAAGAAAAAAACCATACCAACAAACCACAAACAAGAAACCTCACATCTTTAGGAGTCCAAATGTAGGAAGCAACAGATATGAGGACTTGGGTGATTAACTAAGGCAAGAAGAAGAGAACTTTGACCAACTCATCTTGCTTCCAGGTAGATGGACTTCAGTTTGCTGACTGAGTCAGAATCCAGAGCCTTCCACAGCTGTCACAGGGAGTCATCACCAAGCTGAGATGTGTGGCCCAGCACTTGTTGCCATTTCTCAGGCCTTGACTCAGGGCCCAATCCAACTGACCTCCAACCAGCCAGAGCCATGTCCCCCATGACCAATTCTCCCCTCATTGCTGGAGCCTTGGGAAATTTCCACCAATGCACAGCCTGGTGCATGGCTAACACCAAAGTGCTCTAACCTTACTCTGAGTCACCAACAACTCTAAAGAGAGGGACAGGAAGTGCCAAAAGGGCAGCTGGGTGGATTTGTATGGAGGAAAAGGCGGGTGGGGGGGCTGCCATTTTCCTTCACATAAAGGCCAGCGGGGAGTTGGGAAAGGGCGAAAGAATAGGAACATATCACGGACATTTACCTCTGTAATCAGACCTCTAAATACACATTAGAAAAGTTGCCTACCTTCTTCCTGTCTTCCTCAGTCATTGCTACAGAAACAGGGGACAGACTGGGGCCCCTCAATTTAGGCATCCGCCCATGTACTAGTCAGGAAGTATGAAAAAGCATGGTGGGGAGCTGGGGATTCATGAGTTGATGGAACCATAATTTCTGTTCCCAGAAAGCTTATGCTAATGAAGAAGGGGCAGGCAACACACAAGAAAACAAAAGTGACCATGCCCTTGTTAAGTACTGTCCTGGGGCAACACTGGGCCTTAGGAACTCCTAAGAGGGCCTCTGGTCCAGCCGCCCCCAACCTTTTCTGCACCAGGGACTGGTTTCTTGGAAGACAATTTTTCCACAGGTTGGGGAGTGGTATGGGAGGGATGGTTTTGGGATGAAACTTTCTACCTCAGATCATCAGGCATTAGATTCTCACAAGCAGCACACAACCTAGATCCCTTGCAAACACAGTTCCCAATAGGGTTCTTGCTCTGGTGAGAATCTAATGCTGCTGCTGATCTGACAGGAGGCAGAGCTTAGGCGGCGATGCTCTAATGCTCGCTTGCCGCTCACCTCCTGCTGTGCAGCTGGAGTAGGGGGAGTTGGGGGAGTGGCTGGGGACCCCCCTGCTCTAGTCTAGTCTGTGCTTGATAGGGAAAGAAATAACAGTCAGAGGAAATGACACACACTAGGCTAAGGGAAGGATAAGGAGAGCAGAGAGAGAAGAAAGAGGGAGAGGGAGAGAAGAGCTGGCATTTGGGGGTTCCTACTACATGCCAGGCATCATTCCTGGATGTTTATGTGTATGGCCTCAATTATGACGTGGTTACTATGATGATCCCCTTTTACATGATGGAACAGAGAGGTGAGGTTACCTGCTCAGTGTTACACAGCCAATAATTGGCAAAACTAGAATTCAAATCAGGCATTCTGGCTCCAGAGCCTCCACTCTTAACCACTACACAGAGAAAACAGCAGGAGAATATGGCGTGTTCAGAAGTAATGGCAAGTTATCTAGTGTGATCGAGTGGAACCACACTCATGAAACAGTTGCATCAAAAAATGAACACACTCTGACAATTCCTCAAAGAACTGAAAACGGAACTACCATTTGCAATCCGATTACTGGGTATATACCCAAAGGAATATAAATCATTCTACCATAAAGACAAATGCACACTGCAGCACTATTCACAATAGCAAAGATATGGAATCAATCTAAATGCCCATCAAGGATAGACTGGGTAAAGAAAACGTGGTACATATACACTACTGAATACTATGCAGCCATAAAAAAGAATGAGATCACGTCTTGTGAGAACATGGATGGAGCTGGAGGCCATTATTCTTAGCAAACTAATGCAGGAACAGCAAACCAAATACCGTATGTTCTCACTCATAAGTGGGAGCTAAACAGTGAGAACCAATGAACACATAGAGGGGAACAACAGACACTGGGACCTACTTGAGGGTGTTGGGCGGGAGGAGGAGGAGGATCAGAAAAAATACTAGGCTTAGTACCTGGGTGATGAAATAATCTGTACACCAAACCCCATGACACACGTTTACCTTTATAAATAACAAACCTGCACATGTACCCCTGAACCTAAAATAAAAGTTAAAAAGAAATGAACACACTTAACATATAGTGCACAGAGGGACTCCTCAATACTATTCTCACTATTATACACACAAAAAGTGATTATTGGAGCAAGCTGGATAGAATTTGAGTCACCTCTATGATGCTTGCTGAGAAAGCTACGTTTTCTTTATATTATATAATTATTTCAAGAAAAGTAAAAGTATTAAAGAAGATACTAATATAAAATGTATATGAAAGTTCTAAATGATATCTTTTTAACATTTTTGGTGAAACACTTGAGCTTGCTTCCACAAACATAACTTTTATATAACAGATTTTAGGCTTCAAATGGTTACAGGGAACTTCCAATTAAGAGTTTTTAATGTCCATCTTTTAAAAGTCTTGATAGTCACCATCAATGAGAAATTTCAACCAGAGAGACAGGTAATAAAACATTTAAAATGTTTTATTTTGCAACCATTCAAAATGGTACAAAAGTTGAAATTATTAAAATGTCTAAAAGCTCTTTTTCTTTCATTGACAAAGGTGGAAACGAGAAAGGATTTCCAAAGCAATCATAGTCTTAAATAATTTCAAGATAATGGTGGAGCTTGCATTAGCAGAAACCACGTGCAATTTTAGGGCAGACGCCTTGTAGCTAGCTGAGCCACGACTAAAAGGACATGTCATCCACAACCAGACAGATGTATTCAATTATGTGAAGAAAGAGTTTCCTGCCCCACAACCATCAGCATCTTGGGAGGCTCACTGTGCCCCTGGTGCACCTGGAATATGAACTTCACCAGCATCTCCAGAAGCACCTTGTTCACAGTGCACAGTGGCTTGCTCCATGGCTGCTGCTCGGGGAGACATCCAAGCCTGGTGTGCTCAGCGCATCTGCAGCAGAGCAGCAGGCATTAGTTGGGGCTCCCCATTCCTCCTCCTGGGATGGGGATACACCCTTAGACCTGCTGTGCCACCCTTTGAGAAGCCCTGCACAAGGCTGCTCCCAGCCTGAGGCTACCAGCTTGGCTGCCCCAGGGCTGAACGAATCAATTTCTGATGGCATATCTGTGACTCATTCATGGCTCACCAATTGGGAACTTCTGAATTAAATAGTTCTTAAGCATGAAGTCTCTGGAGCCAGACTGCTTAGGTTTGAATCCCAGTTTCTCCTCTTCCCACTCTGTGTCTTTTGGGTAAGTTAATTAAAATTTCTATTTCCCAGCTTTCTCATCTGTAAGGTCCTAGGCCTTTGTTTACATTAGTTGACTTTACACATGAAGTGCTTTTGACTTGTCCTCAGTACTCAATAAATGTGGGCCATGATTGTTACGCTAAGATCCTTGAGTTGAGCATCACTTAGTGACTGAATTTTGATACAGGTTTAATTGTTGAGATCTTTACCCTCCAAGTCTTTTTTTGGGATTTTCTTAAGGCAAAGGCGAGTCACTGAAATGTAGTTGTTATTTAAAAGCAATGGGCCGGACATGATGGTTCACGCCTGTAATCCCAGCGCTCTGGGAGGCCGAGGCAGGTGGATCACATGAGGTCGGGAGTTCAAGACAGGCCTGACCAACATGGTGAAACCCTATCTTTGCTAAAAATACAAAAT
Organism: Homo sapiens; assembly: GCF_000001405.40. Taxonomy (NCBI): domain Eukaryota; kingdom Metazoa; phylum Chordata; class Mammalia; order Primates; family Hominidae; genus Homo; species Homo sapiens. Next base: position 42,254,071 of record NC_000007.14, read on the forward strand.
TAGCTGGGCATGGTGGTGCATGCCTGTAATCCCAACTACTCAGGAGGTTGAGGCAAGAGAATCACCTGAACCTGGGAGGTGGAGGTTGCAGTGAGCCGAGATTGTGCCACTGCACTCCAGCCTGGGCAACAAGAGCAAAACTCCGTTAAAAAAAAAAAAAAAGCCAATGGAATAGAGGATATCGCCTTGGGCACGAATGTAGGGTGAAAACCAAGATGACCTAGTTCACAGCCTGAAGCCCAGCATGTGGGCGGAATGCAGGTGAAGGAGGCCATAGCGAAAGAGTGGCCAAAAATATAGAAGAAAATCCTATCTTTATAGGTTGGCCAATATGATGACACAAGAGTGAGGAAAAGAGAGTATTTCAAAAGGGTTGACTGGCCGACTGGGTTGAATGCTGCTGAGAGAGCAAGTGGGAGAGCATTTAAATGTGTCATGGATTGAGCAATAGTTGTCATCAGTGACTTTAGTCAGAACATTATATGGCCTACATAGCCTGAAATGTTTGTTATCTGGCTCTTTACAAAAAAGTTGGCTGATCCTTGATCTGTAGTGAGTGATTTTTCTAAATGCCAGATATAATTCAATAATTTCTCATTGCTCTCAAAATAAAATCCAAATTTTTTTCTGTAATGAAACCTAGATCCTGGGTTCAAACCCATCTCATGCTACCTGCCCACTGCCTCTTCCACTTTTCGGTCTGTTCTCTGTGTTTCTCTCTGCCTATCAATCTCTCTCTTGCAATGTTTGTTATCTGTCTCTTTAAAAAAAAAGTTGGCTGATCTTTGACCTGTAGTGAGTGATTTTTCTAAATGCCAGATATAATTCAATAATTTCTCATTGCTCTTAAAATAAAATTCAAAATTTTTCCTGTAATGAAACCTAGATCCTGGGTTCATACTCATCTCTTGCTACCTGCCCACTGCCCCTTCCACTTTTCCATCTGCTCTTTGTGTTTCTCTCTGCCTATTTATCTCTCTCTTACATCTTTTTTTTTCTGTTTCTGTTTTTTTTTTTGCATCTTTGTGCATAGGATTCTTTTAGTTTGGAACGCTATTTTTTTCTTCCCCACTTTCTATCTTCCCTTCACCCTATTGTTAATGCTACACTACAAAATTATGGTCTTCTTTCAGATAAAAAAATAAATGTATTTTCCTTAAAAATGATTTTCCTGACCCTCTCCATCTAATTTGGTCATCCTGTTACACTCTCTCATAGCACTGCCAGCCTTATCATTGTTTTAAACAGCTTTATTAAAGTATAATTTGCATTCCATGAAATTTATCCATTGTAGGTATACAATTTAATAATGTTTAGTAGATTTATAGTTGTACAGCCATCATTACAATCCCATTTTAGACAGTTTCCATTACCTAAAAGAAAAATCCCTCATGTCTGCGTGCATCAATTCCTGCTCCTGCCTTCAGTCTTAAGGATTGCTAATATGCTTTCTATCCAAGTTTGCCTTTTAGGGACATTTCATATACACAGAATCATATAATACATAGTCTTTTACATCTGGCTTTATTTACTTAAATAATGGTTTTGTGGTGCATTTATGTGTAGCGTATTTATTCGTCTTCATTGCTGAAGAGCATTCCATTGTATAGATGCCCTACATTTTGTTTACCTACTCATCAATTGATAGGCATTTGGCTTGTTTTCAGTTTTTGGTGATGATGAATAATGCTTCGATGGACAGTCATATAAGTGGCTTTGTGTGGACATATGTCTTAATTTCTTTTGGATAGTTTCCTAGTAGTAAAATTGCAGGGTTGTATGGTGAGTTATGTTTCACTTTTTAAGAAACTGATGAACTGTTTTCCAAAGTGGCCATACCATTCTGCATTATGACTGGCAATACATAACGGTTCCAGTTTTTCCATATTCTCACCCACACTTGGTGTTCACTTTTTGTTTATAGTTATTCTAGTCAGTGTGTAGCGGTATCCCATTGTGGCTTTAACTTTTGTTTCCCTGTGAGTAATGACTTTGAGCATCTTTTTATGTGTTCATTAGCCATTTTCATATCTTCTTAGTGAAATTTCTTTTAAAATATTCTGCCTATTTTTAATGTTTTTTAATCTTATTGTGTTGTAAGAGTTCTTTACATATTCCAGACACAAGTAATTTATAAGATATATGATTTGCAAATATTGTCTCCCAGTTTGCCTTGTCTTTTTTATCAGTTGAAGCACAAAAGTTTTTAATGTTGATGAAGTCCAATTTATCAGCTTTTTTTTTTAATGGATCATGTGTTGGTTTCTTACCTAATAATTCTTCACCCATCCCAAGATATTGAAAATTTCTCCCTTCACTTTTTCCAGAAGTTCTATATTTTTAGCTCTTAGATTTAAGTTTATAATCAATTTTGAGTTAATTTCTGCATATGATGTGAGATGAGGGTCTGAGTTTATCATTCTGTATGTGGATATCCAAAGACTGCTGTACCAATCGTTGAAAAGACTATCCTTTTCCTTTCTAGTTGTCTTTGCATCTTTGTTGAGCACAGGTTCACTATAAACACAAGGATATATTTCTGGACTATCAAGTGTATTCCATTCATCCATATGCCTATCCTGCATTAATATCATACTGTATTTCTTACTGTGGCTTTAGAGTAAGTTTTGAAATTTTGTAGTATGAGGCTTCCAAATTTGCTTTTTCCCCCAAAATTGTTTTGGCTACCCTAGATCTTTTGTTTTTCATATAAATTTTATAATCAGTTTGCTAATGTCTACAGAAATGCCAATGGAAATTTTGATAAGGGTTATCTTCAATTTAAATATCAATTTCCAAAAGCTGTTATATTATTTTTGAGTCTTCCAGTCCATGAATATGGAATTTCTCTCCATTTATTTAGATCTCCTTTAATTTTTCTTTGCAGTGTTTTGTAGATTTTATTTCACATGTCTTGCATATTACTTGTTAAACCTAGCCCTAAATTTTTATTCTTTTTGATGCTATTTTGAATTCAATTTTTTAAACTTTATTTTAAGATTTTTCTTTGCTAGTAAGTAGAAATACCATTGATTTTGATATATTGATCTTGTATCTTGAACCTTGCTAAAATAGTTAATTAGTTCTAGTGGTTTTAGGATTTTCTACATACAAAATTATGTCATTTGCAACTAAGAGAGTTTTACTTCTCCAATCTAGATACCACTAAATTTTTTTTCTTTTTCTTTCTTTTTTTTTCTTCCCTATTGCACTGGCTCTCTGGTGCAATGTTGAATGACAGCAGCAAAAGCAGGCCCCTGATATTAGGTGGAAATCATTCAGTCTTTTTTTTTTTTTTTTTTTGAGACGGAGTCTCGCTCTGTCGCCCAGGCTGGAGTGCAGTGGCTCACTGCAAGCTCCGCCTCCCGGGTTCATGCCATTCTCCTGCCTCAGCCTCCCGAGTAGCTGGGACTACAGGTGCCCGCCACCACACGTGGCTAATTTCTTGTATTTTTAGTAGAGATGGGGTTTCACCGTATTAGCCAGGATGGTCTCCATCTCCTGACCTCGTGATCCTCCCACCTCGGGCTCCCAAAGTGCTGGGATTACAGGCATGAGCCACCGTGCACGTCCCATTCAGTCTTTTACTGTTAAAAATGCTGTTAGATGTGGATATTTCACAGATTCCCTTTATCAGAATCTATAAATCTATTCTTAGTTTGCTGATTGTTTTTTAAAAAAAAAATCATGAATGGATACTGAGTTTGTCAAATGCTTTTTCTACATCTATTAAGATAATTATTGTTTTTATCATTTAGTCCATTACTATGGTATATTATATCCATTGCTTTTTGTATATTAAGCAAACCTTGTATTTCTGAGATAAAAGCCACTTGGTCATGGTGTAGAATTCTTTTTGTATGTTGCTGGATTTGGTTTGTTGAACTTTGTTAAAGAGTTTTCTATGTTCATGAGGAATATTGAACTATATAGTTTTCTTTTCTCGTGATGTCCTTGTCTATGGCACTCTGTAATTCTTTACACGCTGGATTTTATACACACACCTGCTATATATACTATGTATAACCCAATCATAATGTGATTAATGTGCGTCTCTCCAACTAGACTGCAAGCTCCATGAGGTCACAGATGTTTTCTGTCTTGTACACTTCTGTGTATTATACATACTGAATTCATAAAAACAGGATATCCAGGGCACCATTATTTTATATTTTGATTTGAACATGAAACAAATATTGTCACCTGTATGACCAACATTTTTAGCACACTTTGCTCTTATTTAGCTCTGGTCAATATACTGTAATCAAGTAGGATTTTGTCTTTTTTGTTGTTGATAAATGTTAATGAAGGAGTGTAGAGATACATCTGTCTAATCTTTGTATTGGCTCTTCATTTCATACTCTGAAGGTGATTTTGAATCCAGAATCTGTTGCCCTCCATGAGTTACTGTATTCTCTTCAAATTGTGTTAAAATGCCTTCTTGGTTTTCCTATACATGATTAAGATGTCACCATAACTCTCTTCTTCCATTTGGGCTACAATAACAAAATAGCATAGCCTAAGTGGCTTATACAGAATAGAAATTTATTTCTCCAGCTCTGGAGGCTGAGAAGTCCAAGAGCAAGGTGCCACAATGACTTCTTGATTGATGAATGGCCATCTTTTCACTGTAACCTCACATGACAGAATGGGTGAGGGAGGACCCTTGGGCTTGTTTTATAAGGGCTTGAATCCCATTCACGAGATCTCTGCCCTCCTGACCTAATCACCCAACAAAGGCACTACTTCTCAAATCATATCCTGGGGATTAGGATTTCAACATATGAATTTTGGGGGGACACAAACTTTTGGCCCATAGCATTATCTTTCCTGATTGGCACACAGAAAATGTGCTTGGGTTTTCTTTTTTCTGTCTGTTTCATTTTTCAGACTGCAGTTGAAATTGTCTGAACTAGTTTGTTGTTTACTCTTTTATGTGCTCTATCTCTGAGCTGATGGGCTCCATGGCAGACCTCCACCACCTTGGTCACCTGTTAACATTACAGATTGTCCAAGCAGTCAAATTACCCTAAACTTGTTCATCATCTAGTTCCAAGCTTAGCTAAGGAACGGTTTCGTTGTTTTTAGCATGCTTTCAAATATTCAACTCAATCTGAGCTTTGACCATTGCTACATTATTCTTATAAACAAATGCTACCATTTTTGTGTCTGTGAAGTAAAATAAAGAAGGCAGTTCATGAGCCTGTCAACCATACTCTGACATGCAACAAATATAAACATCTAATGGGTTGCTTTTCTTCATCAGTAAATGGTAGCATTATCTTTAGGGCTTAGAACTCTGTTTTAAGTGGCATTTTATAGAGAAGTGCTTAAGAATGTAGCTGTTCCTAGTTAAGCTCTAGCTCTAAGTCAGTTTCTTAATCTGTAAAACAAAAATGACAACAATTATAATTTATTCTTTTGCTGTTAAGATTGAATAATATAACTTACATAAAGCACTAGTACAGTGCCTGACACATAGTAAGTTCACAATGTATTGTTTTGTTATTATTATTGCTGAACATGATATTAGCATTCAGTCTACACTTGTAGGGATTTCTGCATGATAGAAAATTATTTGTGACCCCTCGTGCAAGTAGTGAAGGTTTGAGATCATGTCTTTTTTGATAAACGCAGATGACCTTGCATTTTCCTGCAGTCAGTAATCTCTGACAATTAGCATTACCCACCAAAAGAAGACATTTAGGATCCAAATCAATAGCATATATAGTGCCTTCCCCTTTGCTTTTGACTCAAAATTGCTTGGATCCAGCTAACAAAATTTAATTTTTAAAAATAAACCTGTGGGCATCTATCTTCTACTCATTGCATTGTTGTGTATTAAGGCAAAGCAGCTTTGTCTGTGGTATGCATAGCATTGTATGCATCTGCTGTTGCAGCCTTTCAGGACTGTAGTTTGGTTCTGTGTATGTACAAAACAACTAGGAAATTTACCATGAGAAAATGCTGACTCAAAATGCCTGTATCCCCAAAGAAAATATTTGTCAGGAAGATCATTGTAGATACTTGGAAGGGAGTAAAGAAATTATAGAATTCAATTTTGTAGCAAATCACACTGGCTAGAGCATCTCTAGAGCATATGATAATTTCTGCAGGGTGAGAAATGACATATATAATGAACATCTACGTACCATTTGACAATTTCTACAAATAATCTCCCTAACAGAATCAAGTCCATGAATGTTCACAGATCTGTTGGAATTCCCACTGCTCCTTACACGTGTTGTACTGTATTTAAATAGAAGCAATGTAAGAGTCCATTTATTATTTTACGCATTCAACTGTCAAAATATTGAATAGCTGTTATACTTCTCTGGTAAGATGACCATAACACATATGAAAGGTATTATATTTTTAAAAGAGTATGTATGTATACTATGTGTGTGTATAAGTATATACCTATGCAGAAATAGGACAAGTTAGCAAGAATCTAAACTAAACAATTACCTCTTGTCAATAGAATTTTGATGAGCAAGGTGTGAGAATGTTCATTTTCTTTATTATATAATTAACAAAACAAGTGGTATGTCTGATTTACATGTTTAAAAGTTTAACTACAACGTAGTGAATGAAGGGCCAGGGACAAGAGTAAAAACAAGAAGGGCAAGAAGATGTATCTCAATGAAAGGTGATGTTGGCTTGCATCTGAGTGAAATGAAGTGAACATGGCAACAAAAGAATGAATTTTGAGTACATTTTGCATGTAGAGACAGCAATCTCAATTTTCCTGATAGAGAGGGGGCAGAGTGAGAGGGAAAGAGTGAAATAAAGGATGACTCCTGGTTTTTGGCTTGAGAAACTGGGTAGTTGGTGGTGCTATTTATATATTCACAATCCATACGTTCAGGCAACTACAAGGTGTGCAGCATGGCTAGAGCATACTCTCTGTGTTAGTCCATTCTTGCATTGCTATAAAGAAATACCTAAGACTGGGTAATTCATAAAGAAAAGAAGTTTAATTGGCCTACAGTTCTGCAGGCTTTGCAGGAAGAATGGTGCTGGCATCAGCTCGGCTTCTGGGAGGCATCAGGAAGCTGACAATCATGGCAGAAGGCAAAGGTGGAGCAGGCATGTCACATGGTGACAGCAGGAACAAGACACACACACAAACACACACACACACACACACACAACACACACACAGAGAGAGATTATGGGGTGCGGGGAGGTGCCACACATTGTAAATGATCAGATCTCATGAGAACTCACTATTGTTAAGACATCACCAAACCATGAGGGACCCACCCCCATAGATCAAATACCTCTCACTAGGCCTCACCTCCAGCATGGGGATTACATTTCAACATGAGAGCTGGGCAGGCTCAAATATCCAAACCAGATCACTCCTCATCCATCCATCCATCCATCCTCAGCTATCCACTAACCGTTCACTGTATGCAAAGCCAGGGTTCTAGATTCAGGAATGACAAACCAGAGTCCCATTCTCATGAAACTTAGTTGGGGGAGTTACACAAGAAGTAAACAAGGAAAGATTTCATAAGTCAGACTATATATTTTATATGAATGTAATAATTATATTAGGCCTTACTAATATACTCAGTACATTAGTTTGTGTAGTAGTTATACTAGGTCTTACTATTCAGCAAGCCATAGACTGCAGGATGAGGCAGTGCCTGATTATAGGTGCCCTGCAAAGAGGATTGGCTTTGATAAAGTATTCTTTAAAGATAGAGATTTAAGTGAATTGAAAAGTGAGTTGAAGTCTGGGTTGACCCTGGCATCATAAGGAACAGTCTTTGTTTTCTTTCCTTCCCTTCCTTTCCCTTCCCTTCCTTTCCCTTCCCTTCCTTTCCCTCCCTTCCTTCCTTCTTCCTTTTCTTTCTTCTTTTCTTTTCTTTCCTTTTTCTTCCTCTCTCTCTCGCTCTCTCTTTCTTTCTTTCTTTCTTTCTTTTCTTTCTTTCCTTCCTCTCTCTCTCTCTTTCTTTCTTTCTTTCTTTTTTCTTTCCTCCCTCTCTCTCTCTTTCTTTCTTTTTCTCACTCTCTCAGCCAGGCTGGAGCGCAGAGGTGCAAACACGGTTCACTGCAGGCTCAACCTCCTAGGCTCTTTTTTTTCAGCCTCTTTCTTTTTTCTTTCTTTTATTTTTTTTCCTTCCTTCTTTCCTTCCTTCCTTCTTTCCTTCCTTCCTTCCTTCCTTTCTTCCTCCCTCCCTCCCTTCCTTCTTTCTTTCATAGGGTCTCACTCTGTCATCCAGGCTGGAGTGCAGAGGTGTAAACATGGGTCACTGCAGTCTCAACCTCCTAGGCTCAAGCGGTCCTCCCACCTCAGGCTCCCAAGTAGCTGGGAACACAGGTACATGCCACCACAGCCAGCTAATTTTTTTAAATTTTGTAGAGATAGGGTATAACCATGTTGCCCAGGCTTGTCTCAAACTCCTGGGCTCAAGCCATCCTCCTGCCCCGGCCTCCCAAAGTACTGGGATTACAGGCCTGAGTCACTGCATTTGACCAGTCTTTGTTTTCTAACTAGTCACTAAGTGAATTCAGAATTTCTGGGGCAGACTCTCTCACTGGTTCAGCATGTTTAAGAGTTACTTTATGGCTCTATAAATAATGACAGTGCAACATTTTAAAGAATTAATTTAAAGAAACTCACACTTTGGAAATGGTCCTTATTTATCAGCCCAAATACCTTTTTGTTGTTTTATCCATTCCTAAGAATTTTGAAGATACTTTCCTAACATTACTTTTTAAATTATTCATGCTACATACATTTTATTTATCTTTATACCTAAGAGGGATTCCATTTTCTCTGCATTTCCTACTGACTGGCAGAAGATAGAACCCAGTGTTTCTCCCCAGACAGAGCAGTGCCTTGCAAGGCAAACCAGAATATCTGCACTTTTTTTTTTTTTAATGATTAATACCACAGGATATGGTCTTTGGCGAGAGCTATGGAACTAGACTAAGGAGTGTTCTTCAGGTCCCTGGGCCTGTAATTATCCGAGGCATACATGCCAGATGGGCCACGTGCCATCGCCATGGTGACCCACGGCAAAGGCATCTCTTTCCTGGCAACTTGAGAACAGCAGATCCAGCATAGCTGGTCTCGTGTACGCCTTCTGAGTGCTTACTATAGATACAAAATGAGAGAAGCAAAGGCTCTTTCCTGGCTATGACAAGAGCTCAAAGGGAGTTACTGGCACTTTCATGTCCATTACCATAACAAGAAAGTGCCTCCCCCTTGCCAGTGACAAGTTTATGTGCCTATGTTAACTAAAAGGGAGAGCTGTGATGCTTCTTAGGTGGAAGGGTTGAAAGACACTGTGGGTCAATGTGTACATTCTTGCACCTTTTGATTTTTCAAGAACTCATAAACATCTTCTTACCTTATTTTATTTATTTTTTTTTTTTGAAAAGGGGGTCTCACTCTGTTTCCCAGGCTGGAGTGCAGTGGTGTGATCTCTGTTCACTGCAACCTCCTCCTCACATGTTCAAGCAATTCTCCTGCCCCAGCCTCTGGAGTAGCTAGGATTACAGGAGCGTGCCACCATGCCCTGCTAATTTTTTGTATTTTTAGTACAGATGGGGTTTCACCATGTTGGCCTGACTGGTCTCTTACTCCTGACTTAAAGTGATCTGCCTGCCTTGGTCTCCCAAAGTGCTGGGATTACAGGCGTGAGCCACCGCACCCCACCAGATCTTGATGCCTTTTGAAATTCCCCTAGCTGTATGCTGCAGAGGCTGCAAGTGTCTGGTGGGGTTAGATCAGTCTTTTTTGTCCCATATATCAGGATATTTTTCTGCTATGAAACATACAACAACAACAACAAAAACAGCAACGACCACAACAAAACAGAATAGCTGAATAAAATGATTTGCAGAGGTTATTGCTAACTTACCTACCTAGAAATCTGGAGATAAAAAATTCTAAAATCACTTACTCTGGCAGCTCAGCAATGTGAGGCTGCTGGGATCGCTTCACTCTGATTGTGTTGGCTGTCTCGTCATGGTCATGAGATGGGCTGTCCAGGCATCCAGCAGCACTTCCCTACCCAAAAATGTCCAAAAGCACGAAGGGCCTTGTCTCAGAAGCCTATCAGGAGACTTCCCAGTATGTCCATTGGCCAGGCGTGGGCCACATGACACCCACCTCTTGGCAGAGGGCACTGGAGTTACCATGAATGCCAGTTAGGGCTCAAACCCTGAGAACACTGACACCTGATACACCAATACAATCAGAGTTCTTTTGGCAAAGAAAGGAAGGCATCTAGGAGTGCCTGCTGGCTCCTGAGAAAGGACAGTCATTGGAGGCTTGTTCTTTGTTTCTTGCTGCAGGTGGGACGTCCTATTAGCTTTCTATTAGCTTTCTAATATTAGCTTTCTCATTCTCTCTAAAATTCTAAATCACCGGATTCTCTGATGACCTGTATTTTTTCTCATTTTCACTCACATATGCCAGTAAGAACACATAAACAAAAAAACCCGACAGCCCTTCAAACAGCAAATTCTGCAGTACTAAGTTTTGTGCATTTATGGGCGTTAACAGCCTCTCACCCTCGAATTATTTCATCCAAGCATTTCTTTATTAAGAAGATCTTTATTACGCTCCTACTGTGTGTTAGATATGTTCTCTGTCTTGCAGTAGCACACAGTGTAATGAGACATACCGTAACCATGTGGCTACCTGGTAGTTTTCTTCCACGTAATTTGAAGTGTCATAAAAATAAATTTCAATGCAACAAATTTTACTCAGATAAAGGAAAGAAAAATAACTTAACTAGGGAAATTGGCCACTAGGGTCTAGGGTGGAGAGAGAGAGGGTGTGCGAGTGAGTGCAGGAGGAGAGTGAGAAAGGTGGGTGAAGGGGGAATCGAAAGAGAAAGACAATGTAAGAAAGGGGTAAGTAGTTTTCATTTTTATTTCAGTTAGGAAAGGACCATTTCCCTCAACCATTTTGGATTTCAGGACTTCTGAGTTTAATTATTAATAAAATCTGGGGAACTTGACTTGTGTATGTTCTCTTATTCTCTTTTTGGGAAGTCCATTTTGTGGACTAAACATTTGCATTCTTTCAAAATTCATATGTTGAAGCCCTAACCTCAATACAATGGTATTTGGAGGAGGAAGCTTTGAGAGGTGATTATGCTTAAGGAGGACCTGAGGGTGGGACAAGTGTCCTCTCTCTGCCACATAAGGACACGGTGAGAAGGTGGTTGTCCACTAGCCAGGAAGTGGGCCCTTAGGAGGAAGCGAATTGGCCAGCGCCTTGGTCTTAGACTTGCCAGCCTCCAGAACTGTGAAAAATAAATGTCTGTTGTTTAAGCCACCCAGTCTATGGTATTTTGTTATAACAGCCTGAGCTGACTAAGACATCCAGATCCTCTCAGATTCCATTTGCCAGGAAATAAACTGTGGTTTTCTTTAGGGGATGGGATGGGATGGGATGGGGGTGAAGGTGGTCCCCTGGCTGTGCCTAGATGGAAGGATCCCAAGGTTCTCAGCCACTATGTATTTGCCAAATGCTCTGTGTTCAGCAGGGACCTCAGCCCCACTGTCCCTCTCAGGGAATTTGCAGGACAACTGGTCTCATGCCAAGTTAATACCCCAAGAGCTACGTCACTTAGCCTTTTGTCCGCTTTGTCTTTTCCTGCTCACTTTACTCTTGGGAGTTAATACCTTATAACATTTCTTTTCTCACATTTTAGTGAGATTTTAGGAGAAACAGAAGTTAAATGTATGTGATCAGTCTGCCATTTTAAACAAGTTAGTCTACTTTTCTTACCTAATATTCTCTTTGTTAAACTTTAGTATTCAAGTCACAGTAGCATCTGAAAATGAGTGGACAACTTTCACTCTTTTATTATTCTTAGGCACAATATGTATAATACCGAGAATATTAAGAACTATCTTTTTCTTAAAGATTTGCTATTACAGAGGGTTCAAACCATCTAGGCCTGATGCTTTTAGCAGGGAGAGTAAAGATTTTGCTTCAGTGATTTTATCTTTCCTTCCTTCTACTTTTGTAACTTTTTTTTTTTTGATGATTGATTCTAGGTAATTATCCCGTTAGTCATTTCAGAGAACTGCCTTTTAGTTTGTTAAACTACATCTGTTATTTTTTTCCAATTTCATAAACTTTTACTTGTATCTTTGTTATTTGTTCCTTTTGGTTTCTTTGGGCTTACTCTGTTCTTTTTCTAGCTTCCTGAGCTGAGCACATAGCTCATTTGTTTTCATATTTCCTGTTTTTTCACATACATGTATGTTAGGACAGAATTTTCCCTCTCAATGTTGCTTTTTTTTTTTTTTTATTTTTGAGACAGATTCCCACTCTGTCACCCAGGCTAGAGTGCAGTGGCATGATCTCAGCTCACTGCCACCTCCACTTCCTGGATTCAAGCAATTCTCCTGCCTCAGCCTCCTGATAGCTGGGACTACAGGTACGCACCACCATGCCCGGCTAATTTTTTTTTTTTTTTTTTTTTTGTATTTTTAGTAGAGACAGGGTTTCACTATGTTGGCCAGGCTGGTCTTAAACTCCTGACCTCAAGTGATCTTCCTGCCTTGGCCTCCCAAAGTTTTGGGATTACAGGTGTAAATCACCACGCCTGGCCTCAATGTTGCTTTAGAACACGGTTTAAAATTTGCTTCATAGCACTTGGATCGTAGTTAGTTCTAAATATTTTGTAATTCTGATTGTGATTTTCTCTTTAATTCATGTCTTTTTAAAAATTTGTTTTTAGTTTAGACAGTATTTTTTCCTTTTTTTAATTGTTGGTATCTAATTCAATTGTTTTCAGTAAAAAAAAAAACTTACACATGAACATTAATTTCTTGGAATTCATGAGTCTTCCTTTGTGGCTTAATAATTGGTCAGTTTTTATGTACGTTTCCTGAAGAACCAAATGTTCTCTTTTTCAGGAGTAGAATTTCTAATCACATATTCCAAATTGATTATAATCTTACTAATTTTTTGTCTTCTTTATCTATCATGCTCTGAAAGAGATATCCTGAAATCTTCCACGTTAGTTCTAGATTTGTTAACTCCTTTCATAATCCTTTATATACTTTGAGATTCTGTGTTTAAGTGCATTCAATTTCTCAATTATTGGTTCTTCTTGGAAAATTGTTTCTTTTATCATTTTATAGTATGTCTTTTTATCTGTGTTAGACTTTTCATCTTATTCTATTTTCTCCAGTATCCGTACAAATATTTTTTCACTAGTTTCCTTTTGGTATGTATTTTTCCAGTGTATCTTTTGCCATCTTATTATTTTTGAATTTGTATTTGTTTTTAGTGTTTCACATAAGGAACATAGAAACATATTTGGCTCTGGTTTTTGTTTTTCCAAGACAACTAAATAGTGTGTCTTCGATGGGTGGGTTTAATTTATTGATATTCATTATGATTATTGATGTATTCAGACTTATTTCTGCTATCTCATTTTGTATTTTTATTCATATTTTCCCTTTGCTTCTGTTTCTTTCTCTACTTTAGTGATTAATACTTTTTTTCACTTTTCTCACCCTGCTAATTTCAGAGTTGAGTTATAGATTGTCTTTCTATTTTTAATATTTATCTTTTAATTTTTACCACAAACATTTAACGTTCTAGGAAGACTCATGTCTTTAATTCTGATAAATTCTATGCCATTTCCCTCTATCAAGTTCTGCCTCACTGCCATTTCCTTTATCATGTACTTCTGAAATTCCTCTCAGGTGAGTGATGGAGTCTCTCAAGGCTAACTTTAGCTGCAGCCATGTATCTGCCCTTCTATCCCATCCTATCCCATCCCATCCCATCCCATCCCATCCCATCCCATCCCATCCCATCCCATCCCATCCCATCCCATCACATCCCATTCTATCCTATTCTGCTTCCTTCAGTACAGATTTACCTGAGAACAACTCCCCTATAACGTTCTTGCTTTGAAGAAGCTCTGCTTCTAAAACCCACTGGGTAAGTAATTTGCTCAAAGTCACACAATAGTGAAGGAGTGCACCACTCCCTCAACTATGTCACTGCAGCACCCACTGCAAACGGGCTGTTAAAAACAGCTCCCTCCTCTCCACCATCCCAGTGCTTCTTCTGGCAGCCCTCAGTGGATGGCTGTCTCCAGCTTCCATTCTCACTGGACTGCTGAATCCTCATGGTCTGTAGGCCTTGGCTTGGCATGCACAGCTGGTTTCCTTCCCAGGCCCCCTTCAACTGCTCCTGGGGAATGTCCCAGCCTTGGAGTCTGGGAGAAGTCCACATGGGGAGCGTGGGAGTCTGGTCTTCCTCCATCTTCTTTTCAGCTTCTTGTCCTGGCACAGAAGTTCTGCCCTCCTTCCTCTAAGGCCTTCTCTTTTTGGTTCTTAATAGCCTTTTCTTCTCCTAAAAACCTTCCTCTTGCATATCAAAAACTTGGGCTTTCAAAAGTATTGTTTCTGATCTGGGATCAAGAACTTATTTTGGAAATTAGCACCCAACACTGACTATTTATTTCTCTCTGGATTTCAACTGTCCTCATTCTCCTTCAGGTTCTATGGGAGCTGAACAAGGAAGAGAAGAAAAGTACAGACATTTGTATTTCAAGATGCCTTCCTGCCATAGCATTTAGAATACACTGGCAAACAGCCTGGCATAAAGTATGCATGCTGTGCATGTTATCTGTATGCTTTTAAAATTATTGAGTGATTTTCAGCAGCAGCATTTGCTGGTGCAGATTTCATTACCACAGATTTCTTCTTTGTCTGGTGAGCTCTGACCTCCTCAAAGTTAACTGCTCTATAGCCCCAATCTCTTTCCCTACATAGATATCCAGTGGCCTGGGCCATGGTTCCCTTTAAAGTTTCTCCCAAGGACCTTGGTGGCATTTGTACTAATGGAACTCCTGGAGACCTACTATTTCTGCAATAAAACCATTGCACCCATGGAGATTTACCCTTCTCCATACGTTGTTATTGAATCACATTGAAATAAGCACAAATGTTTCTCCCTTTGCTTGCCTATTGTCTCTGTTTTGCTTATTACCTTTTCTTTCTCTTAACGATCTAGGAGTATAATATTTGAATTTCTGTTTTCAAAACCAAAAAATGAAAAGGCATAATGCAAATCAAAAATTACTCTACTATATCCGTTTGAAGATTAATATCATGGCCTTGTAGCTATAGGGATATAAAGACTTGGAGGACAAAAATAAAGAGTATGCAAAGAAGTACGTATATTAAGTTGCTTCATGAAATATTGGTGAGCTTCTGCCGATTTTACTGGTATGAGACTGTATACTGGTGAGTACAAAGGAAATGTAAATTACGTGGTTGGTTTCCTGTAGAAACTCTTGGTTTCCATGGAGAATAACCACATGAAGTAATTGTTGAGCTTTTTAGTCTAGTGATTTATATTTAAAATATTGTATCCAGACCAGGTCCAGTGGCTCACACCTGTAATCCCAGCACTTTGGGAAGCAGAGGCAGGTGAATCATCTAAAGTCAGGAGTTCCAGAGCAGCCTGGCCAACATGGTGAAACCTTGTCTCCACTAAAGATACAAAAATTAGCGAGGTATGGTGGCCCATGCCTGTAATCCAAGCTACTCAGGAGGCTAAGGCAGGAGAATCGCTTGAACCCAGGAGGCAGAGGTTGCAGTGAGCTGAGATCATGCCACTGTGCTCCAGCCTGGGCAACAGAGTCAGATTCTGTCTCAAAAAATAAAAAATCAACAACAACATTGTATCCACGTGGCACATAGATTATTCTTAATACATTAATTTTATTCTTGCAAGAATTTTTAGTTTTAGTTTAAATTCTTTTGGGCTCTCTCTCTTATATATGTATTTATTTATTTATTATAGCTTATTTATTTATTAAACTATAATAAGAAATTTATTTATTATAGTTTGGGAGGCTGGGTAGTCCAAGGTCAAGGGGCTACATCTGGTGCGGGCCTTCTTGCTGGTGGAGACTCTGCAGAGTCCTCAGGTGATACAGAGCATCACATGGCAAGGGTGAGCTGTGTGTTTTTTTCATTTTGCTTTGATTTTTTTTCCTATTTTTAATTTTCTTAAGAGACGGGATCTTGCTACATTGCCCAGGCTAGTCTTGAACTCCTGGCCTCAAGTGATTCTCCCACCTCAGCCTCCCAAGTAACTGGGACTATAGGCATGAGCCACTGTCTCCAGCTTTGCTTTGATTTTTGTTTTGAATAGATCCTACTTACCTGAATCTGTAATATGATGAGTAGGAGTGAGTCTAGTTGCTCATTGTTCAGAGGGAATTGCTCTATATTTAGATGATACTCTTAATGATCTTAATATTTAATAAAGAAAACAATGCCTTTGTGTAGCATGCTGAGATTAAGACAAAAATTTCATATCATTTTCCCCCTTGCTTGTTAAATGATCAAAAATGTAACATAAATACCCAGTAGCCAGTAGGGATTCCATAAAGTGGAAACTTTTAGATATGGCTATTAGCAATGATAATCTTTGAAATAATAGGGCAGTGTGAACTGACCTTGCAGACTGCCTGGTGTGAGCATGGCTTTACCACACATCAGTGGTGAGACTTGGGGCAAGATGCTTACCTTCTCTAAGGCTGAATTTCCTCTTCTGTAAAATGAAAATGATAATAAAATTTAATTTTGAAGAATTATTGTTGGGATTAAATAAGAATAATAATTATTGCAGGGAATCTAAATTAAGCAACTAATCTAAAAGAATTAAAAGGCTGTTTATACAAAGGTGTTTATTTTCCATCATTCGTAATTCAAAAATTTGGAAGTCTGTTAAATGTTCATCAATAAGAGAATCATTAAACAGATTATTGTATAGCTTTTTGGTGGAATGTCTTGCCGCTGTGACACAAACACTTATAAAGATTGTGTGGCAAAATAAAATGAACAGAAATCCTTAAATAACATAAATTGAAAACATAAAACACAAAATTAATGTATCGCATTATTAAAACATAAAATATTAATATGAAAGAAGGGAGAGGGTTCACAAAATGGTAACAGGGTCATTGGGTTATACATTTTTACTATTTTTAAATTTTTCTATTACATTATTATATTGTCTTTATAATTAAAACAGCATTATTATTAATCACTTTTATTTTTCCTATTTATAAAAATGCTTACTTTTGAGAACATAAATAATGCTGAAAATCATGAAGAATCCAACTATTAATCTTAATATTGCCATTAGTATTTTAACTTACATTGTTCCATTTTTATGCATTATATATTATATATTATATGTATGTATATGTATACATATACAAAATAAAGCAATAGTATTGCTTTACTATCAATTTACCTCTCAGTCTGCTTCTCGAGCTCTTGGTTTCATATCTCTTCTTTATCTTTGATCTTTTCACAGAAGTCTATTCTCCTTTTCCCAAGAGCTTTAAATTCCTATGTCCTACTGGGAACACCAATCAGCCTTTTTTTGAAATGTTCTCGTGTGTCTTGTCAAAAATAATTACCAGAGGTGAACTGTGCCTCCCAAACTTCCAAATAATACTTTTTCCTTGTGGTGCTGTATTTCCTCCATAGATACTACACCATTATTGTGGTTGTTTTCTCTTTAATTATCCTTAAATATAGTGAGAATCCCCTGCCCCAGACCCTTGGTCCTGTGCACCTGCACTTGGGTCCATGAAGAGTTCTCCCAGATGGAAGGCAGTGGAGCAGGTCAATGCACTCAATTACTTCCCTTTTCTCATTATTCATCTAGTATGATTCTTCTGGATTTAATTGGAAAATTCACCTGTTCTCTGCTCAGTTCTCTCAAAATTAGGGAAACACGTATATTTTATATAAGTATAGACTCTCTTCAACATATACATCCAGGGAAAACTCCCAGCCCAGGGTCCCCTGTCCCAGGCATCTTTATATCTTGACTCCTACCCATAGCATTTTATGTGAAAGGAACTATCTGCCTGTGGGTAAAATGTATTCTCTTCTGCTTCTTACTTAGGCATAGAACACATATGTGAAGAGTTCACTTCAAAGGCTGGGTTTGTGTAGATGCCTGTGATTCACATTGTCAGAGAATTGACTGTAGGGCTACGTTGCTCTTCAGCTTAGTACCGGAACTGAACTGAAGGAAGCAGTTGCCCCTTAGGAGTGGGCAGGAAGCTCCGCCCATGAAACAGATCTGCTTCTCCATTGAACTGGAACCTCTAAACAAATGTAAAAAGGGAATGCCGATAACTCGTGGAGCACTGAATGGATCTGATGAGCATAAATATGTGTGTCAGAAATCAGTGCCTCGGCAGTAATGGCTATACACATTTCCTTTTTCTCTTTTTCCCATCAGTTACAGAACACATATGTCCCAGCTAGAAGTAGACAGTGAGGGAAGTTTGAACCTTCGTCCTACCTACTTTGTTGTAAAGGGAAATCGTATATTTTGAAGGGCAAAGCATGTACAAACTTGTTCTGCATTTCAATCCAGCCACAACTAAATATGCTTGGTAGTAATTTTTAGGAATACATCTAAGAACTTTCCAAAATGTTGCCTGTGATCCTCGTTTTCAGAGCTGCCTAATTTTTTTTTTCTGGTCAGTGTGATAGAACTGTGGGAGAAAAATGTCAAAAATTTATTTTAAAATTGGAGGTCCCTGTTTTCAATTTAAATACTTTGTTAAACATACTTTAAAAAGTCGTGACCTTTTATAACTTCTCACTAAACTTGATGCAGAAACACAAATAATTCTCAAAAAAAATTAGCTGACAGAATCTTTGAGGAATTTTCACAAACTGTTAAGATTAGTGGAGATAGATGGAAGAAAGAGAACTGGTAGCTTGCCCACCCACCACCTTGTTAAGACACAGCATTCTGGCTCATAAAATTGATGGAAGTAAGGATGAAAGACATTTAAACTCTTCTCCACTCTATGACCCCTGACTCAGAGCCATGATTTGACTCAACCAGAGAACCTGGGGGCCATCACTTTACTCTGTGGGTGCCCTTCCCTGCCATAGGCTTCTACATTGTTTCCTGATACTCAGCAGGAATGGAGAACCAGACTAGCAGTGGTACATTGTATTCAAGCAGATACTTAACAGGATAGGCTTTTATTTATGCTGGTGATGGTGATTCACATGTCAGAGAATCGGCCCCAGGACTGGTGGCTCTTGCACTTACTACCAGAGCCCAACTAGAAGCAATTCCCCTTACCCACAAAACAGATCTTTTGCTGGAGGTGTTAAAAAGTGGATTAAACCACCTGCTAAGTGGACTATCCAGGGAAGATCTTCAAGGTACATACAGGCCCAAGTTAAGGTTATGAATCGAAGAGAAAGGTGTTTTGCTTTGTTAATAATGTCAAAGATAAAGAGACAAAGCTGAGAATGAAACATGAGGCAGAAAGCAGTGCACTGCAACTAAAAGCAGCAAGAGGGAGCAAGGATGCCTGAGAGGATGCCTGTGACTCAGTCTAGAACACAGAGGCAAGGAGCTAGAATCTGCCTCCAGGGTGGGGAGGAAGCCATGCACAGCATTCTGGGGAATGACATTCCCACACTTCCTTGGCCAACGGAGAACCTTGGTCTGATTAAAATGATCTGGATGTAAATCTGCCTCTGCATAGTGAGATGACCAGCCAGAGGAGTCAGGAGATGCCTGTTGCAGGGCAACAGAGTCACACATATTTGGCTTCTTTATGGAGCTCATGGGCAAACATAATTTGGATGGGTCTCCATGTGCAACACTGTTTTAGTTATAATGATATATTCTGGAGAACAATATGATTTTGGTAACTTAGAGAACTACCTTTTAAGGCTCCCTGGCATTTTTGTTTTGTTTTGTTTTTTGGTTAAAGACTCTGTTCTCCCCTTCCCCCACAGCCCTAATCTCAGCGTTCTGAAGTAGGCAAAAGCCTCCCTGTCCCTAACTCCCATTATTACTCTTCAGTAGAAAATAACTTTGGGGTAACAAAGAAGGAAGGATAAAATACACAAATAAACTTGGTAGAAGCATATATGAATTGCTTAATATTTACTGTGAAATTATTAACTTCTATGCAAGGTTTTATATTATGAAATTGTGTTCTGTAAACTTAAAAAATAGTCCAGTAATGTTATTACAGTTAACTTCATGGTATAAACAACGCAAATGCACAGGCATTGTACGAAACAAAAAGTGGGATGATTTTCCATATACGTATTAGTAATAGAAAGTGAGTCATGCTTGAATTGCAAAATATGTATGTGGTAAAGGCCAGTAATTTGAAGTTTTATGTCAGAAAAATTGCTGATCTAGCTGTCTCACCACGCTGTGGGAATAACCAATCAACTCACAACATGATCAGGTCAAGAAGTAATTTATACTTAAAAAAGCAAAAAATGGGAGCAATTACAAATTACAATGAATTTAAGATAGCGAAAAGGAAAAATTAATAACAAAGTACCTGGTCCCCCCAAATGGAAAGTTTCCAGTCTGTATGTGTATGCACAGTAGAGTATTTGTAAAGTTAGAGCCTTGTGTGGCTGCTGTATTTAAAAAAGATACTAATTTAGAATTCTCAGTAAACTCAAAGAACTTGCTAATTTTAGTCCATAAATTATCAAATTTTAGTTATATTTAATATCTCAATTAGGAAGTTATAAAAAATAGCTCTAAGTGGTAAGGTTCTATGGAATTATGAGTCAGCCACCAAAAAGAACTCACAAGTGGACTTTCATATCTCTGAGAAGGTCTGTTAGCAGGTCCCCAGAACTATGCTTGGAGAACCCTTGAGCTGATGTGTCCTCAATTTGGGAGGGAAGACAAAGAAAGGTTTTGCTTGGAGTTAGTACCAACCTTTAAGGCAGAGAAAACTTGACCCATGAGGAATGAAATATAGAATGATGTAATATTCCTGGACCACAAATAGAGAATTGCTCTTTAAAGCACCAAAATTTTTAAGAACCTTTTTTTTACTGGAAATTGTTCCAAAGATGTGCACTAATCATTTCTTTGGCTTTTAACTAGCAGGTACTCATACTAATTATGTGGCCTTTGTCATCACTATTAATATCAGTTGTTGCAAAACGCTGTAATAAAGTGATACCCATAGGGTTTTCTAAGAGTGGGATACTTGCATCTACATTACATAATCACAATCTAGTCCTTTAATCCAGAAGTTTTAATAGTTTTTTTCCCCAGTCCTCTTTCTCACTGTCAGTGCATCAATTCTCACCTTTCACTTTTTCTCTGGTCATCTTGCTAAGCTTTCTAAACTGATGCTTCTGATGTGAATAAAAAACTACTACTGTATAAAGAATTAAGTTTTAAAGCATATTCTAGGCCAAGCGTGGTGGCTCACACCTGCAATCCCAGCACTTTGGGAGGTTGAGTCGGGAGGATTGCTTGAGCCCAGGAGTTTGAGACCAGCCTGGGCAACATAGCAAAACCCTGATGCTGAAAAAAAAAAAAAATTAGCCATGTGTGGTGGCCACTGCCTGTGGTCCCAGTTACTCAGAAGGCTGAGGTGGGAGGATTGCTTGAGCCCAGGAGGTTGAGGCTACAGTGAACTGTGATCATGCCACTGCACTCCAGCCCAAGTGACAGAGCCTGACCCTGACTCAAAAACCAAACCAAAACAAACCAACAGAAAAGCATATTCTAAGTGTGTTTAGATTTTGTGTAAGTAAAAACTCTTAAAAATATTGATTCTTTTATGAATATAATATAGGAAATCAACCACATGGATTCTGAGGAAGTGTTTGATTGCACGAAATAAGGCTCTTTTTGCTTACATAATCAGTGTTAGATTACTACTGTTATTATTATTGATTTTAACAATAACCACATCTTACATTTTTTATGATATTTTTCAGTTTGCAAACATTTTGACCCATCATTTCTGAAATGGTACTTGCCAAAATCCTGATAGGTAGGGGGAGCTAAGAGTCATTCTTCATTCATTCCTTTGTTCATTCATACAATTACTGATACTGACAATTCAGGTGCCAAGCACTAAGGAAACCAGATCTCTGAGAGGTTACATAATGTGGAAAAAGCAAATGCTCAGTAAGTAAGAAAGTGAGATTCAACTCTAGAACTCTCTGTTCAGTAATCTTTCTCATGTAATAGGTATCCAGATGGTTGCATTTTGTGGGAGTGAAAGGCAACCACTATTTAATCACCTGTATTAACTTTCTGGAATTAGATACTTCTATATAGGCAGGAACTGAGGCACACACAAGTTTTTGGCCATTTATAAAACCAGAGCCAAGATGGTCAGCCCACCAGGCTACTGATGGGATATGAGAATTGGCCAGGATGTGATCATTGTATAATATTTGTGGCTTACATACAATATTTTAAAAATCTTTGCTATTTTTAGCTCTGAAAACCCAAATAGGCAGAAACGGCTTTTGGCAGAAAAAGTCACTCTTCTTGAAGTCAGTAGAAACATTTTGTTTCTAGGACTAGGAGGGTAGGTGGGTGGTTTGTTCCTAATGTGTAAGACCCAAGGCCTCTATGACCTTTTCATTTCACATTCTTTAAAATGGGGACCATCTGAATCAGTTCAGCCTGCTGGGAGTCCCAAGACAAAGATACTTTTAGAATGCCTTAGATTTCCAAAGACTGTCAACTTTTGTCCTGGAAAATATTTTTTCTTTGAAGGAATATATGCCTGGACCCTTGCCCAAATGTGGCTATGTCAAAATTTTGGAACAAATAGGTGTCTACGATGTGCTCCTTCCCGCAATGACAGAAATCAAGAAGTCTGGTTAAAAAGAAGGATAAAAAAATTGACTTCAGTTCATAAACTGGTAGAACTGGAAGGAAATTTTAGGGATTTATTATTGAGAAGAATAGTTCTTATCTTTGGTCTCATGGTAGAATCACCTGGGAAACTTAAAAGGTTCCCAGCATCACCATCCCAAAGATTGATTTAATTGCCTCCTACCTACTCCAGGAAGGTGATCAGGACTGGATCAAGCAGAGATAGACCCTGACTGAGAACATATTTTCCTTATTCAGGTACATTGATCGTGATGGGATCATAGCTTAAAGTATGGTGTGCTTATTTTGAGGGTGGCAGGGTTGATATTGGGCAAGACTATTTCTGGGAGTAGAGGAAGAAGATCAGGAATAAACCTTGTGTTTAGAAGAAAGAAGTGAGAGATATTGAATTGCTTTCTTTTTCCTCCATATGTTGAACACTGAAATCAAAGAAAACTGAAAGAATTGTGGGCTCTCTGAATTGTCAGAAAATATGGGACATGAACAATTATTTGTCATATGGTTTGATTGAAAATATATGCTTTAATTGAACAATTATCAACTTTTTTCTAATATAAATTATCATCCTTTTTTATCTATACACCAGGTAGTTCTAAAAGCCACTTTAGCAGCAAAGAGTATTAACAAGTGAGTATTTGCTCATTTAATACCCATTACAAATGAGGACAAAGTAATACTCATTGCAAATGAGTATTCACTCATTTAATTCCCCAAACGACAGTGTCAGGAATTATTATTTTCCTCTACTAAAGTACAGAGCAGTTATGAAATGTGCCTGTGGCCTTTCTGTACATGGCAGAGTAGAATACAACCGAGGCCCTCAGGCACCTGAACCTCAGTTTTCAAGCACTGTGCTGTTCTGCCTTCTAGTTACACAAACTGTCTCAAACACAGAATTCTTATTATTTCAAAAACATCTCTTTGCTCCTTAGCTTTTCAGAAGCAGCCTATTTTCAAAGCTATTATTACGAAACACATATTTAAACTGGTCAACTGCTTTTTCTGAAAACAATGCAGGCTTCTGAGTTATCCAGTGGAGGTGAGAGATGAGAGGGAGAAGTGAAAGTCTGATCCAGACAATCGTACTGAGATGAAAGCCACAGGCACTGGGGGCTGGAATAAGGTCTTGCCACTTCTATGTGCTCCACAGCTGTAGAATGGAGAAGGGGCTTTTCTGACTACCAAGAAAATACCTGTGAGGCAACTCAGCTATGCTCTCTCTTGACAAATGTAGTGGCCAGGTTAATCTATGTGAGTGAGAATAATGATCACATCAAGAAATTAACTTAAAAAAATACTTCAATAAGATGGATTTTTAGGACAGTGAAACTACTCTGTATAATACTGATGGTGGAGACATGTCATTATGAATTTGTTCAAACCCATAGAAAACATAACACCAAGCGTGAACCCTAATGAAAGCTACGGACTTCGAGTGATCACTATGTGTCAATGTAGGTTCATCAGTTGTAACAAATGCACCACTCTGGTGGGGGATGTTGACAGTGGGGGCAGCTGCATATACGTGGGAGTAGGAAGCATAAGAGAAATCTCTGGACTTTCTGCTCAATTTTGCTGTAAACCTAAAACTGCTCTAAAAAATAAAAAGTCTATGAGAAAAAAAAATACGGCAAGACATTATGCTAAGTGAAAGAAGCCAGGCACGAAAAGCCACATATTATGTGATGGCATTTATATGAAATATTCAGAATAGGCAAATCCATGGAGACAGAACACAGATTCGTGGTTGCCAGGGGAGTAGGCAAGAAAGGGAAGTGACAGCTTACTGGGTGCAGGGTTTCCTTTTGGGCTGATGAAATGTTCTGGAACTAGACAGTGGTCATAGTGATTGCACCACAGTGTAAATATACAAAAAGCCAGTGATTTGTACACCTACGACAGGTTAAAATTGTGAATTTTATGTTATATAAATTTTTCCTCTTTTAAAAAATTGAAAATACTGGAGCACAAGAGAAGAAAACATCACTTTGAAAACTTAGGAAAAACCATGTTTTTGAAAATGATTTATTATAAGAACTAGTTTAAAAAGAAGCATCCTCTATGACTTCAAGTGAATGTGAGAAGTTTTGACTTCTTGAATTAGGTGCAGAGAGAAGTAGTGAGGCTATTCTGAGGTTAAGACAACAGAGTGATGTGAAATGAAAGTTCTGTGAGATATGGAGGGTTTGAAATAGCATTAAAATTGAGTGGCAGAATTTAAATCCAGATGAAGGTGCTCCAAAGCTGAATTGACACTGTGGAAAAGTAAATCACTGATGCAAGGGAAAAACTTGAGATGCTCTCAGAGAATGCAAAAAGAAAGAACAAATATAAGAAAATGATGAGCGGGTAGGTAATAAATATGGCAGACAAAGAATGGTAGAGCCCAGAACAACAGATTCAATGATCAAAAACATAGTTTAGGTTTTTTTTTTTTCTGAGCTAAAACAAAGGCCAACTGTTTTTCTTATATACCCCGTGATTTTAAAAGCAAAGGAAAGAAAGCATCTTATAAATATCAAAACAAGACAAACTCATTGCCTGCAAAGGAACAAAAATTAAGCTAGAAACAGATTTCTTTGAAGCATAGACTATCAGAAAGTGTTAGAATAAATTCTATATAATTTTGAGGAAAAACTAATGTGAAACGAGTATATTTTCCCAGCCAATTTATCATACGTGTGAAGGCAAAAGACAGACATTCTGAGATAAGTAAGAGCCCAGAAAGCATAAATTCATATCTTTCTTTTTAAAATTGCTTGAGTAAAACGGTACAGCCACTCTGGTAAAGTTTCACAGGTTCTTATAAAACTAAACATGCAATTGCCATATGACCTGACAACTGGATTTTTGGCATGTATCCCAGAGGAAAAAAAAAAACCAACTTATGTTCACCCGAAACCTGTACATGGATGTTTATAGCAGCATTATTTGTAAGACCCCCAAGTAATTATTTGTAAGATCCCCAAACTGGAAATAGCCAGATGTTCTCCAAAATGTGGATGCTTAAATGGTGGCACATTCATAGCATGGAATATTACTCAATCACAAAAAGGAACAAACTATTGATATATCCAGCAATTTCAATACATCTCTAGAGAATTATACTCAATGGAAAAAGCCAGTCCTCCAAAGTAACATACTATAGGATTCCATTTATGTAACATTCTTGAAATGAAAACAAACAAAAAAAGAAATGGAAAATTGATTAGTCCTTGCCAGGGATTAGAAACTGGATGGAGTAGGGGAGTATGAAGGAGGGGGTGGGTATGGCTATAAAAAGGCAAGAGGAGGATCCTTGTGGGGGTGGAAGTGTTCTGTATCTTGACTGTGGTGGTGAATACAGGAACTGTCACGTGAGATAAAATTGTATAAAACTAAACACATGTAAACACCGCAGAGTGAGTACAAGTATAGGAAAATCCAAATAAGAGCTGTAGACTACAACCATGTCAGTGTCCCGGTTGTGATACTGTACTAGAATTTTACAAGATGTTGCCATGGGGCGGAACTGAGTAAAGGCTGTGCAGGATCTCTATTATTTCTCACAACTGCAAGTGACTCTACGTGCAGTTTATCTCAACTACCATTTCAGTGAAAAATTATCTGAAATATACTTTCCTTATTGAGAATTTCACAAAATTAAGATCTCAAAAACAGCATAGTTTAGTAGAAAGAATAAATATCATTACAGAATGAAATTCTAATGTCAAAAATAATTTCTTAAAAGGATTCCACAAAATGAAAAACATAATAATCCGGCTTGAAAAACCTCATTTTATATTTGCCAAAAATAAGAACAGAAGGAAATAAAACTGGAATAAATTTCAAGGAAACAAAACTGGAATAAGTTTCTTCTTCAAGCAATAGAGTCAAAAGATACCATTTCATTTTCTTTCTTTCTTTTTTGAGACGGAGTCTTGCCCTGTCACTAGACGGGAGTGCAGCGATGCAATCTCAGCTCACTGCAACCTCCACCTCCCAGGTTCAAGCGATTCCCCTGCCTCAGCCTCCCGAGTAGCTGGGACTACAGGCGTGCACCACCGTGCCTGGCTAATTTTTTTATTTTAGTAGAGACAAGGTTTCACCATGTTGGTCAGGATGGTCTCAATCTCTTGACCTCATGATCTGCCTGCCTCGGCCTCCCGAAGTGTTGGGATTACAGGCATGAGCCACTGTGCCCAACTACCTTTTCATTTTCTGATTTTGGTAGAAGAATTTTTTTTAACTTAAAGATAATATGAAATAGAATTAAAACAGAATGTATACTGTTCAAGTCATTGAGGGAGGATGAACATATAATAAAACGTAGAAAAGGGAAGAAAAAGCAAGTAAGCATAAGAAATAGAAAGTATAAAAGAAGGTAAGTAAGGACAGCCACTGGCCGTGACAAACCAAATAAGTAAATTCCCTAAGAAAGAGAATCAATGATCAGATTAGTTTAAAAGCAATATTGAATTACATGCTTTTTAAAAAGACACACTTAAACTGTAATTACACAGAAAGTTTAAAATAAAACATTTTATTCATTCAACATTTATTCAACAAACACAAACTGAAAGAAAACATGGAGCGATACCTTCATATTAAGTAAAATAAGTCTACCCCAATATTTGCAAGACCTGGACGAGAATGCAAATGAAGGCCCACACACCATAGGTCTCAATATTCAAAAGTCAAAAGTCAAGCTAACAAACTGTTGAATAAAATATGTTTTGTCCATCTACCTTGACACATTAACCTTCAAAGCATCCTGGAAGCCTAAAGTCAAAAATGCAATTTTTGGGCTCTTGTGACTTCCGTGATGAAGTAGGGCAGTAAAGTGAGAGCAGCTGTGGCCCAACCCAGCACTGGCCTGCCCCCATTGTCTTCTGGGGAGGCTTGGCAAGCGCTTGTGCGACACCCCAGCCTGTGCATCTCCTGCCTCCCAAACCCCAAACACCTGCCTTTTGTGCACCCACTGGGCCTGGGGATGTGCAAACACCCAGAGAAGATGACCTTGGAAAGAGGCTGCCCAGGTAGTAATCTGCTCCTTTCACTTAGCACACCCTGGAGAATTTTCCATAGTGTTCCATTTTCTTTTACAGCAAGTGTTTTTGCATTGCAACCCAATATCAGGTTGACCAGGGAGCCTGCAGAAAGTGCCTTGAGAGATGGGGGAAGCAGCTGAGGACTCCTCACTTTCAGTTCAGAAAGTACAATTTTGCTTTTAGCTGCTTTACATATAAGGCTCCTGCTTAATATTTTGTTTAAATATTAAACAGGAAGGGTTGTCCACAGCCAAAAAAAAAAAAAGCTTGTACATTTCAACTTCAGTGACTTAATTAGTTCTCTATTATTGGGTTCTTAGGTTGTTCACAATTTTTCTTTATTATAAACACCTTTCTCATCTTATCTAGCTGACTAATTTATATTCTTCCACTAAAAGTCTTTCAGATATCAACCCATCCCTGCCTCCCACAGAAAGTCTTTCAGTTTTCTTTCTTTTCTTATATTTTCTTAATCCAGTATGGAGTTTCTTCCCTGGTGTTCAGCAGAAGCCTGTACATAGCTCTATCCTACCACCCTCTGTTGCATTTAAAATCTCTACACACTTATTTCCTAGGGAGAGGACTTTCTGTCTTTAGGAAAATGACTCTTCTTTGAATTTCTGCATTCCCACAGAGGAGGGATTCATTAATGCTTACTGGATAAATGGATTTCCTGTGCAACTCTTTTTGTGCAAGTTCCATGCCCATTAAATCAGTGGGTCCTTCAGCAGGCATAAGGATCCCTGGGAGAGTTTGCATTGATTCTTGGGCTATATCCACAGAGAACCTAACAAGCTTCCCCAAGCTACTGATGCTGCCCATCTGAGGATACACTTCTAAGAAGCAATGCATTAACATTCATTTATCATTTTGTCTTCCAAGGGGGATTTTCTTAAGGGAATAACATGTTTTGATAGCAGATGGAAACATGTGAGTCTAGTTGGATGTTCCCTTTTACCTTATTAAAATAGTGAGTGGAAACTCTTATTTTGTAACCATTTTTATGAGTTTGGTTACTATGAGTTATTTACCTTGAGTTTGATTCATGGTGGAAAACAGGTAATTCACTTTGTACTTTTCATTTTCTGTGGTCCAGCTCTTGGAATATGTGGACCCCATTAAGGGGGTGGCATCCTATGAGGCTCTCTGAGCAGCTGGCTGGATAGCTTTCCTCCCCAGCCTCTCTGTCTTCTGCCTCATCACCTCTGCAACAAATGGGGTATATTTTTCTTCCTAATCACTTCCCAAAACTGCTTACAGATTTATGTCCATTAGCATGTGTGCTTAGCAGCAGAAGGCTATCCTTCAAAAATTGGCACTTGGAGGACTAGTTGAAAAAGACTGAAGTAAATCATAGCTGTTATCACAAGCAGAGGAATCCAAGGTGTAGAGGTCTCTCAGGAGGAGGGAGGAACTGGTAGAGTATTGTGCTTCCTGGAGGATAAGTCATAGCGAAGATGTAAGGTAGAGATGATGCAGGGGCAGGAAATAATTCTGAGGAAGAAGATAATTACCCCCAGAGCTGGCTTGTAATGAAGTGCTGACTATAGCTGGGAAATTGCCTTCTTTTGATTCTCATGCATTTAATGGTGCTAGAGAGAAAGAGTCTTGGGTGCCCTGGCTCCGGTCTAGGACAGTATTTAATAATAATGGGTGCTTCTTTCTCACCCAGCAGAGTCTGCAGGGTGGGAGGTTGGTTCACTAAAGCCCCTTTATGTTGTTTTAGTACCTTTCATCCCCACTGACTTCACAACAAATTATTATTTATCTTCAGAGCCTGCTTTGGGTGTGTGTTTGGGGCAGTGGCAGGCAACAGTAGCAAACGTTGATGCCACCACTTTATGACTGGGGCCAAAGAAACATCCAGGGAGCATGTTATTTGCTGAAGCCCACACCAAGCACTGTCAGTTGCTGCAATCCTTGGCAGCCCATGGAGGTTCAGATGCCCAGTGCTTGGCAACACTTTCAGATTCTTGTCATGAGAATGATTCATTTCAATACAATATGAGTACATGGTTTACATTTCCTCACAGAATTGGCAGAAATATGGACGACAAATATAAGCTGGCTTCAATTTCTAAGGAAGATTACACCCTTACCAAATGGCTTGGGTGATAGTCATCCTTAAAATTGTCATGTATACTTCTTGTACATTCTCAGGAAATTCACCCAATGTAGAGCAAAAGGAAACATTTCGAATTTTCTGCCACAATGCTAAGGAAATACTGTAGAATGGAGATTTGAAGCTAATATGAACCTGAATGTCTGAAGCCAATACTCAATCGTTGCAATAAATTTCTGTCCCAGGCAGATCTGTGCAGACCCCACTCACCAGCCCTCTTGACTTCCCTTTTTGGCCATTTAATTCCCAGAGTCATTTAACTCAGGTGCTACTGGGGTAGGGGTAGCAAGGAAAAGCAGGTCAGCTCTTCACTCTCTCCGGGCTTTTGGGGGACATTAGACGTGGGCAGAGATTCAGCAGGGGCCTCGGGAGGTGTCCACAACACAGTCCCTGAATCAACCAGCAAGCCAACCAACCAACCAACCGAACCTACCAACCAACCAACCGACCAAAAAACCAACCTCAGCTTTCAATTCCAAATGCAACATTTCTCTTAACCAGTGCCTAAAAGGCTGAAGCTTTGCTCAAGCTTTGCTTGAACACCGAATTTGAATGACATACTATCTGTCTTTACTAAATATCTCTCAGAGTCCTGTGACTATCTGAATTAAAATGTCAGCAAAGTCATCCACTACTTCTAGGTCAAGGCAAAGCCAGAGATATGTGAACCTCCAGGTAGGCTAATAATCTGGGGGTACCTTAATATGGTGTCTTAAAAAGAGATATTGGACATCCATTTAGGGAAGAGGCTGAGAGTGGCTGCAAACAAGTCCTGAGAAAGATCCAGGGTCTCCTGTGCAAGCCCCTCCCAGGAAAGAAGGTGACCTGTCTGTCTCTCCTTCCTTAGCAGGCAGTTTATAAACTGTTGTCCCTGGACCACCTTCTTTTTTTATTCTGGTAGATTTAGCCCCATACACCCTTTAAGTGGCCCATGAAAATTCTTCCAATCACATATAGTTTTCTTCATGAGAAACTCTTCATGAGAAACTTCATGAGAACTCTATGAAATAAGGCTTTCTTTACTTCTTTTTGTTTGCAGTCTGGTTTGAGGTCACAGTGGTGTTTTTCTATCCCTTATAGACTAGAACCTTGTGACCTGCCCCATAGTCTAACTCTGTTAATGGAAATGCCAATTAAAAGCCTTTCCAATTCTCAGTCCAATAAATTTAGCCACATGCTCTAGAGTCCTCCACAGTAAATGCTGGTCCGAATACAAACACACCACTTTAGCCCAAGGTTCAAATGTTACCTCATCTCATTGGACGCACTTAGTTATATCTTATAAAAACAACAACAGCAGCAACCAAAAAGACACCTCAGCTGTTATGTTGACCCATGCACACAAAATCCATCGCTGCTATCTGCTTTGCTATCTTGAGCAGATCTAGCTTAACTAGTAAGAATTATTTATCAAAATAGAAGCCACTTTGGAAATAAAACTGACCTGCCGCTCTCTTCATTAGTGTATCACCAGGGCTAAGAACTTGGGGTCAGAAGAGCAAACCACAGTAGATTTTTGTGGGAAATGTCAGGGCTTTAATTTAATTACCAAAAAATGTATCAGGGAATAGCACAGGGGACATACAAACAATAAACTTGCCACTAGAGTCTAACTCTGAAGTTGGAGGTTAAAAAAACAGAAACTGAAGAGTCATCTTAAGCTTAGTCTTAACACCAGGACATTTTTACAGCAATCATAAAAACCAAGCTATCATGATGAAGCTAGACTCACTGATTATTTACTCTAGATAAACAATGTAGTGTTTAGGAAATCCAGTCATCTACTGTTTTAGAATTCTTTTAAGTATTTTTGCAGGTTATCTGGGATCTAGCCACATGTTATCTCTTCCACTTTTGATCTGTTTACCAAAAGTTTGGAGAGAAAGAACTTCCTTCTTTAGCTTGCAAGCAAAATTCCTGGGACTAGGAATACAAACTACCATTTTCTAGGCTGTAGTTAAAAACCTGCTATCAGGCAACATATACAAAAATTAACTTGAAATGGAACATAAATATCAAATCTAAAACTATAGAACATTCAGAACAAAATGCAGGACAAAGGCTTTGTAACTCTGGCTTATGCAAAGATTTCTCAGATATGGTACCAACAGCACAAAGCATAAAAGAAAAAAAGAAAGGCAAATTGAACTCCATCAAGATTAAACACTTTCATTTTCTGCAAGTCACTGTCAAGAGAATGAGAAACACGTCATAGACAGGGAGAAAATATTGCAAAGCACATATCTGACATAGGCCTTGAATCTGGAATATATAAAGAACACTCAAAACTCAATAATGAGAAGACAAAGAAAGAAACAACCAAATTTTAAAATAATAAGCAAAAGCTTACCTAGACATTTCACTCAAGTGTATCATATACGTCACTCAATTATATGAATGGCAAATTGGCACATGAAAAGATGCTCAACATTATAGCATTAGAGAAATGCAAATTAAAACCACAATGGGATACTACTGTACACTATTAGAATGGCTATAAACAAGAACAACCCCAAATAAAGCAAACAATAACAACAACAAAAAACACTGACAATTCTGAGTTCTGATGAGAATTAGGAACAACTGGAACTCTCATTCATTGTTAGTGGGAGTGCAAAATGCCATAGCTACTTCGGAAAACAGCTTACAGTTTCTTACAAAGTTAAACATACACTTAACCATATACTAAACATATACTTACCATCACTCCACCCAAGAGAAATGAAAACTTATATTCACAGAAAAACTTATATGTATATATTTATAACAGCTTTATTTGTAATAGCCCCAAACTGGAAGTAACCCAAATGTCTTTAAACAGGTAAATGGATAAGCAAATGATGGTATGTTCATAGCCTGCAATACTACTCAGCAATAAAAGGCATCAAACTATTTACATATGCAACAATATGAATGCATATCAAATACATTAGAAGTGAAAGAGACCAGCTGGGCACGGTGGCTCACACCTGTAATCCCAGTACTTTGGGAGGCTGAGGTGGGCGGATCACGAGGTCAGGAGATCAAAACCATCCTGGCTAACATGGTGAAACCCCATCTTTACTAAAAATACAAAAAATTAGCTGGGCGTGGTGGTGGGTGCCTGTAGTTCCAGCTACTCAGGAGGCTGAGGCAGGAGAATGGTGTGAACCCAGGAGGCGGAGCTTGCAGTAAGCCGAGATCGCGCCACTGCACTCCAGCCTGGGCGACAGAGCAAGACTCCATCTCAAAAAAAAAAAAAAAAAAAAAAAAAGAAGTGAAAGAGACCAGATTTAAAGGTTACATACTGTATGATTCCATTTATATGACATTCTGGAAGGAGCAAAACTATAGGGTCCAAAAGCAGATGGGTTGGGTTAGGGATGAGAAGAGGAATTGAGTATAGAAGGTTTTGAGATAATTTTTTAAGGTGACAGAGCTGGACTATGGCCTGCAAGTAGCTGGAACTACAGGAGCATGGCACATTTGGCTGTGTTTGTTGAAACTGATAGAATTGTTCACTAGGAAGGTGTCTTTTACTGCATGAAATTATATCTCAGTTAAAATGAGCCTAATAGCAATTACTCAACAGGGATAGTTTTAATTAATTAAGACAGTGTTTCCTCTTGATATGTTACTTCACTGTCATTAGCAAGTGTTTGTGCTTATAAACACGTCCCTGCCTTAGAGAATCATCTCAGAGAATTTTCCAGTCAGCCCCATCTTTATTCTCCCTCTTCTGGCTTTGTTCAGGATTTTATCACCTCTCAGGAAGAGTATTGCAATAATCTCCTAACTGATCTCCCCTCTATCTTACCTTCATTGATTCATATTCCATGTCAATCTTTCTTTCATGGCAAAACTATATCACTCACTTTTCTACCCTAACTCCATTTATAATTTTCCCTTCCCTGGAATAAAGTCTGAAGTCCTCACTCCTGAGCACATGCTTTGCTGCCCTCACTCCTTCAAATGCACCACACGTTGTATCTGCTTGCACTTGTTCACATTTCCATGTGAATATCTGCCATGATTCCTTTACATATCTTGTTTCCCTTGCTAACTCCTAACTCATCCTTTATGATTCAGATAGCATCTGGCTTCCATAGCATCCTGGGCATGGAAAATGTAATTGTGGTTGGGCGCAGCAGCTCATGCCTGTAATCCCAGCACTTTGGGAGGCCAAGGCGGGCAGATCACTTGAGGTCAGGAGTTCAAGACCAGCCTGGACAACATGGTGAAACCCCATCTCTACTACAAATACAAACATTAGCTGAGTGTAGTGGTGCACGTCTGTAATCCCAGCTACTTGGGAGGCTGAGGCAGGAGAATCGCTTGAACCTGGGAGGCGGAGGTTGCAGTGATCCAAGTGGCGCCACTGCACTCCAGCCTAGGTGACAGAGTGAGACTCCATCTCAAAAAGAAAAGAAAATGTAATCCTACCTTTTGTGTCTACTTATATTGCTCTGCCTCTGAAACTTAATTAATGCTATCTCCCCTCAGTCTCATCCAAGGTCCATTTAGTGAATTTCCTTAAATCATTTACCATTCCCTTATGGAGCACTGCCTATGGGAAAGGATCCATCATGCTAGGCAACTGGGATGAAGTCCCTGTCCTCAAACAACCCACAGCCTAGTGGGGGAGAAAGAACTAAAGCAAATTAATGATAAGTTAGAACAGAGTGTTAAGCACCGATAAACACGGAGTGATATCTCTGTGTTTGCAGGTACTTCTATCAATATGCTTCTCAGGGTGATTAATAGCTAGTTTTTGTTGTTGAAAGCCTAGTGTGCTCTTTGAAATGTTCCAGGACCACATGGTGAACTAGAGAGAATAACTCTCTGTCCTTATATAACTTTATTAGCTTTTTACAGAGAATAAAATGTTTATTCTTCTAGTTTTCTTTTTTTGCAATTCTGAAAAGGAGGTTTTAAACTTTGTTGTGCCAATTTGGAAACTGGGAATCAGAGAGGTTGACCCATACAACCAGGTCTCAAAGCAAGTAGGGAGAATCTTTGGGGTTGGAAATGGGAATCCAAAGACCACATTCTTTTCCCCTCACGTTCCCTCCACTTAGACTTCGTTGCTACTGGTTTGAATATTTGTTTCCTCTAAAATTCATGTTGAAACTTAATCCCCAATGTGGCAGTATTAAGAGATGGGGCCTGTAAGAGGTGATTGGGTCAGAAGGATTAATCTATTCATAGATAATTAGATTAACGGGTTAAAGAATTAAAGAATTAATGGGCTATCACTGCAGTGGGACTGACGACTTTATAAGAAGAAGTAGAAGAGAGACTTAACATGCTCAGCCCCCTCACCATGTGATGCCCTGCACTGCCTCTGGACTCTGCAGAGAGTCCCCTTTAGCAAGAAGGCCCTCACAAAATGCAGCTCCTTGACCTTGGACTTCTCAGCCTCTAAAACCGTAAGAAATAAATTCCTTTATTTTACAAACTGCTCACTTTCAGGAATTCCATAATAAGTAATAATGGAGTAAGACACCTGTTACTTTAGTGCTTCTCCCCACTTGGTTTTGTGCTCTATTCTTGTATCCGTTTGAATCCTGACCTCATTTTTTCTTTTATTTCTCAATCTTTGACATCTCTTTTGACATTTTGCTAAGCCCAAGATCATAGCTTTTCCTACTCCTACCACAAGTCATAAAATTTATTCATTTAAAGTTTACAATTCAACAGTATTTCGTATATTTATAGAGTTGTGCAATCATCACCCCAATCCATTTGAGAGCATGTCATCATCCCCCAAAGAAGTCCCATGTGCCTAATGGCTCACTTTTCATGGCCCTCCAAACCCCACCAGCTCATGGTAACCACTATTTGCTTTCTGTCTCTGTTGATTTGCCTATTCTGAACATTTCCTGCAAGTGGAATCACATAATTTGTGGGCTATTGGGTCTGGCTTTTTTCATTTACTGTAATATTTTCAAGGTTCATCCATGCTGTAGTGTCTATCAGTACTTTGTTCACTTATATTGCCAAATATTTCATTGTATGGATATGCCACCTTTATCTACATTCAACCGTTGATAGACATTTGGGTTGCTTTTACTCTTTGGCTCTTATGGATAATGCTGCTGTGGACATTTGTGTATAAATTTTTGTGTTAACACATGCTTTTATTCTTTCGGATATATAAGTAGGAGTGGAATTGTGGGATCATATGGCAACTTCGCATTTAACATTTTGAGGAATTGCCTAACTGTTTTCCACAGTGGCTGAGTAATTTTACATTCCCACCAGTAATGTGTAAGAGTTCCAATTTCTCCTCATCCTCGCTGATGCTTGTTAGTTTTTGCTTTTTTGATTATAGGCATCCTAGTGGGTGGGAAGTAGTATACCACTGTGGTTCTGATTAATCCATAGTGACTAATGATGTTAAGTATCTTTTTCTGACCTTATGGGGGCATTTTAATATCTTCTTTGGATCTATCCAGATTTTTTAAATCTGATTTTCAATTGGGTTGTCCTTTTATTATTGAGTTATAAGAGTTCTTGATAGATTCTGGATGCAATTCTTTTTATCAGATATATGATTTAGAATATTTTGTTTCATTCTGTGGGTTATTTAGCTTTGTAATGTCCTTTAAAGCACGAAAGTCTTTAATTTTGATGAAGTCCAGTTTATCATTTTTTTCATGTTGCTTGTGCTTTTGTTGTCATGTCTAAGAAGGTATTGCCTACCCCAGCGTCACAAAAATTTACTCCTATGTTTTCTTCTAAGAATTTTATCATTTTGGCAGTTACATTTAGGTCTATGATTCCCTTTGAGTTAATTTTTGTGCGTAGTATAAAGAAGAGGTCCAACTTTGTTCTTTTGTATATAGATAACCATTTCTTTTTATTTTTAATCATTTGCTTCATTATCCTGTTTCTGCAAACTAGTTTTTGTACTTTTGTTTTGGATTTTTTTGTCCACATGCTAGAAAGATATGAAAACCAATAGGTCCCATGTTTACATGTCATAGTTTCAGCCACCTGGGGGGAGGCTAAATCCTATTTGCAGTCTCAATGTCAAATTCTCACTCTGATTGGCCCAACTGATTAACGTATATGGCCCTCGACTCTCTTACAGTACTAGGGGGAGTCAATCATGACTACCAAGAACTCCCTCTTAAGCATGCAGATCCTGAGGCTGGGCAGATGCTCTTTAGGTATCCTATGCATGACTGTGGTTACTGCAGAAAGCAGTAGATCCACCAGATGAAAGGAGGCCATCAACGCTAAGGGCCATTCTCACCTATAACAGTCTTTCAAAAGACACAGCATACAGCAAACAGACCTGGTAAGGCCAGCTGTATAAGTGAAGAATCATCAAATACATAAATACATTAAACACTGAAATTGCTTAAACATTGTTCAGACATTTAAGGCATATTTTAGTCCCCAGTTAAAAAATGTGAAGGCAACCTGCTGTAATGTGTGGGTGAGGAGGCTTTGATTCAGGAGTCCGTTTAAATTGGAGGCCTGGCTTGAGCACATGCTGGCCATGTGATCCAGAGATCCTCACCTGCAAACTGTGCTTACGATGCCTGTCTTACTTACTTCATAGCACTTACGTGTGCCTAAAATTACAAAGCATGAGCGAGAGCATGTCAGACACTGTGAAGCACAATATTAATGTGAATGCCAGGTATTACTATGGGAGTAAAGGGGTGTGAGGCCAAGAACTTGAGAGAGGACACTGCAGTACAGAAGAAGCTGCTAACATGGTAGTTCAGGAAGCTAAAAGTGAGAGCAGGAGGCAAAAGATGGAAAGACTGAAAAAGATATAAACAGTTCCTCTACATTTCTTGGATTTTAAAAGGGATGTAACTATTATGCACTAGTGCCTCCAATGTGCAATCCATATGTGGGTAAAATATTTCTATTATGTATAGGGCAGGTTTCCCAACCTCAGTACTATTGACATTTGGACTGGGTAGTTCTCTGTTGTGGGGGCAGTCCTGTGTATGCTAGGATGTTTAGCAGCCTCTACTTACTAAATGCCTGCAGCATCCACCAGCTGGGACAATTTTGTCGCGATGCCCCTTGGTTGAGAATCACTGCTATAAGGGTAAGGATGGGAGAGTTAATTCCTTCTCCTCACTGATGTGCAAAATTTAACCTGCAAAATTCCATTACAGTAAGGTCCTAGTTAGATTGTATATTCCCTGTGCCTGCATCACTGGTGGCCCTCAGTGTTCTCCTAGGTTGATTGCATTACCTTCCTAGGTGGACATTTGGCCACTAGTTCCTATCAGTCAAACCTGTCAGGGCTGGGTTTGTTGGTTTCCCAAATGCTTTAGCAATTTGGGCCTTACGTACCTCTTTTCCCTCACCTCCTCTCACCATGCACCTTTGCCTCAGCTACAGTGAACTTCTAAGTCCTCTCAGGAGATGCTATGCCCAGATATAACTGTGCTTTTATACACACACTATTCTCCCAGCCAACAATGCCTTCTTCCACTTCTCTGCCTAGAAGACTCCTGTAATCCCTTTTAAGACCTAGCTCAAGTGTCATTTCCTCTGGGAATCCTTTCCTGATAACTTCAGGCAGAACTGGTGGCTCCATCCATTGCACTCTTTAGACACTCAGTTAATATTTTTTATTGCAGAACTTTTTATACTGGATTTTAATTATCCATTTTAATTATGTCTCTCTTCCCCAAAACAGACTGGATTCCTTGAGTGTAGGAACTGTACCTACTCCACTTGTCATGTCCTCTGCTCCTATCATGTTGTCTGGAACACAGTAGGTGCTTAGTACTGATCAGAGTAGACTAGAAGAATAAACGACTCTAAAGGTAGTCCATGGAAGTATTCATAGTCACAACCCATGCTCAGTTTGGGTAATTCATTTAGAGGTTTCAGTTCCCCAACAATTGATGAAGTTATTTGATTAGGAATATAGAAAAACAAGAAAGGATTTAAGTAGAGCAGAACCAAACAATCCTATGGGCAAGGTACATACAAAACTGTGCCCTAATTAATTTAAACATGCACATAGCTAATTACAATATGCAGAGTGCAGGTAAGATCTTGTTTAAACACTAATTCCTACTGGTTAATCATGGTGCCCAGAGGCCATGTCTCAGTTGGGATCCTGGTATGGGACTAAGCCCCACCCTCAGTGCCTGACTCACTGTCTCTTCTAGAATGTCAGCCACTCTGCATCTTCCCAATGCAAGTCCGTGTCCCACTCCCACAATCTGTTTCGTGCTTGTCTGTCCTCTGCGAGTTTGGCATTGCATCACTGTGTACCCAGGGAGAGGACTGGCAGCTACCTTCCTGGGTTGGAGTTCTGCTTTTGGTTTGCTGCCAGGCTGGCTGTGCTAACTGCTAGCTACATTCTCACCTGTGTGCTCCCTGACTGGCAATCCTTCATCCTGCTGCTGTCTACGACCCCCACGTTTGTGCTGTGTCCGTCTCGATGTGCTCAGGTCACTGCTGTACATCCACTGTTTGCTTTTCTCAGCACTTTGGGAGGGGCTGTTTATCCGGTCCTGTGGTTTCTGATGGGAAGAAATAGCTTCAGGGCAGAGCCTTATGAGAAACACTTCTTAGAAACAGACCTCTTTCTCCTGGTTTCTTCCTGCCATCCACAGTGAAGCCTCCTGTGCTGCATCTAGATGGTAGAAATTATTGTGCCTATCGCATGCCTCCACTTGGTCAGCTGGGATTGGGGAAGGCCTCAAAAATCTTTGAAAATCTTTGGCAGAAGAATGTGTACAGGGAAAAATAACCCAATAATATTTCCCTCCCATTCCATCTTCCCCCTACCGTTTGGGGAAAAAAAAGAGGGAAACACACACATGCATGTACATATGCATATATTTGTATGCTTACACATAGAATTTCTTTGGAAGGGCATATATGAAAATCATGGAATTGGTTGCTTATAAGAAAGGGGTATTGTGTAGGCGGAAGATGGGATGGGAGGGAAATGTTATTGTGTCTTATTTCATATCTTTTGACTTCTCAACCAAGGAAATGCATTATCTATTCCAAATCTTTAAGTAGGCAAATGCTATAAATGAAGAGTTCATAGAAAAAGAAACAGCAACATGTATAAATATGTGAAAAGATGCACACTTATTTTTAACAAAAGAAGTGCAAGTTTAAACTGGAGGCCAATTTTTACATATTTAATTGGCAAAGATCAAAACATTTAATAATACAGAGTATTGAGGAGAGTGTTGGGAAACAGATTCTCTCATACACTGTTGGTAGGATGTAAATTGATTCAACATTTTGGAGATCAGTAGCTATCAACATGCCCTGTGACCTAGCAATGCTTCTTCCAGAAACCTACCTACACATACTTTCATGTATCAGTGCACTGCATATAAAGGTGGTCATTATAAAGTTCTTTGTATTGGTAAATGACTGGAAGCAATCTAAATTCTATCAATAATGGGCTGGGCATGGTGGCTCATGCCTGTAATCCCAGCACTTTGGGAGGCCAAGGCGGGCAGATCACTTGAGGTCAGGAGTTCAAGACCAGCTTGGCCAACATGGTGAAACTCCGTCTCTACTAAAAATACAGAAAAAATTAGCCGGCTGTAGTTCCAGCTACTTGGGAGGCTGAGGCAGGAGAACTGCTTGAACCTGGGAGGTGGAGGTTGCAGTGAGCCAAGATCGCACCACTGCACTCCAACCTGGGCAACAGAGTGAGACTCCATCTCAAAAAAAAATTTTTTTTTATCAATAATAATAAAGAAATTATGGTAAATTTATACAGGTATAATATTGTCATTAAAAAGAACTTGCTACATTTGTATGTGCTTATATGGAAGAACCTCCAAGATATTTAGTTCAATGAAAAAGGCATGATGCAGAACAGTGTGAATACAGTATGTTTCTCTTTGTATAGTATGTTTTTCCTTTAGAAGGTCTCTCTCTCTTTGTTGCTTTCTCTTTCAACTATCTATCTCCTCCCTCTCCCCTTCCTTATCATCTCTCCATCTCTCTATCTGTATCTCTAACTGCTTAGGCATAGAAAAACTTTGAAAAGATAAACAAGAAACACTACCAGTTATCTCTAGTGATAGATGTTCCATTTTCACCATCCAGCCTTTTGCACTGCCTGAACCTTATCCTATGAAAAACATATATCACTTTTTATTTTAACATTTTTACTGTAAAATAAATTGCCAACTCTGTACATCTACTGTTTTCTTTTCCCAGCAGAACTTGCACAAAACAGAAAAGTACAGCTCAGTGGTATAGTCCAAAATGAGCGGTCATGCGACCACCATGTAGGGGCAAGGACAGTACTCTGCCTGCACTCTGGGAGCTGCTCTGTGAACTCACCGAGGCACCATCCTTCCCTTCTCCCAGAGATCACCATGATCCCAACTATGGTTGTAATCACCTCTTTGCTTTTCTTTCCCATCAAAGCACTGCAGTTTAGTTTTGCATATATTTTGAACTCTACATAAATGCATCAATCTAGTAAGATATTCTTTTGTTTGTAGCTTCTGCTGCTCAACATTATGTATTCGTGAAACTCATCAATGTTGCTGCATGTAACTGTATTCTGTTCCTTTTCATTACTGTACAGAATTCCAGTGTTTGGATAAATTATAATTTGTATATCTACTATTAAAGGACATTTCAGCTTACAGTTTGGGGTCATTCTAAACAATGCTGCTGTAAACATTCTTGTACCTGCCTCTTGGAGCAACATTTCTGTTAAATATTAATCAAGGGTGAAATGTTTTGATCATGGTGTGATGTATTTTCAATTTTAGTAGCTGACGTCAAAGAGTTTTCCAAAATAGTTGTACCATTTTCCCATTTTCCCAAGTGATGTATGTGAGTTTCTATTGCTCCACATCCATAATGACGGTTTATTTTTCTGTGTTTTCCCCACTTTAGCCATTCTGGTGAGTGTATAACAGTATACTATGGTGGTTTTAACTTTTAAAAACATTGTTTTCATTATTAGTGAGGCTGACCATCTTTTCACAAGTGTATTGGTTACCTGAATTTCTTATTTTTGTGAAGTACCTGTCCAAGGCTCTTGTCCAGTTTTCTCTTGAGTTGTGTATCTTGTCTTATTAATGTAGGCGTTCCTTGTGTGTTTTGGGCAAAAGCTTTATTTGGTTACATGTGTTACAAATATTTTTCTCTCATTCTGTGGCTTGCAGTTTTACTTTCTTTCAAGTTTCTTTTGTTTGTAGAAATTCTTCATTCTGAGAATTTTGTTTTCTTCTCTCATCTTTTTTCTTTTGTGGTTAGTACTTTCCCTACTTCAGTGTTATGAGGATTGTCTCTTGTATTATTTTTAATATTTTCTGTGCCATGGATTTCTTTTTTGAGACAGGGTCTTGCTGTGTCACCCAGGCTGGAGTGCGGTGGTGCCATCATAGCTCACTGCAGCCTAGACTTCCCAGGCTCAGGTGATTCTCCCACCTCAGTCTCCCGAGGAGCTGAGATTACTGGCATGCGCCACCATGCCTGGCTAATTTTTTTTGCATTTTTAGTAGAGATGAGGTTTCCCCATGTTGCCCAGGCTGGTCTCGAACTCCTGACCTCAAGTGATTTTTCTGCTTTGGCCTCCCATGGTGTGGGATTACAGGTGTAAACACCTCAGAAAAACATTTTAA
Source organism: Homo sapiens (assembly GCF_000001405.40). NCBI lineage: Eukaryota > Metazoa > Chordata > Mammalia > Primates > Hominidae > Homo > Homo sapiens. The sequence goes on from NC_000007.14 coordinate 42,296,524, forward strand.
ATGTATAATATGAAATACACATGATTAAAAAGGAAGCTAATGTTGTCAAAATACAGTTGTTAAAATATTTTTAAAAGTCATTTTGTATAGTAATTTATGTGCTTTTTGTTAACATTAGATACCAAGCTCTAGCAATGGGTCAAATAACTACAATAATTTTGAAGTAAAACTGAGTGGAAGTGATATATAAAGCAATCTGCAACATCTGTAGTGTAAAATGAAAATACCTATGATTACTGTTGGTGCCAACTAGACAGGTGCTGCTAACACTACTGTGGATTGTTGTCTATATTCATAATTGAAGGAAATCGTGAATTTGAGTCTGAAAAGTTATATAAAATAAACATCAGTTATTTTTTCCTGTCCAAGTTTATGAACTTTCTGAATTCTAGCTGTGAACTCTTTGGGAGTTCACAGTGTAGACACCAGGCTAAGAGCTCTTGTTCTATAAGCTCGATTGCTTTACTTTTGGCATGCGGTTCCAGAATCCATTTGGAGCTGGCATTGTTATGGTATGAGGTGGGGATTAGGTTTCTTTTTTTTTTTTCCACCACAGAGATTTCCAACTTTTCTTAGCATTACTGACTGAAAAGAACCTCTACCTTAGACTATTTTGCGGTACCACCTTTCTTATCAGTTACATGTAAGTTGAGCATCCCAAATCCAAAAATTTGAAATCCAAAATGCTCCAAAATCTGAAATGTTTTGAGCATCAAAACAATGTTCAAAGGAAATGCTCACTGGAGCATTTTCAATTTTTGGATTAGGGATGTTCAACCAATAAGTATGTAATGCAAATATTTAAAAATCCAAAATAATCAAAAATCTGAAACACGTACGGTCTCAAGTTGATCAGGGACACTCATCTGTATATATATGTGGTCTGCTTTTGGACTCAGTATTTCATCCCATTGGTCTATTTGTTTTGGCAAATATTCCATATTGTCGTAATTACTACAGATTTAAAATTGGACTTGATATCTGGTGGAGCAAGTCCTCTAACTGTTCTACTTGAATATTGTCTTAGCTACTTTTGACCCTTTGCATTTTTACACAAACTTTTGTATTAGATTGTGAAGTACCACCAAAACCAAATCAAACCAAACCAAACCAAACCAACACAACATCCACCACCCCATCCTACCCCAAATAATAACTGTTGTGTTTTGATTGGCATTAACTTAGATCTATAATTCAGTCTTAATTCATGAATTTTATTTAGGTCTTATTTATTTATTTGTGTGTGTGTGTGTATGTGTGTGTGTGTGTACAGTGGTGTGACCATAGCTCACTGCAGCCTCAAATTCCTAGGCTCAAGCAGTCCTCCTGCCTCAACCACCCACTTCCTCCACACTCTGTGTAGAGTAACTAGGACTCCAGGTGTGTGCTGCAGTCAGTGCCCAGCTAATTTTTTTTTTTCTTGGTTGAGACAGTGTCTTGCTTTGTTTTCCAGGCTGGTCTCGAACTCCTGGCCTCAAGCAAACCTCCCACTTCAGCCTCCCGAAGTGTTGGGATTACAGGCATGAGCCATGGTACCCAGCCTAATTTTTTTTTGTTTTTTAAAGAAATCAGTAGATTTCACTTTTTATAACAGTTTTAGATTTACAGAAAAATTGCTAATACAGAAAGTTTACACAGCATCCCCTCCAACATGTGCAGTTTCCCCTATCATTAACATCTTGCATTAGTGTGGGACATTTGTTAAAGTTAATGAATCATTAATACATTATTATTAGCTAAAATCCAGGCTTTAATTAAGATTGACTTTTTGTTTTGTATAGTTCTATGGGTTTTGACAAGTGCGTAATATAATGTATCTACCATTAAACTATCATACAGAATAGTTTCACTGCCCCAAGAATCTCATTTGCTTCAATTATTCATCACTTTTCTACTTCCCCCCAAACCCAGGTAACCCCTGATATTTTTACTTTACATAGTTTTGTCTTTTTCAGATGTCACACGGTTGGAATTACAGAGTAGGCATTTCAGACTGGTTTCCTTCACTTAGCAATATATATTTAAAGTTCCTCCAAGTCTTTTTGTGGCTTGATAGTTCATTTTTAATTGCTAAACAATATTCCTTTGTATGGATGTCCCATAGTTTGCCTATCTATTCACCCATTGAAGTATATCTCAGTTGCTTTCGGATTTTGATGATTGTGAATAAAACTGCTATAAACATTCACGTGCAACTTTGTGGTTGAACATGTTTTCAACTCACCTGGAAATGAATCATATATGGTAAAACTATGTTTAGCTTGATAAAAGCTGTCAAACTGTCTTTTAAAGTGGCTGTTGCATTTCCAAAATGGAAAATATCATTTTGCATTTTCCACCAGTCATGAATGAGAGTTCTTGTTGCTCCACATCCTTCCCAGCATTTGATGTTGTTTTCTGGGCTTTTTACCATTATAATAAATGCGTAGTGATGTCTCACTCTTGTCTTAATTTGTAACTCCCTGATAACATATGATGTTGGCATGTCTCTTATATGCTTACTTGCCATCTGTATATCTTCTTTGGTGATGTGTCTGTTCAGATATTTTGTCCACTATTTAGTTGGGTTGTTTGTTTTCTTATTGTTGAGCTTAAGAGATATTTGTATATTTTGGATACATGTATCTTCATCAGGTATACGTTCTGCAAAATTTTCTCCCAGTCTATGGTGTGTCTTTTCATTCTCTTAAACTCTCATTTTTAATAGTTTTTGTTTGCTTTTTGCTTACAATTTTGTATATTCTTTGTTAGATATATTCCTGGGTGTTTGATCATTTTGATGTTATGACAAGTGATGTTATTACAAATTTGATAAACTGTTTGTTGCTGACATATAGCAATACCATTACATTTTATATGTTTATCTCAAATATTATTCTAATAATTTATCTGTAGATTCTGTAGCATATTTTACATGTGCTATGAGTAAATAATGACAATTATTTTCTCTTTATAAACTATATTTTTTCAAAAAACTCTTTCTTGGCTTACAAAACTGTCTAGGATCTCCCATATAATTTTAGTAAAGTGGTGATGGTGGGTATCCTTCTCTGATTTTTAAACTTAAAAGGAAAGCCTCCAATATTTCACTATTAATGTGATGTGTACTATACGTGGTACATCAAAAAATACGGGCATAGATTTCTAACCTCCCCATTTACGTGCCCCTTTGCAAGGTGAGCGTGCATTTACTCCTCTCATCAGGAGGGAGGTTCTAGTCATCTGTTCTCCCAGAATCAGAGCTGGCCTTGTAACTTGCCTTGATAAAATAATGCAACATACATGACACTGTGTGGATTCCATAGCCTACGCTTCAAGAAGCCTTGCAGCTCTGCTGTCGCTTTCTGGAATTCTCTCATTGTCCTGTCAAGAAGCTCTGGCTAGCCTCCCAGAGGAGAAGGCACAATGGAGAGAGAAAGGCCTACCTTTCTAGCTGTCACAGCCAGCACCGACCACCAGCCCTGTGAAAAAGAGTGTTTCAGACCAACTGGCTTTTGTTGAGCCACCAGATGTGGCTTCGTGAGTGACCCTAGACAACATCCAAGCAAGCCACAAGCAAAAGGAGGCAGAGAACGATCCAAGATGAAGGGACTGATCTACAAAACCTGCCTAGAGCAAATAAAATGGTTACTTTTTCAACCATTAAGTTTTGGGGTGGTTAATTATGTAGCAAAGGATAGCTGACGTGCTGTAGATTTTGTTTATGTTAACTTTTATTAAACTAAAGCCATCTCTTTGTTTATGAGTGTGCTAAAAAATCAAGATAGATGCCAATTCTATTAATGCTTTTCTCTTCATCTGCTGAGAGGTTCATACCTTTTCCTTTTTCTTTATGGTAAATTACATCAATTGATTTTTCAATATTAGAGTAACCATGCATTCCTGGATTAAACTGAACTTGGTTGAATTCTATTATCCTTTTTATATATTGCTGGATTCCATATTATATTGCATTCAGAATTTTTGCATCTATGATTATGAATGAAGTTCATCTATAATTTGCCTTTCTGCAATGTGTCAGGTTTCGATATCAACATTATCTGGCCTCATAAAATAAGTGCGGAGAATTCTTTCTTCTTCTATTTTCTCGGTAAGTTTTTTAAAAAATTATATTATTTTTTCCTGAGATGTTTAGTAGAATTCACCAACAATGTTGTCGGGGCCAGAAATTTTCCTTATAAGAAAGTTTTAAATTTCTAATTATGAACTCATTATATTTACTAGTTTTAGTAAAACTAATTTGGATTCTTGTGTCAGTTTTCATAGGCTGTATTTTTCTAGGAATTTGTGTATTTCAACTAAAATTTCAAATTTATTGGCAAAAAGGTTTTTTACAATATGTTCTTACTATTATACCCCCACCCCTAGCTTTAGTGAGGTATAACTGGCAAACAAACTATATATATTTAAGGTATACGGTACAATATTTTGATATACAGGTACTATCTTTTAAATGTTTGCAGAATTTGTGGGGATATCCCCCAGATTCCATTTTCCTTTACTCTTGACATTGGTTTTTTGCTTCTCTTTTTTTTTTCTTGGAAAGTCTTCTGGAGAGTTATAGATTTTATTCATCACTCCAATGCTTCATTGATAATCCCTATTGTATATTTGTTTGTTTTCTATTTTTATTAATTTCTGCTCTTCTATTTATTATTTACTTCATTCTACTTTATTTTAGTTTAATTTATTTATGTTTTGTAACTAATCTTTAGCTTGTTGATTTTCAACTTTTACTTTTTTCTAAGATATCCATTTTAGGGCTATAAATATTCCTCTAAGCACAGCTGTATTCTACAACTTTTAATATGTTTTAATTTTCACTGCTGTGGAAATCAAAATGTTTACTCAGTCCAGGGTGAGATGTGTCATCATGTCAACAGTCCATTTCGTTTTGGAATATTGGTTGTTTAAAAGTGTAGTGCTAAATTTCCAAACGTATGGGGGCTTTTCTTATTGATTTTTTTGCTTAATGGATTGTGGTCAGAAAGCAAACTTCTTTTTACTTTCAATCTTTCTCTATCCTTAATGTTTTCGATATGTTTCTGGTAAACAGCAGATGGTTATTTTAGATTTTCTTATATCCAACCTGATCTTATCTAAATTGGAGCGTTTAGTTTATTTACACTTATTGCAGTTACTGATATGTTTGAGTTTAAATTACCATCTTACTAAATACTTTTTATTTGCCTTGTTCCTCAATGTTTCATTTTTCCTCCTTTTTTGCTATATTGGATATTTTTTATTATTCTATTTTTCTTCTATTAGCCTAGGAGTAATGCATGTTTCACTATTTTCCTGGTTACCTTAGAGATAGCAGTATGCATTCTTATCAGAGTTATTCTGGACAATGCAAAGACTTCAGAACTAACTTGAGCTGCATTCACCAGCCTCTTGTAATTCTTGACCTTTGTGTATTTTAATTCTATAGGCATTTTAAACTACATAAGGTATTGTTATTGTTTTATACTGTAAATATCCATTTAGGTATTCCCACATAGTTATGATTTTCATTTTTCTTTATTGTTTTCTCACATCTAACCTTCCATCTGGGCTTATTTTTCTTCTGAACACAATTGTAGTATTTCCTTTGATATAAATCTGCCAATTAAAGATTCTCAGGACTTTTTATGTCTAAAAAGGTTAAAATTTCAGTCATTCTTAAAGAATATTTATACTAGGTAAAGAATTCTAGGGTGCTTATTTCTTTTTCTCCTCCAATGTTTTATTTTGAATTTTTTTTTTTTTTTTTTTTTTTTTTTTTTTTTGAGACGGAGTTTCGCTTTGGCACTAGGCTGGAGTGCGGTGGCACAATCTCGGCTGGCTGCAACCTCCGCCTCCTGGGTTCAAGCGATTCTCCTGCCTCATCCTCCCGAGTAGCTGGGACTACAGACATGTGCCACCACGCCCAGTTCATTTTTTGTATTTTTAGTAGAGGTGGGGTTTTACCACGTTGGCCAGGATGGTCTTGATCTCTTGACCTTGTGATCCGCCCACCTCGGCCTTTCAAAGTGCTTGGATTACAGGCACAAGCCACCACGCCCAGCCTATTTTGAAGAATTTTAAAGCTACACAAAGAGTAGTACAATGAATATCCTATACCTTTCACTTATTTCAACAAGGTATTTCTAAGAAGCAGGGCATTCTGTATAAGCACAATATTATCACACCAAAGATATTTAATATCATGAATTAATATTACCTAACATTCAGTATTTCCAAGTGTTCTCAAAAATGCTCATTAGAGTGTGTTAAGTGGGTTTCAAAGTCCAGGATCCAATCAAGGATGATGCAATTCCATTTAGTTATTCCATCTCTTCAGTCTCCATCAATCCAGATCAGTCTTCCTGATATTTTTCTCACTAATGGTATAAACATTTTTGAAGATTCCAGGCTGTATGTTTTGTAAAACGCCCCTAAATCTGAGTTTGTTGAATTATTTCTTTATAAGAATCAGGATAAAAATTTTTGCAAGAAAACAGATGTCATGTGTTCTTCTCGTTGTGTCAGAACGATTCCCCTCTATGATTAATAAGCAATCTGCAGGATCTGTGAGGTGATAATCTGAGACCATATGAATGTTCACTTCCCTGAAGCTTTCACCAAATTGCTTTAGCAGCCATTAATGACTCTTAACCTAAATCTACTACTAGCGTGGCGATTGTCAAGTGTAACTTTCCAATTCTATAATTATTTCTACATTTTTTAGCTGACGATCTTCTGTATTAATTTTCTTTTAGTGCCTCTATGAATTAATCAATACTCTTTTTATTCATCATATTATAAACCATTTCTATCACTATTCTTTTAGATGCTCCAATTGTCCCATATTTAGCCAGTGGGAACCTCTTCAAATCTGTGTCCATTTGAAGACCTTCATCATTCTTTCAGGACCTCTTGCTTTGTGCTACAGTGAAATCTCCTGGCTTATCAGGAACTATCGCTTCCCCAGCACTGGAAATCAGCCTTTTCTTCAGCTAGCTATTGCCCATTTTGGTAGGGAAGAGTATCTGGAAACTGTACTAGCTTCCTACTGCTGTTGCAACAAATTACCACAAATTCAGTGACTTAAGACAAAACACGTTTTAAATCTTATTGTTGTAAGGTCAGGAGTCTGAAATAGATCTTGCTAGGGTAATACCAAGATATCAGCAGGGCTGCATTCTTTCCTGAAGGCTCTAAAGGCAAGTCCATTTCCTTTTCTTTTCTACCTACTAGAGGCTTCCCATAATCTTTGACTTGTTGACACCGTCTATTTTCAAAGCACCAGCAATGCCTGGTCAAGTCTTTCTTACCTCACACCACTCTGATGCGATGGACTCTTCTGCCTCTCCTGTCATCTTTTAGGGACCCTTGTAATTATTTTGGGCCCAATAATGTAATCCAAGGTTAACAAACTTAATTTTATCCACAACTTAATTAAGAGCCAGAGCGCATACCATAGTCACAGGTTCTGGGAATTAGGATGTGAACTGTTTTTGGAAGAAGGGTATCATTCTGCCTACCACACAAACCAAGATCTGGCTTCAGCTGTGCTCATTGCTGCTGCAACATCATCGCTTCTAGGCTGTTATAGGAAACAGCTAGGAACTACAATTTTAGAAGTCATGATTTCATACTGATTCTATTTAAAGCTAATATTGCAGTAATTTTCTTTACCATATGTATATATGGAAAATAAAGAAGATACATGTGTCTTATATTCTGTCACATTGAGAACATCAGTTCCCAACCATATCTGTGTATTGACTTGTGAACTCCATTCTACAATATAAAACAAGGGTTTTAGAATTATGACACCAAACTACCACCCATTAATAAAGTTTACTAAACAAAGTTCAAGATTTCTGTGCAGTTCTTTCAGTTCCTAAAATATGTATTACTTGAAATAATATTTTTCCCATATGGTTGTATTATAAAATTCATAATCAGTCAAGTTCTCCTTATAGATAATTTTAATTTTTTTATCCTTTTACATTTAATTTTTAATATGCAAATATTTACCTGATTCAAAAGTCAAAACTTTGCAAAATCTCACTTATTTTCCTATTTCTACGTAGAATGTTTCCTTTTTTACACAAGAGGTGGCACACTACATTCTTTATTCTTTGGTACCTTGTTTTTTCACATAATATACCTGAAAAAAACACTCCACATTAGTTTATAAAGGTCTTGTTTGTTCTTTTTAAATAGCTTCATAAAACTCCATTGTGTGGGTGCCTTATCGTTTACTCAACCTCTCTCTTTTGAATAGACATTGACGTAATTTTGTACATGTTGCTTTGTGTTTGTCAAGGTATAACTTTAGAATGAATTCCTAGAAATGGGATTTCTGGGTCGAACAGTAAATGTGCACATAGTAGGCTGTATTGCCAAACACTCCTCCATAAGGATTTTACTATTTTCCCTTCCTACTGTCAATTTGTGAGGGTATCTGTGTCTTCACAGCTTTGCTAATAGTGTTAGACTTGAATATTTTGTCCATCCAGTGGTTTGAGAAAAATGACAGCTCAGTGTTGTTTTAACTAGCATTTTCTCAGTGAAGGAAGTTGAGCAGGTTTTTAGTTTTAAGGGTCATTTGTACATCTGTTTGGATAAATTCTCTGTTCATGTCATTTACCCATTAAAAAAAAATAGTGTTTGGTTTTTATTTGATTTTAAGAATTTCCTGTAGGGAAATTAGCTCATTATCTTTTGCAAATATCTCCTCCCACTTTGTCATTTGTTCTTTGATTTTGTTTATTATGGTTTCCTTTTTGTTTTTATAATGCAAAAGTTTTCTTCAAAAATGTATTAGAATATATCATCCTTTCTTTAAAACTTCATCTGGATTTTGGGTCATAGTTAGATCAGCTTTTCCCACATCCATGTGTTGAAGGAATTCTTCATTTTTTTTCCTAGCATTTCTACTGAAGATTTTTTCTTTTATGTATGGATATCTGATGTATTTGGAGTTTATTCTCATGTGTGATATATAGATTCAATCTTATCTTTTTCCAAATGACCATTCGTTTCAAAACCGTTTACTCAAACCTTAATATTTTCTTAGTAATTTGAAATGCTACCTTTATCATAAATTCTTTGTTTTCATATGCTCTTGGATAAGTTTCTGGATCTTGAACCAGATCTACACCAGTTTGACACTGTTTTAATTTTCCCTATTGTCTTGCAGGGGTAGTCTCTCCAATTGTTCTCTTTTTTTCCAGCAGTTCCAAGCATTTCTTGCATTTTAAATTTTTCATGTGAAATTTAGAATCAACTTATCTAGCTCCAGAAAGAAAATTTTTAATATTTGTGTTGGGATCATTTTAAATTTACATATCATCTTGGGGAGAATTGACATGTTTATAATTTTGATTTATACTCCCCAAGAACAAAAGATGTCTTTCCATTTATTCATGTCCACTTTTGTATTTTATACATATTTTGAAATTTTCATTATGGAGATTTTACACACAGGGATACTTTCATTTATTGCACTTCACAGATATTGTATTTTTTACAAATTGAAGGTTTGTGGCAACCCAGCACCTAGCCAGTCTATGGGTGCTATTTTTCTAACAGCATGTGCTTACTTCATGTCTCTGTGTCACAGGAAAATGACACATGAATCTGTGTCACATGAATATTGCAGGAATTGTAATTCTCTTTTCATTGAATTAAACTTTTTCATCATCATCATATCTGTTATGACGCTCCGTGGTCAGTGAGTGACCTTTGATGTTACTATTGTAATTGTTTTGGGGGACTTTGCCCATGGAAGATGGAAAACTTAATTGATAAACGTTGTGTGTTCTGACTGCTCCACCAACTGGCTGTTCACTGTTTCTTCCTTTTCTCTGGCCTCCCTATTGCCTGATACACAATATTTAAAAATATTTAAATACTAAATATTTTTAATATTTAAAAATTAGGGTGGATCATGAGGTCAGGAGATCAAGACCATCCTGGCTCACATGGTAAAACCCCGTCTCTACTAAAAATAAAAAAATTAGCTGGGCGTGGTGGCGGGCGCCTGTAGTCACAGCTACTTGGGAGGCTGAGGCAGGAGAATTCCTGGAACCCAGGAGGTGGTGGTTGCAGTGAGCCAAGATCGCACCACTGCACTCCAGCCTGGGCGACAGAGCGAGACTCGAACTCAAAAAAAAAAAAAAAAGGACAGTTAATAACCCTACAGTGGACTTTAAGTGTTCAGGTGAAAGGAAGAGGTGCCTGTCTCTCATGTTAAAATAAAAGCTAGAAATGTTAAGCTTAGTAAGAAAGCCATGTTCTAAAGCAAAAATAGGCCAAAAGCTAGGCCTCTTGCACGAAATGGCCAAGTTGTGAATGCAAAAGAAAAGTTTCTGAAGGAAATTAGAAGTGCTACTCCAGTGAACACACAACACACAAATGATAAGAAAGCAAAATAACTTTATTGCTGATAGGGAGAAAGTCTGCATGGTCTGGATAAAAGATCAAGCCAGCCATAACATTTCCTGAACCCAAAGCCCAATTCAGAGCAAGGCTCTAATTCTCTTCATTTCTATAAAGGCTGAGAGAGGTGAGGAAACTGCAGAAGAAAAGTTGGAAGCTAGCAGAGGCTGGTTCATGTGGTTTAAGGAAAGAAACCATCTCCGTAAGATGAAAGTGCAAGGTGAAGCAGCAAGTCCTGATTCGGTAAGTTACAGTAAGTTTCCCAGAAGAGCTAGCTAAGATCATTCATGAAGATGGTGACAGTAAACAACAGTTTTTCAAGGCAGACAAAATAGTCTTATATTGGAAGAAGATGCTGTCTAGGACTTTTAATGTCTGGCTCAAAAGCTTCAAAGGACAGGCTAATTCTCTTGTTAAGGTTAGTGCAGCTGGTGACTTTAAGTTGAAGCCAATGCTCATTTACCATTCTGAAAAATCAGAATGGTAGGACCCTCAAGGCTAATACAAGAAAATAGAATTATGCCAAATCTACTCTGCCTGTGCTCTATAATTGAAACAACAGAGTCTGTATGACAGCACGTCGGTTTACAGTATGGTTTACTGAATATTTTAAGCCCACTGTTGAGAGACAGGTTCTCACTCTGTCACACAGACTACAGTACAGTGGTGCTATCTTGGCTGACTGCAACCTCTGCCTCCTGAGCTTAAGCAGTCCTTGCACCTGCACACCACCATGTCCAGCTAATTTTTATATTTTTTGTAGAGACAGGGTTTCACCACATTGCCCAGGTTGATCTTGAGCTCCCGGACTCAAGTGATTCGTCTCCTTTGGCCTCCAAAAGTGCTGGGATTACAGGCATGAGCCACTGCACCCAGTGTGTTCAGGCTTTTCACCCATTTTTAAATAAAATTTTAAAGAACTGTTGCTGTCATTTTTGCTATTGAGTTGTTTGAGTTCCTAATGTATTCTAGATATTAATCAGGCGCATAGTTTGCAAATACTTTCTCCCATTCTGTATATTGCCTCTTCAGTCTACTGATTGTTTCCTTTGTTATGAATAAGTTTCATAGTGTGATGTAATCTCATTTGTCTATTTTTACTTGTTTCACCTATGCTTTTGAGGTCTTATTAAAAAACTCTTTGCCCAGTCCAATTTCATAAAACATTTCCTTCTAGTAGTTTCATAGTTTCAGGTCTTACATTTAAGTATTTAATTCATTTTGAGATGATTTTTGTAAATGGTGAGAGATAGAGGTCTATTTTCATTCTTCTTCGTATGGATATCCAGTTTTCTCCCAATAACACTTATTGAAGAAACTACCCTTTCTTCATTGCATGTTCTTGGTGACTTTGTTGAAAATTGGTTGGCTGTAAATGAACGGATTTATTTCAGGGTTCTCTATTTTCTTTCATTGATCTATGTGTCTATTTTTATGCCAGTACCATGCTGTTTTGGTTACTATAGCTTTGTACTATCTTTTGAAGTCAGGTAGTGTGATGCTTTGAGCTTCGTTCTGTTTGCTCAAGATAGCTTTGCCTGTCTAGGGTCTTTTGTATTTGCATATGAATTTTAAGATTATTTTTCCTATTTCTGTGAAGAATGCCATTGGTATTTTGATGGGAATGCAAACACAACATACCAAAACCTATGGATACATCAAAGCAATGCTACAAGGAAAGTTTACAGCAACAAACACCTACATCATGAAAGTTGAAAGATCTTAAATAAACAACCTAACATTACACCTCAAGGAACCAGAAAAGTAAGAACAATCAAGAAATGAGAGAAAAGAAGGAAATAAATAACAAAGGTTAGAGCATAAACAAACAAATAGGTTCTAAAATATGAAAAAATCAATGAAACAAAGAGCTGGGTTACTGAAAAGATAAACAAAATTGACATAACCTTAGCTAGCCTTCAAAAAAATAGAAACTCAACTAAATAAAATTAGAGAGAAAAAGGACACATTGCAGCTGATATCACAGAAATACAAAGGATCACAAGAGATTACCATGAACAACTAACTATACACCAACGAATTGTAAAACCTGGAAGAAATGGGTAAAATCCTGGACACATACAGCATGCTATGTTTAAATCATGAAGAAATAGAAAACCTGAACAGACCAGTGATGAATAACAAGATCAAAGCAATAATATAAAGTTTCCCATCAAAGAAAGCTCAGGACTTGACAGATTCACTGCTGAATTCTACCAAATATTTAAAGAATACCAATTCTACTCAAACTATTTCAAAAAACTGAGAAGGAAGGAATACTTCCAAATTCACTCTATGAGGCCAGCATTTCCCTGACACTCAAACCAACAAGGAAATTACAAAAAAGAAAACTACAAGCTAATATGCCTGATGAACATAAATGCAAAAATCCTCAATAAAATACTAGCAAACTAAATTCAACAGCACATTAAAAGGACCATTCACCATGATCAAGATGCATTTCAGCTCATCTTGGTTTTCAAATTTATTTACAGAGTAGTGCAAAGTAGTGCCTATAATTTTGAAAATGTCATTTATTTTAATGGTTATTGGTCCTTTGTCATTTCTTTTTTTTTTTTTTTTTTTGAGACGGAGTCTTGCTCTGTTGCCTAGGCTGGAGTGCAGTGGTGCGATCTCGGCTCACTGCAACCTCTGCCTCCTGGGTTCAAGAGATTCTTCTGCCTCAGCCTCCTGAGTAGCTGGGACTATAGGTGCACAACACCACGACCAGCTAATTTTTGTATTTTTAGTAGGGATGGGGTTTCACCATATTGGTCAGGCTGGTCTCAAACGCCTAACCTTGTCATCTGCCCACCTCAGCCTCCCAAAGTGTTGGGATTACAAGTGTGAGCCACCGTGCCCAGCGCATTTCTTATTTTTCCTTAAATATGTGTCCCAGTAGTTTGTCTATATTGATGATTTTTTTCCTCAATGAAAGAGCATTTTCATTTATTCATTAGTTGTATTATTTCTCTATTTTCTACCATATTCGTTCTGCTTTTATTTTATTTCTGTTCTTTTTGGTTTACATTTTTCTTTAGTTCAGCAGAGGTTATGATTTAATATTTACACCTTTATTCTTTAATTTTTATTTTTGTAAGGCTGTTGTTTAAGGCTATCAGTTTTCCTTATTTATTTGTATTCTATATATCCAATATTTAGTGTTATTATCATATGCTAGACATTCTGCAATTTCAATCTTTTTCACTTTTCACATGAGTTGTTTAGTAGAGAGGTTTTTAAAAACATTTTTAATGGCTTTAGAATTTTGCTATTAATTTTTCCTTAGAACTTGCCTATAATGTATTGAAATTTTCTTTGTGCTCTAATAAGATATAGTATGTCTCTGTGATTGGTCCATTTATGCTTTAGAAAAAGTTAACAAAACTTCATAAATATGAAACTTTCAATACATACCCCCAATGTACTACCTTAATGATTATTGTTTAGGATTTTTATAACATTACTTATTGTTTTATTCAGTTCAGGCTGTATCTTAGTCCATTCCTGCTGATATAACAAAATTGCATAAACTCAGCAATTTATACATAGTAGAAATTCATTTCTTCCAGTTCTGAAGCCTGGGAAGTCCAAGATGAAGGTATTGGCAACTTTGGTGTCTGGTGTCATATTTGTCATATTAGTTATCTTATTACTATTGCTATTATATTATATAATGTCCTCAGTACTTAGTTTTATTTACTTAGACTTCTACTATTCAGTTTTGTCTATTTTAAATGATATTATTTGACTCCCACAAATTATCTATGAAATAGTTTTATCTTTTCTAATTTATTCTTTTTATCTTCTGTGTCTTTCCATTTATTTTAGCTGTTCCTACTTTGTCATAACATATAATATTTTATACTATTTTTTCTTCTTTGTCTCCATCTTTCTTTTAGCCTTAGACTTAAACATATTCGATTATTATCACTCCTTTGCTAAAGCTTATCTGGCTATCTCTTGATTATATAAAGCTTGTCCTCTAGTAGCTTCCTTAAGAATAGCTTGTGAGTACAATATATCCTGAGATTGTGCACATATAAAATAGCCTTGGTATTTCATGGACAGCTTGGTCAGATATAAAGTTCTTCATTCACATTTTCTTTACTCCTTTCTTGAAAATATTGCACGACGGATGTCTTTCTTTGTATGTTTCTGTTGCAGTATCTTTCAATAACCTACAGATCTTTCCTTTGTAAGTCACTTGGTCTTTTGTCTATTGGTACAGAATCACTTTTCTCTTTTAAGTCTAATAATTTTATTATGGAATATCTTGGCAAGTAAAATTTTTAGGAACATGGATGGCTCCTTCAAGTATAGATTGGTATTCTTTTCTTTACATAAATTTTATTTATTGTGGTTTTAAGTATTTATTCAGTTCCATTGCTTTCATTTTCTTTTTCTTTAGGATTCCCATTATATCTGTTGGATCTTCTTTGCCTGTCTTTTATATCCAATTCTTTCAGTCTGATTCTATTTCTTTCTTTCTTTCCTTCTTTTTTGCCTTTTCTTTTTTTCTTCTTGAGACAGGGTCTCACTCTGCTACCCAGGCTGAAGTGCAGTGGTATGATCACAACTTACTGGAGCTTCAGTCTCCCCAATTTCAGGTGATCCTCTCACCTCAGCCACCTGAGTAGCTGGGATTACAGGTGAGTGTCAACACAACTGGCTATGTTTTGTTTTTTCGTAGAGACCGGGTTTTACCTGACAGGTGTGAGCCACCATGTCTGGCTTGATTCTATGTATTTCTGACATGATTATGTTATTTTTTACTCAGTTGTTTTCATTCTTCTTCTCAATTCCTCTTATTATAGCTTCATTGGATCTATTCTCCCTTTGACATCTTCCAGTTTTTTCATTTTCAGAAAATTTTGTCTTTTCTTAGTTTCTTCTGAGTTCTGTCAACTCTTGTTTCTTATGGTTATGTTTTTATGTCTTTTTTGCTTTATGTTTTTAAAATGTTCTACTACAACCTAAAAACATCTGAAAATACTCACTTAAAGATATTTATTTCAGTTTAAGGTGTTGTATTTTATGGATGTCTTATGGTGAGAATTTTCATCATCTGAAATACTTGATTCTCACTTTCTGTTTTTTTTCTAATACTAACTTGCATAGATATTGTTGCTATTTTCTGTGCATTTTAAAATGTATTTATTTCTGCCAAACAATAGTAGGCAGATATGATGGGTCTGGGTGGATTACCAGGTTTCTTATGAACATCCTTCGTTGGTATAATAAAGTGCAATTTAGAAAAGATGGTGTTCTTTTTTGTGGAGGAGGAGGTGTGGCTTGGAAAAGTGTGTATGTCTTCTGAATTTGAGAATTTTTTTTTGGTAGGACCTTAATTTTCACTGCTTATAATTCTTTCCCATGGTCACCAAGACTAAAAAGTACTACCACCACTTTGAAGTTCTCTCTGACCTCAGAGTGGTACCTTCGTGAGAACCCAACCCCTGATTCGACACTCTTTTCTCTTTCTATTACCCCCATTTCAGGGAAATCTGCCGGGTCTCAGACCTGTTCTAAGAATTTCTCCATTCAGTGTTGAACTCATTTTTGGAAGATTGTGTGATTTAATTTTTATCACTGTTAACATCATAATGCACTTTATTTATTTAATTTTTCAGACTTCCTTTGTTGCTACTGTAGTACGTGCACTGAAGCTGGCTCTGCTGGATTTGAAGTGTTTGTTTTCCAACTCGCATGGAACTTTATGTTTGTAATATCCTCTGTCATGCACTAAGCATAGTTACATGTCAATTCATTTGCTCTCCTTGTTTTTCTGTATAGTTTTAGAAGGATTTATTAAAAGATTTAGATGTAGGTGACCGATACTGTCCTATAGATGTCCTGGAGGTTTTTATCTTTTATTTCTTCAGGGATGTTTTTAAAATTGTTTTGAATCTTATTATTTCTTTTTAGAAGTTAGATATCAGGTAAAGTGCCTATATATTGACAGTAAGTCCTCTCTTATTTTTGCTGGCAACTTAAAAATTTTCTCTTTTCCTTCGTTTTCAGCACTTTTGCTATGATGGGCCTTCCATTTCCTCCTGCTTATGGTTCATGGCGCTTTTCAGTTTATGGCTTGATGTCTTTAATCAAACCATAAATATTCTCAACCATTATATTTTTAAATATTGAGGCTGACCCAGTTTCTCTCTGCTCTTCTTTTGCAACTCGAATTACATGTATTTTAGGCCTCTTCTCTATACTCCTTGTCCTCTTCTTAGTATTTTTGTTCCTTTTATCTTCCTTTTTGATATTTTTTCTTTCTAGATATTTTTTCTGATCTGTCTTCATTTTACTATTTCTCTATTCAGAGTGCCTAATGTGCTATTAAACCCATTTATCAAGTTCTTAATTTCGGTTATAGTACTTTCCATGTATAGAGTTTACATATTCTTATATTTTCTAGTTCTTTGCTGAAATTCTCAACATTTTCTTTTCTAGGGTGACCAACCCTCTTGGTTTACCAGGAATGAGGGACTTCCTGGGACACAGGACTTTCAATACCAAAACTCAGAAAATTCCAGACAAATTGGAATGAATTGGTTATCCTACTTTTATCTCCTTAAGCTTATTAAGGAGCATTATGTTAGAATCCGCCTTGTATAACCCCAACATATATAATCTATTTCTATCTTTTTTTTTTAGACGGGGTCTCGCTCTGTCACCAGGCTGGAGTGCAGTGGTGTGATCTCAGCTCACTACAACCTCCGCCTCCGAGGTTCAAGCGATTCTTCTGCCTCAGCCTCCAGAGTAGCCGGGATTACAGGCGCCCACCACCACCACCCCACCACGCCCGGCTAATTTTTGTATTTTTAGTAGGGATGGGTTCACCATGTTGGCCAGGATGGCCTCGATCTCTCTCTCTCTCTTTTTCTTTTTTTTAGACAGAGTCTCACTCTGTCATCCAGGCTGGAATGCAGCGGCGCGATCTTGGCTCACTGCAACCTCCTCCTCCCAGGTTCAAGCATTTCACTGTGTTGCCCAAGCTGGTCTCGATCTCCTGAGCTCAAGCAATCCGCCCGCCTCAGCCTCCCAAAGTGCTGGGATTACAGGCATGAGCCACCGCACCCGGCCTTTCTATCATTTTCTTCCTGCTGCCTTTCTTTTTATGATATCTTGTCTCCTGGTATGTTTGGTTACTTTGAACTGTGTTGAAAAATATAGTTTTAAAGTAGTTTATAAAAATAATTTGAAGCCTACCATAAGGTTATTCTTTGCCACAGAGAATTTATGTTTGTCAGATGTGTGAGGCCATCACTCTAGGAAGCCGGATACTTTAGAAAAATGGGATTATCTTAATCTAATGATGATTCCAAGCTGAGACAAATCTTCTGCAAGAAGCTGACTACATCCCTTTATTTTTAATTCTAAGATTAACTCTTTGAGTTCTCAAACAAAGCATTGGGGGTTTGCCAAGGCCATCTCATTTTGTTGAGCCCTAGATTCCAATCTCTGTTTTACTAATTCTGTAAGACTATTAAAAATACTACAAAACTTTTAAGCTGTTCCCTTCATTTTAAGCAAATACATTCTGTTTTAAAAAATTTAAAAATTGTTAATTAAAAAAATCCTTAGCTCTTCTTCCTTCTTTCAGTGTTACATAAGCAAAAGAGAAAGATAGATAGAGAGTAGGGAAGGAATCATTAAGTCTATATTCCTAGAAACAAATCATTCACAAATTCATCTGTTCTTTAGGCTCAGTTTTTCTTTTTCCTATTGCCAGAAAAATCTCCACTTCTCAGAGCCATTACCTTTTGTTCTAGCTAATTCTTAAAGCTTCAAAGAAGTTTATACAGCCAGAAGAGGAGAAATCTGAGCATTGCTTTTCTTGGGCTCGCTCTTGCTTTCTCTTTAGCCTCTCATTGCTATAGGAATTGGGGCAGTCATGAATATCTTAGCTCACTTGCTGGAGTGCTTCACCTCCCAGTTTCAAGTTGGTCATATTTCCTGTTTATCCCCTACTGTCTAGCTTTGGAAAGTTACATTTCCTTAAGGTAAAAGAGGCAGATTGTGGTCATAGTTTGGTCTGATTAGTGCTGATATCCTTTGCTAAAGAAGGTAATGAATCAACAAAGATTGATGAGCAAAGATTAATCCAATAATCAGAACATGTTGGAGAAGCTTTGCCTTTTGGCCAGAGCCTGAGAAGCAACTGAGGTTTTGGCAAGATTAGAGTAATGGACATCCCTTGAGGCAGCCACAGATTTCTAAAATATGCAAGAAAGACTTTCCCTCCTCAGAGGAGTCCTTCCAGTAATCTTCCTATGCCCTCTTTGCAGAATGGGACAGAGGTGCATTTCTTGTGGCACAAGATACTTCAAAGGAGTTGTTTAGACTCGGAAGAATGTGCGTTTGTTTTTATAACCTCCTGGGTTGTAGTTATGAGTTAGAGAGGAGGGAAGCACACGTTGTTTTTAGGTTTTCTGTAAGTAACCACCACAACTCCTCAACAACAAAAGCTTCCCTTGTCACATTGTCCACTTGGGCACACAAAGATCTTTTCCATATGTAGGTAGTTGGATGCCATTCTCATGAATTGATTAGTTGAATTTGAAGAAAAAGGTGTTTTTTGTGTCAATGTCCTTCTCAGATTTCTATTGTCGGGTGTTGTCTTAATTAAAATAAAAATTTGATTTGAAGTCCCTTTCTTAGCGATCTCTGGTTTTGTTTTATGTTTGGTTTAGTTTCATTTCCCCCTTTCCCTCTGCTGTTTGAAAATTAAGTTTATTTTAAATGCAGAGAATGCCCTGTTTATTCAACCAAATGGTATCTTTATGTGGAAAAGGAAAAAAAAAATCCAGACTGCTTTCATTGCTGCTTGACTGTCTCAGCTGAATAGTTCTGTGGTTTGTTTTTTCTCTTTTGTGTGCATTTTTGCTTCCAGCTGTGCAGCACACATAAAACTGCACTGTGGTGAGACTCTTTGATAAACTATGCTACTTGAATGTTCATTGAACAAACAATTGCTCATCATCTCTCAACATCAATGAAATAATATTGCAATGACTTCTTTTTTTTTAAAAAAAAAAAAAAAAGACTTGAACAACTGATTTTCCATTCACATAAAATTTGTCTTGGGTGTGTGCTTGTGGGAGTTTTGTTTTTGTTAGGAGTAAGGACTGTAATATTTCTTTTGATTGTTTTACCTGCATTGTGATAGTTTTCATTTTGTTTCGAATTCTATGTGTAAATACTTTTAGAATTCTCAGTATTTGCAAATATTTTCACCCAGTCTGTGGCTTGTCTTTTCATCTGTTGGTAGTCTTTTGCTGAAAAGTTTTTAATTTTAATAAAGTAGAGCATATCAATTCTTTCATGAATCATGCCTTTGATGTTATATCTAAAAAGTCATTGTCACACCCAAGGTCATGTAGATTTTCTCCTGTGTTATCTTCTAGGAGTTTTGTAGTTTTATATTTTACAGTTAGGTCTGTAAGCCATTTTGCATTAATTTTTGTGAAGGGTGCATGCTCTATATCTAGATTTGCTTTATATTTATCTTTCTTGACAAAAATTGTATATATTTATGGTGCACAACTTGATGTTTTGATATGTATTTTTTGTAGAATGGCCAAATCAAGCCAATTAACATCTGCATTACCTCACACACTTATTTTTTTGTTTATGGTGAGAACACCTAAAATCTATTCTCCTAGCAATTTTCAAGTATATGCAATACATTGTTATTGACTATAGTCACCATGTTGTACAGTGGATCTCTTGAACTAATTCTTCCTGTCTAACTGATATTTTATATCATTTGACTAACATCTCCTCAATCTACCCTCTACTCCCAGCTTCTGGTAATCACCATTCTACTCTCTGCTTCTATGAGTTTGTTTTAGATTCCACATATAAGTAAGATCATATGTTAACTGCTTTTCTGTGCCTGGCTTATTTCACTAAAATAATGTTATCCAGGTTCTTCCAGGTTGTTACAAACTACAGGTTTTTCTTTTTTAAAAGGCTAAATAGTATTCCACTATATATATATACCACATTTTCTTTATCTATTTATCCACTGATATACACTTAGGTTGATATCATATCTTGGCTATTGTGAATATATTCATTTTTATGCATTTCGATGCCTAGTTGTCTCTGCACTATTTGTTGAAAATACTACATTTGCTCCATTTTATCACCTTTGTTCCTGTGTCAAAGATCAATTGACTATATTTATGTGGATTTATTTCTGGGCTCTCTATTCTGTCCCACTGACCTATCTGTCTGTTATCTTGCTAATACCCTATTGTCTGGATTACTGTAGCTTTATAGTAAGTCTTGAAGTTGAGTAATGTCAGTTCTCCAACTTTATTTTCCTCCTCCAATATTGTGTTGGATATTCTTGACTCTCCATATATACTCTGGAATCAGTTTGTCAAACACAGAAAAATGAAACTGGACACCTATCTCACCATAAACCAAAATCAACTCAAAACAGATCAAAAACTTATACATAAGACCTAAAACTATAAAAATACTAGAAGAAAACCTAGGGAAAATTCTCCTGGATATTGGTCTAAGCAAAGAATTTATGACTAAATCTTCAGAAGCATGGGCAACAAAAACAATAATAAACAAATAGGATCTAACTAAACTAAAAAGTTTCTGCACAGCAAAAGAAATAACAGAATGAAGAGATAACTGGTTGAATGGGAGAAAATATTCACAAACTCTTAATTCAACTAATATCCAAGCTAATGTCTAGAATACACAAGGAACTCAAGTCAACAGGAAAAAAATCCCAAATAATCCCATTAAAAAGTAGGCAAAGGACATGAATAGACATTTCTCAAAAGCAGACACACAAATAGCTAACAGGTATATGGAAAAATACTCAACATCACAAATTGTCAGAGAAATGCAAATCAAAACATGATGAGATCTTATTGCAGTCAGAATGACTATTATTAAAAACACAAAAAATAACAGATGTTGGGGAGGATATGGAGAAAGCAGAACTCTTATACACTGTTGGTGCAAATCTAAACTAGTACAGCCACTATGGAAAAAAGTAAGAAGATTTCTTTAAAAACTAAAAACAGAAAATGGAGAGGGGCAAGATGGCCAAATGGAAGGCTTCATAGTCATCCCTCCTGCAGAAACAACAAATTTAGGTTGAATATTTTGGTGACATTTGGTTAGCCATCATAAGAACCAAAAATCAGGTAAGTGACCATACTACCTGGTTTTAACTTCACAGCGCTGAAAGAGACGCTAAACAGGGTAGGAAAGACAGCCTTAATTTGCCAACACTACCCCTCCCCCAACGCCCAGCAGCAGCCATGTGGTGTGGAGAATCTATGCATTTTGGGGAGGGAGAGTGCAGTGGTTGTGGGACTTTGCGTTAGAACTCACTGCTGCCAACACTGGGCAGAACACAGCTGATGCTTAAGGAGGGAGTATTTAGACAAGCCCTGCTAGAGGAGAATTGCCCATCCTAGCCATTGGAACTTCAGTTTTGCAAGCCTCACCACTGTGGGCTAAAGTGTTCTGGGTTCTAAATAAACTTGAAAGGCGGTCTAAGCCACAAGGACTGCAACTCCTAGGCAAGTCTTAGTGTTGTGCTGGGCTTGGAGCTGGTGGACTTGGGGGGCATATTTTCCAAAGTGAGACATGAACTAGGGCAGTTAAGGGAGTGCTTGTGCCACCCTACTCCCAAACCCAGGCGGTGCAGCTCACACCTCTGAAAGAGACTCATTCCTTCTGCTTAAGCAGAGAAGAGGGAAGAGCAAAGAGGACTTTATCTTGCAACTTAGATACAAGCTCAGCCACAGTGGGATAGGGCACCGGGCAGAGTCATGAGGCACCTATTCCAGACCCTAGCTCCTGGATAATATTTCAAGACACACCCTGGGACAGTAGAGGACCTACTGCCTTGAAGGGGAGGACCCAGTCCTGGCAGGATTCATAACCTTGTGACTAAAGAGCCCTTGGGCCCTGAATAATCAGCAGCAGTAATGAGGTAGTACTTGCCATGGGCCTTGAAAGAGACTCTGAGACATGCTGACTTCAAGTGTGATCCAGCACGTTCCCAGCTGTGGGGGCTATGGGGAGATAGTCCCACTTGAAAAAAGCAAAGGGAATAGTAAAGGGGACATTTATCAGTTAATGGATGTTTGGCTTGTTTCCACTTTTTGGCTACTATGAGTAATGCTACTGTGAACATTAATGTGCAATTTTTCCTTGTGAACATATTTCATTTCATTTTGATGTACATGTGAAAATGGAATGGTTGAGTAATATCATAATTCTATGTTTATATTTTTGAGGAGCTGACAAACTGTTTTCCAAAGTGAGTTCACCATTTTACTTTCCTACAAGCAAAGAATGAGGGTCCTTATATTTGTACCTCTTTGCCAACACCTGTTATTGTCTTTTTTATTATAGCCATCCTACTGGTTATGAAGTGTTATCTCCTTATGGCTTGGATTTGCATTTCCTTGAAAACTAGTGATGTTGAACATGTTGTCATGGGTTTCTTGGTCCTTTGTGTAACTTTGGAACAATGCTAAGTCATTTGTCCTTTTAAAATTGGGTTATTTCTTCCTTTACTTTTTCTAAATTTTCCCTTTTGAGAAGCGTTTTGAGACATCTGCTTGATCTAATGAACATTCTTGTTTACAGTCTTAATGATTTCCTTTATACCAATCATTTCACAATCCTTTCAATCTAACTTTATATAATGGCCCATCTAGCCCTTTGGTCATTTTAATTGCTTTTTCCTGATCTTCCTCTGATTTTGTAAAGTTTTTCCTGAGGTATATGGATAAGAATTTTAGATGAAATTTTATTGCTGTGTACAAAGGAAAGGAAATATTTCTTTTTCCTGAGGATGCCCCAGCATGAGTCATATTGGATTTCAAACTATTAGGGAAGTATTTGAAATGACTCTTGTGTCCTTCGTCAGTCATAATTAAAGCCTCCCACGTGCTAAATTAAGTTTATGTATCCCTTATGCAGGTAGAATGGAGAAGAGAAAGCCTGGAATTTTTAATAATAATCAGGCCTGTTCAAGAAGGCTGATTTTGCTACTTACCATTTTGTGACCTGGGGCAAGTTACTCAACCACTTCATAAGTAAAAACTGGGATAATCATAACCACTTCAAAATATTGTTGTGAAGATTAAACTGATGATGACTGAAAAACAGCTCATAAGGTAACTAACAATAAATCACAAATGCTCAACAAATATTAACAACTTTCCCATGGGCCTACATAAAAATTCTTATTAGCTTTCCTTTCTACTTGTTGCTTTTGTGTGCTGTTATGCCATTTCATTTTCCTACCACTTTAAGTCCATTTTTAAAGCTTCAGGTTTTACACTGATTACAGGACATAATAAAATTTACAGGTTAATCTAATGCTAGCACTGATTTCCCAGATACACTTTGCATGTTCTTTTGTTATTCTGAGAAGTGTGCGTACATGCACGTGTGCACACACGCACACACACACGTGCACATACCCACACTCAGATCTTTTCTGTTCGTATAGCAAAACAGTCTCTGCCAGTGAATGTTCACTTATTAAAAATAAACTTTGGCATATCACTTTTTTCTCAGCTTGTTGAATAATATCCACTTTCTTCTTAAAGTGACTTTTTCAGAACCTTTAGTCTTCATTTCCAGTTTTGACTGACTAAACAGCTGTTGCCCTGAGATTTCATTTTCTTTGTAGCATAGTTTCCCTCTTTCTTGGACCTCATGCTTCTTTTTTTCATAGATCCAGTTTCATTCACAGGAATACTTTTCAGAAAGGGTGTATAAAACAAAAATCTGACTGTTGTGCTGGCCATAGAATTTTAGATACAAAACTCATATCTCTTAGAATTTGGCTTATTTCCATCTAGCATTCTCATAAGGACACTAGTAATCTGCTTGCTGTTCATTTGTAAATAAACATGGACACCACTTCTCTTCTGAAGATTTAAGGATATTTCAAAATTTTTGTTACCCTAAGTCTAAGATGTGTCTAAGAGTGGGATTTGATTGTAGTTTGGAGACTAGCATCTTTCTTTTTTTAAATTACTTTTCCAGCTTTATTGAGGTATAATTGACAAATAAAATTATATATACTTAAGGTGTACAATGTGATGTTTTGATAGACATATATAGTAAAATAATTACCACAATCAAGCAAATTAATGTATCTATCACCTAGCATAATATCACTTTTTTTGGTGATGAAAACACTTAAGAGCTACTCTCTTAGAAAATTTCAAGTATATAATACAGTATTATTAATTCCAGTCACCATGCCATACAGTAGATCGCCGGAATTTACTCATTCAGTATAGCTGACATTTTGACCAGCATTTCACCATTTCTCCCACTTCCAGCTCCTGTCAACTACCTTTCTACTCTCTGCTTCCATGAGTTTGATTATTTTAAATTCCACATATAAGTGAGATCATGCATTGCTTAGCATAATATCCTCTAGATCTATTCATGTTTTCACATATGTCAGGATTTGCTTCTTTTTTGAGGTGGAATAATATTGCATGGCATATATAAGTCACATTTTCTTTAGCCATTCATCCAGTGATGGCCATTTGTGTTGTTTCCATATTTTGGCTATTGTGAATAATGCTGTAATGAACTTAGGAGTTCAGGTATTTTTTTGAGTCCTGGTTTTAATTCTTTTAGATACATACCCACAAGTAGGATTTCTGGATCATGTTAGTTCTATTTTTAACTTTTTGAGGAAACTGCATATTGTTTTCCGTAATGGTTGTAACAATATACATTCCCACGAACAATGTGTAAGGGTTCTCCCTTTTTCATATTCTCATCAACACTTGTTACCTTTTGTCTTTTTGATTACAGTCATTCTAGAAAGTGTGAGTTATTACCTCACTGTGGTTTTGATTTGCATTTCCAAGATGATTGGTGCTGAGCACCTTTTCATATCTGTATATCTTCTTTTGAGAAATGCTTATTCAGGTCCTTTCCTCACTTTTTAACTTTTTTAAAAAAATTTTTACTATTGAGTTGTGGGAGTTCCTCATCTACTTAAGATGGTAAGCCCTTATCAGATACATGGGTTACAAATATTTCGTCCCATACTGTAGGTTGTCTCACTGTGTTGATTTTTTTCCTTTGCTGTGCTTAGCTTTTTATTTTCATGCAGTTCAACTTGTCTATTTTTGCTTTTGTTGCCTGTGCTTTTGGGGTAATATCCAAAAAATCATTGCCTAAACCAATGTTTTCCCCTTTGTTTCTTTCCAGGAGCTTGACAGTTTCTGGTCTTATGTTTAAGTCTTTAATTCATTTTTTGAGTTGATTTTTTTATATTGTGTGTGAGATAAGGGTGAAATTTCATTAGTCTGCATGTGGATATACAGTTTTACCAGCACATTTATTAAAGAGAGTATCGTTTCCTCAGAGCATATTCTTTTACCCTTGTTGAAAATTAGTTGACTGGGTTAATTTCATTCTATTGATCTATGTGTCTGGTTTTATGCCAGTATTGTACCATTTTGATTACTGTAGCTTTATAGTATAATTTAAAATCAGTAAGTGTGATGCCTCTAGTTTTGTTATTTTTGCTCAAAATTGCTTTGGCTACTTGGGGTCTTTCTGGTTCATATGTATTTACGATTGTTGTTTCTATTTCTTTGAAAAATGCCACTGCAATTTTCAAAAGAATTGCATTGTATCTGCAGATCTCTTAATGTTTAGCCTATTAGGGATTTTCTGGGCACTAAGACTATGGATGTTCAATTCTATTCTCTGGTTTTGGAAGTTTTCTGTCATTATTTCTTTAAATAAGCTTTCTTTTCCCTTCAGTTTCTCTATTTCTTTTAGGACATCCATAATGTATATATTGGTTCACTTAATGTTCCCATTAGTCACATAAGCTTTCCTCACCCTTTTTAATCATTTTTCCCTCTAACTTAATAATTTCAAATAACCTGTCTTTGAGTTCAGTCATTGTTTATTTTCCTTCATGACTGAGACTCTGTATTACATTTCAGACCAATCATTTTATTCTCAGCTCTAGGATTTCTATTTGGATCTTTTTAATGTTTATTATTTCTTCGACAGACTTCTTATTTCATTCATGTGTTATTTTTCTAATTTCACTTAGTTGTCTATCTCTGTTCTCTTGTAGCTCATCGAGTTTGTTTAACACATTTATTTTGAATTCTTTGTCAATCAGTTCATGAATTCTTTGTCAATCAGTCCTTTACTTTAGGGTTGGTTACTAAAGCTTTTATTAGTTTCTTTTGGTAGTGTCACATTTGCCTGGTTCTTTGTGATCCATGTAGAGTGGGGCTGGAGTAAAGTCATGAGACTTTTCTCAGACAACACAGTTGGGTCTGAAGTCAGCATGCTTGTAACCTAGAGGCCTGGATACTCCTGGTTCCCTTGGCCAGGGGGATATGACTGCTTCTGGTCTGTAGCCAGAACCACAGATGGCAGGCCTGCTAGTGGTGCATGGACTTGCTTTCTCAAAGCAACCCTCCTTGGTCTTGGTCTCTACTGGGCTTTTGCAACCTTCTACCTAGATTCCAAAGTTTCCAAAAACACAGTTCATTCCAAGGATAGCAGCCAAATATTTGGTTTTTTTGGTGGGACATGGGCTGGTGACCTCTTGTTCTACTATCTTTCTGATGTAAACACTAGCGTCTTTCTTAGGCTTTAAGAAATCTTTTTTTCCTCCCCCCTTTTCTAGTCCTCCCACGTCCTCTTCCTTCTTCTCTTCCTCCTCCCTCTTTATATTTCCTCCTTTCTGTTTTCTTTTTCTGGAACTCCTATAAGACAGATGTTGAACTTTTGGTTTTATCCCTGATGTTTCTTAACTCTTCTTTTATATTTTCTTTTTCTGATATTTTTATTTTAGTTTCAGGGTAGTTTCTTTGGCTTTAATTTTTAGGACTTCGGGATTATACTTGCATTTCCATAAACTCTTTCTGATACTATGATGCTCATTTAAAAAAATGAAATCTCTTTCTATTTTACAGATCCATTATATTTGACATTTCCTGGTGCTATTAGTTATATTTTCTAAAATGTTTTCATCCTATATTTGAATAATAAATACCTATTTCTCATAGTCAGTAATTGCTTATGAATATCTGTCTTTTATTTTGTATTTGATTTTTTTCAAATATTTGGTGATCTTATTGTCCATTTGAAACCTTATGAAAGGTTTCCTATATGACTTTCTACATGTTTTTTTTTTCCCCAATCAACATCTCCCCTCAATTTTCAACTTCTAATTCTGTGTTTGTGGGCAGGGCTTATCTTTAGTCTTAGCTCTCAGGCAAACATTTGTTCAGCTCCTGTGGAAGCAGTTTGGAGGTTTCTTGAAGAATTAAAAATAGAATTATCATTCAACCTGCAATTCCATTACTGGGTATATACCCAAAGGAAAGTAAATCATTCTGCCAAAAGGACAAATGCATTCACATGTTTATCACAGCACTACTCACATAGCAAACGAATGGGATCCACCTTGGTACCCATCAACAGTATATTGGATAAAGAAAATTTACCCAATTTAGTACATAAACACCATGGAATACTATGTAACCATAAAAAAGAACAAAATAATATCCTTTGCAGCAAGCTGGATGCAGCTAGAGGCCATTATCCTAAGTGAATTAACACAGTAACAGAAAACAAAATACTGCATGTTCTCACTTATAATTTGGAGCTAAACATTGGGTACACATGGACATAATGATGGGTACAATAAACACTGGGGACTCCAAAAGAGGGAGAGAGAGGGCAAAAGTTGAAGAACTATCTACTGTGTACTATGTTCACTATTTGGGAGATGGGTTCAATTAAAGCCCAAACCACAGCATCAGTGCAACAAACCTGCACATGTACCTCCTGAATAAAAACCAACCAAACAAACAAACAAAAAACCACAAAAACAACAACAACAACAACAACAAAAAGCATATTTAAAAACGAACAGATAAGCAAGCAAAAACTCACTGTCTCAGTCTGAGAGCAAAGGGAGAAAAAAACAGAGAGATTAAAAAAAAAACCACTCAGATCCATCGAACGTGCTAACTAGAGATATGCTAGAGAAAAAAGATAGCAACAAACTTAGTTGTTCAAATAAAGTTCCTCCTAAAAAATTGGAGAAATTCACATTGAACACACAGGACTCTACTGCATAAAAAGAGTAACAGAAATTTATGTTACTTCATTACTGTAATATTAAAAACTGAGGTACATGTGGCAGAGATATGTAGTGGTCAACACTAGGCGTTCAGAAGTCAGGCTTCAGAAATGCCAATAGCACCTTCAGTTTAAGAACCTGCTGGGTCGACTGACCCCATGAAGCAAATGTAGGGACCAGTGCAAAATTATCCCAGGAAGTAGGCTTTGTGGATGTAAGTAACTCTAGAGCATAGGAAATAAAATCACTGGATAGAGCCTGCACCCAGGACCAACAATAGAAAACTGTAAATGGAATGAGCATTAACGGTCTTGGATTCAGCAGGTGGGAAAGAAAGACACCTTAAGCTTGTGGGACGCCTTTGATACAAAGTTCTGAGTTATGTAAGAAAGCTAAAATATCACAGCTGCCCTTCACTGGGAGAGTAGCATAGAAGGATTCACTCTCACTACCCCCTTCAGATATGCTGAACACAATTCCACAATTAACCTCCTGACTTTCCATTCTGAACCATAGACATCAACTGGCCTCTGGGTGAGACAGAATGTCTTCTCTTTCTCCAGATAACCCAGATGATCTTCTATAGAATTTACGGGAATGAGATCATATGCAGATAAAATCAGCACTGGGAAGTTAGATTGCTCTTTTCCTCTTCTAAGAGGAAGAGTCATATCCCTGGGTGACCACAGTCACTGAGGTTACATCAAATGACTTAAGAGAACAAAAGCTCTGCAGATTGTGATAGTTGGCACTTATCCCCCACTAAGAATGGAGTTTCCATTCTTAGTTACTTCTGCTAGTAACACTCCTGGCCTCTCTCTGTACCCCTCAGTCCCATGTCAATGGTAAATTTGCTAGAAAAAAGTGAGCTCAACAACATCTTTCTCTTTTGTATCTTCCAGGAACACATTCTGGTCTGTTCTCTGCCACACAGTAAGGGACCTGACTCTGGCCTGAGGTTATCTGACTCCACAAGTAACTGAGTAGGAAAGTTTGTCTAATTTAGAAAGGAGGTATAGGCTAGCCCATTGAACCATAGAACTAAAGGCATGAACTTCAACCAGTTATCTCATAGACATAGTGCTTTCCTCTTGATACGACTGACTCCTATCACTGTCTTCCACTTGATTGAACTTGAAAGAAGAGAAGGAGCACTGTATTAGTTTGCCAGCGCAGCCATAACAAAAAGCACCACAGACTGATCACTTAAACAACAGAAATTTATTTTCTTACAAGTCTAGAGGCTAGAAATCTGAGATTAAGGTGTCTGTAGGGTTGATTTATCCTGAGGCCTCTCTCCTTCGCTTGTAGATGGCGTCATTTTCCTGAGTCTTCATGTAATCTTTCCTCTGTATCTGTCTGTGTCTTAATCTCTTCTTCTTTTAAGTCACCTGTCACATTGGGTTAAGGGTCACCCTAATGACCTTATTTTAATTTAATTACCTCTTTAAAGACCTTGTCTCCAGAAGCAGTCACATTCTGAGGTACTGAGGGTTAGGAGTTTGACAAATTTTGGGAGGACACAATTCAGTCCACAACAAGTATTGTTTATTGGATTCCTCTAAAACTCCAGCTGGTACAGATGGATGCATTTCTAGTTTTGTCAAAGGGTTACATTCCTTAACTTCCATAGCATCGATTGCAGGTATAACACAGAATGGTTTCTTGGTATAGCTGTTAGTTCTGGACTTTATCGTAAGTTTTAATCGTTTACTTTTAAATATAACTTACCAACATAAGCCTAATAAATAAAATTAATTACACAATCAAATATGCTAAGAAGAACCAGATCATTTCAGCCTGGAGTAGAATGTGACCTCAAGCATTTCAACCATGATTATAAATTACCATTGTATCATTCAAAAATGAGTGATTTTATCAGTCATTTCTCATAATTAATTCTTATACAAAGAAACATGGGCTCAGAATGACAAAGAGAGTTTTTAAATCACAGAAAGTTAAAATAAGACCCTGGAAAGAGGCAATAGAAGAACTGACAGGGTGTTAAATCTGTACCTAAAACCTATAGTAAGGAAGCATGCAACTTGAATTAAAATGGTTGGAGGAAACTGTATGGATGAAACAGAAAATGCCCTGTGTCCTCAGAGGTTAAAGATTTAAGGCAAGTGAGTAGGACTTATTTGGTAAGACTTCTAGGGAGAAAGTGTCTTAGGTTCTTATTCTGGGATGAGGCCAGAGTAAAGAGGCTGAAAGGAATGGATAGCCTCATCTACAAAGACCCAGGCTGGGAGGGACAAGGCATTTTTATAGTTTGGGGAGCAGAGGGCTCATGGAAAGGAGGAAGGGAGCACAAACTAGAATAGATCGTTGGAAGAAAGTCACATCCTCAAATTCCAGAGGGAACTTTGTGTGCGAAGGCAGGCAGTGTTTTGTGACTGTTGTCCCTGGCTTGGGAACCACAGAAGATAGAGAAAGTGTATACCCCAGGTGGTAGGGAATAGGCCAGGGAGGTAGATAAGGACTAGCTTTGAAGAGCTTTGACTCTGATCCTGGGTTGGTTTCTCTCCCTTCTTCACCATGGTATCCTATATTGTTACTAACTGAAAGTCACCACTTCTTCAAAACCAGTTGTTTTAAGTGCTAAACTTGTCCTTCAGATTGATCTTGGAGGTAAATCAAGTGACTGATTTTTCGTTCACCATTTATGTCCTGGAGATTAGGGGAGGGCGTCAGAGGCAAGTAACTGGTAATCGTTGAAACATTTGTAGACATGTCCTTCTTAATTGACTTTGGCCCACTGGTTTACAAGTCTGAGGAGGTGCCTCTAATACAGCGGAGCGCAGATTTTAGACACAGTTTAATTAAATAGTCTGGTGCATTATTTGTTTCCTTCCTCAGCATTTAAAGAATAGCCCATCCATAAGGAACCCTATAAAATATTGTGCCGTTTTATGTATCTTTTAGTTCTTCAGTGCCAGGAAAATAAAATCCCTTTGATCCAAAAGAGTTGTGAGGCAAACTTTTGAAGTTCTCTCCCCACCTTCTCTGGAATCTTTAATCTTTTGAGATCATGAAAGTAAAAAATATTTTTGAAAATCACCAGTCAAATTTAGGACTAAGAAAACGGTGAATTTTTTGGAGTCTGTAGATGTAGGTGGAAAGCATGGACTTTGCCTGCCACAGACCCTATCTTTGCCTCATAGGGTTTTTCAAGCTCTTATCCTGCTTATTGCTCTTGGCTCTGCAATATCCATTTTTTTTTGCCTAATCTCCTTTCCATACAAAAGCAAGGATCTAATTATTTTAGGATCTGGTTCTTGAGTAGGCCAAAAAAAGGTAAAAAAGTTGTCTAAGGAAATCTAGGGAGGTACAGGAGGGCAGTCCATTGAACTAAAATCAGCCTCTCCTACTTTCATTTATCTCCTTAATAAATAGATATTAATCATCTTTTATGTGCCAGGCATTTGCTAGAAGTGTGATTTTTATCAAATTACTTAACTTCTTTATATTTCTGATTCCTCACAATGTTGTTGATAAGATGGACTGACATAACATGTGAAATATTGACTAATATGTGGCATAACGGGGCCTCAACAAGTATAGACTCTTCTTTACCTTCTTCATTGGTTTTTGCAGATTAATGTTGAAATGTGTGTGATGTTTTTGAAGACTATGAAGTAAAAAATTCCTGGTTCTTATCTTATATCCACCATTTACTGAACTTTTCCAAGTTTATACAACTTTTTAAGCAATAGCGTCCCTATTTGGGAACAGTATTAAGAATACCAACCTAGGCTGTGTACTTGTGAGGATCCGTGAGATAATCTGGCACAAAGCCTGGACTGAGGGAGACAGGAGATGCTGTTGCTCTTCTCTTCCCAGAGTGGGGTTCTCCCTCCATGCATCACCATATCTTAATCCTGGGACTCTAAGCTACCAAATGAATGAGAAATTCAAGCCCTAGAAAGATTGAAAAGAGAGAGCCTTTTAGGTAGGAAGGCTTTAAAGTAGGTGTTTCATATATCTTTTTTTAAGAAAGCTATAATGTTCCATATATGAGATTTTCATAGCAAACTTAATGTTATATTTTAAAGTTACCATTTTTACAAGGGCATCTTACTCATCATTAGTGTTTAACACACAAAAAAAGGGTAAAATATGCTTTCATAGAATGAAAGTAAAATCATCCCAGAGAAGTTTTGTGAGGGTAAAATAATGCCAACAAATCAATTAATTAATCAAACCAGTATTAGTGTTATCAAGTGAAGAACCTGATTAAAAGCCAAGATCAAATTCTACATTTCACATAGCAGATTTGATATAATAAAGAAAATGAAGATGACAACAAAAGTCCACTGGATCCTGGACCTTAGATGTGGCAAATAAAATAATCTGGATCAAGCTTATCTACAAAGGGCACAACTATTAATTAATTATAATTAACACCTCTATTACCAGATTCTCTTCTCCTTTCACATTTGGTATTTATAATTTCTTAATAATAAATTAATATTGAAATTAGATTATCAGATATCTGAGTTAATATAGTTATACTATGTTTGCATTTATTTACTTATTACTATTAATCTCGCAAAATATTTGAGAAGTCATAATGAATCAGGTCCATTTTAAGATTATAAATATAGAAATGTGCTCTCTAAACCCAAAGGGGACCACAGGAAGACCTGCCAATATAAAGTCCATTAAAAGGCATTTAAGTTTTCAGTTATTCAACAAACATGATAGTGTAATACATATAATCAAAGAGAAATCTTTCCCCTTTCTTCCTTCCTTCCTTCCTTCCTTCCTTCCTTCCTTCCTTCCTTCCTTCCTTCCTTCCTTCTTTCTTTCTCTCTCTTTCTTTCTTCTTTCTTTCTCTCTCTCTTTCTTTCTTCTTTCTTTCTCTCTCTCTCTTTCTCTCTCTTTCTTCCCCTCCCTCCCTTCCTTCCTTCCTTTTTTTTTTTTTTTTTTATTTTGAGATGGAGTCTCACTCTCTCACCTAGGCTGGAGTGCAGTGGTGCAATCCTGGCTCCCTGCAACCTCTGCCTCCCAGGTTCAAGCGATTCTTATGCCTCAGCCTCCTGAGTAGCTGGGATTACAGGCACCCACCACAATGCCTGGCTACTTTTTTTTTTTTTTTTTTCTTTTTGTATTTTTAGTAGAGACAGGGTTTCACCATGTCTGCCAGGCTGGTCTCGAAATCCTGGCCTCAAGTGATCTGCCTGCCTCAGCCTCCCGAAGTGCAGAGATTACAGGCATGAGCCACCATGCCCAGGCTGAAAGAGAAATGTTTCACAAGTCTGTGAAAAAATATTGTACTTATTTATTTATTTATTTTGCTTTTTGAGACGGAGTTTCGATCTGTTGCTCAGGCTGGAGTGCAATGGCGCAATCTTGGTTCACTGCAACCTCTGCCTCCCGGGTTCAAGCAATTCTCCTGCCTCAGCCTCCTGAGTAGCTGGGATTACAGACGTGCACCCCTATGCCAGGCTAATTTTTGTATTTTCAGTAGAGACGGGGTTTCACCATGTTGGTCAGGCTGGTCTCAAACTCCTGACCTTGTGATTTGCTGGCCTCAGCCTCCCAAAGTGCTGGGATTATAGGTGTGAGTCATCGTGCCCAGCCAAAATATTCTATTTTTAAAGCAAATATGCCCAAAGGGCTTTATGATTTAAGAATGACCTTGTGGTTGTCAGGAAAAATGGTGGAAGAAAAACATCTGAAAAGCCTCTTCTCCATAAAAGCAATGAGAACGCTGGAAAAACATGGTCGAAATTAACTTTTTAAAAACACCGGGGCCAGGCGCAGTGGCTCACACCTGTAATCCCAGCACTTTGGGAGGCTGAGGCGGGCGGATCACGAGGTCAGGAGTTCAAGACCATCTGGCCAACGTGGTGAAACCCCGTCTCTACTAAAAATGCAAAAATTAGCTGGGTATGGTGGTGCGTGCTTGTAATCCCAGCCACTTGGGAGGCTGAGGCAGGAGAATCACTTGAGCCAAGGAGTCGGAGGTTGCAGTGAGCTGAGATTGACCCACTGCCCTCCAGCCTGGCAACAGAGCAAGACTCCGTCTCCAAACAAACAAACGAACAAACAACCACTGGAAAACCAGCAGTCTAGCAGATACTGGAGTGGTCAGAAAAGTGTTAGGGATCTTTCAAAGCTCCATTTCAGAGCGGTATCATTATTTGACCTGTATGATAGTTCCCTGGAAACCCCACTTTTACAGTTTGTCTTCTCTTGACCTGACTTAAAACTCACCCACTAGAATAACCTTTTCTATGGGGGCATTTATCAGAAACAATTGATAGTGATTGTTTATCATCAGAGCTACCTGAGGTGGAGATATTTGGGGTAAACAACAAGCTATTCAGAAAATTTAAAAGGAAAGACTGGGTAGTGAATTCTACAGGGGGCTTTAAAAAGTTCTGACATATTCTTGGGAATTTAGAAAGCTACATGCATGTGTAGGGCTGTGTGCATGCTCTGAAAATATCTGAAAAAACTCTAAGTTCTGACCTCTGGCTAACCTTCAGGTTCTGCCAAGCAGGAAGTGAAAGCTAAGGCACAATTCTAAACTGCCTAGCTAAGTAGTGAAGGCTTACTCCAACATACATACAGAGGTCCTTGACAAAGACTGGGAGATTTATTAGTTCCAGGCATTTAAGGAAATCCTCTTTCCAATAACTATCTAACTACTAAACCAATCAAGCAGAGATTTCAGTGGCATACATGAGAAAGAATGCAGAATTTACAGAATTAGTTCAGGGAATTCACCAGAAAACAGGAGAGCAAAACCAACAACAATAAACAGCAATACAGACAGCAACAAACCCTGGAGAGGAAGAAAGATCTGATTTTCTGATTTAAAATGTCCAATTTTTCCAACAAAAATTGTGATATGGAAAGAAAAAATATGGCTCATATGCAAGAAAAGAAAAAGAGTCAGTACAACCAGTTAATTCCTCAAGGAATCCTAGACATTGGGCTTACTTGACAAAGACCTTATTATTTATTTATTTTTATTTTTTAGAGACTGGGTCCCACTTTGTCACCCAGGCTGGAGTACAGTGGTGCAATCATGGCTCACTGCAGCCTCAAACTCCTGGGAGTACAAGCACACACCACCATGTCTGGCTAATTTTTTAATTAAAAGAAGGTTTTTTTTGGTAGAGATGAAGTCTTGCTATATTTCCCAGGCCTGTCATGAACTGATGGCCTCAAGTGATCCTCCTGCCTCGGACCCCCAAAGTGCTGGAATTACACTGTACCTGGCCAACAAAGACTTTAAATCAGTTATTTTAAATATGTCCAAAGAACTAAAGTAAACCACATCTAAAGAACTAATAGAAAGTGTAATAATGATGTCTCACCACATAGAGAATGTCAATAAAATTTATAAATAATAAAAAAAGAATTAAAAATAATCTGCAGTTGAAAGGTAAAATAATGAAAATAAAAAATTCACTAGAGGGTCTCAGCAGTATCTTTGAACAGATGGAGAAAAGAATCAGCAGATCTGGAAACAGGTCAATGGAGAATACGCTGTCTGAAGAAAAATAAAAGAATGAAGGAAAAAACCCCCATAGGGTTGCAAGACATTATAAAGAGTCCCAATATATGCACAATGTAAGTCCCAAAAGGAGAGGATATAGGAAAAGGGGCAAAAGAATAAGTAAAGAAATAATGGCCCCAAACTTACCAAATTTGATGAAAAACATTAATCTACATATCCAAGAAGTTCAATGAACTCCAGGTAGGACTAAATCAGAGATCTGCGGCCAGACACATCATAAACTGTCAAAGGCAAGAGACAAAGAAAGAATCTTAAAAGCAGCAAGAGAGAAGCATCATGTACAAGGAAGCCTTAATAAAATTAATAGCTGATTTCTTATCAAAAATCATGGAGGCCAGAAGAAATGGAATGATGTATTTAGTGTTGAAAGAAAAAGACTGTTAACCAAGAATTCTATATGCAGCAAAACTATCCTTCAAAATGAAGGGGAGGAAAATGACAAGGATATCTGCTCTTATCATTTTCACTCAACATTGTACTGGAATTTCTAGCCGAGGTAATTAAGCAAAGAAAAAAATGCATTCAGATGGAAATGAAGCAGTAAAAATACTTCCATTTTCAGACTATGTTATCTTTTTATAAACAAAATCCTAAGGAATCCATTACACAGCTATTAGAGCTAGCTAATAAACAAGCTTAGCAATGTTGCAGGATACAAGATCTAAATTTTGAAATACATTATATTTCTATGCACTATCAATGGACAATCCAAAATATAATTTAAATATTCATTAAAAATAGCATAAAAAAGGATAAAATAATTAGTAATAAATTTAACAAAAGAAATGCAGGTTTGCACACTGTAAACTATAAAACATTGTTGAAAGAAATTAAATAAGACCTAATAGGAAGACATTTCATGTTCATGGAAGATTTAATATTGTTAAGATGGTTACATTCCCCAGATTTATATACAAAGTTAATGAATTCCCTATAAAAATCCAGTTGCGTTTTTTTGCAGACATTAATAGCTGATTCCAAACTTCACAGAGAAATGTAGGGAACCCAGAATAGCTAAAAC
Source organism: Homo sapiens (assembly GCF_000001405.40). Taxonomy (NCBI): domain Eukaryota; kingdom Metazoa; phylum Chordata; class Mammalia; order Primates; family Hominidae; genus Homo; species Homo sapiens. The sequence continues at coordinate 42,333,658 of NC_000007.14, forward strand.
AGTCTTTAAAAGGAACAGAGAAAATGCACACTTCCTGATTTCAAATTTTACTACTAAGCCATGATAGCTTCATAAGAAGAGAGTGTGGTACTGGCATAAGAATAGATTTATAGAACAATGAAATAGGATTAAGAATCAAGAAACAAAGATCTTATATTTATGGTCAGTTGGTTTACTTTAAGGGTATCAACATAATTTAATGAGGAAAAAACAGTCCAGTCCTTTCAACAAATAGTGCTGGGCAACTATTGATAGTCATATGCAAAAAAAAAAAAAAAAAGTTAAATTGTTACTGCACATCATATATAAAAATTAATTCAAAATTGATCAAAGACCTAAATATAAGAACAAAAACTATAAAATTCTTAAGAAGACATAGGTGTGAATCTCTGTGACCTTGGATTAGGCGATTTTTTTTTTCTGGATATGATTCCAAAAGCAAAGCAACCAAAGAAAAAAAATTTGACTTCATCAAAACTAAAAAATGTTGCACATCAATGGACACTATCAAGGTGAAAAGAACACAGAGAGTGAGAAACATATTTGTAAATTATATGTCTGATAAAGGGGCATGTATCCAGACTACGTAAAGAATGTTTATAATAAAAATACAAATAATTTAATTTTAAAATGGGAAAAAATTGAATGGAGATTTCTACACAGAAGACATGCAATTGGCCAATAAGAACATGAAAATATGCTTAACATATTTAATCATTAGGAAAATGCAAATCAAAAATCACAATGAGACAGCACTTCACACTCATTAGTGTAGCTATACTTTTTTAAATGGACAATAACGTGTTGGCATGGATGTGGTAAAATTGGAACCCTTACACACAGCTTAAGAGAAGTAAAATGGTTTAACTGCTATGGAGTACAGTTTGGCAGTTTCTTGAAATGCTAAACATGGAGTTGTCATTAACCTAGAAAGTGCAGTCCTAACTATTTCATGAAGAGAAATAAATACATATGTACACACAAAAACTTGTTCATGAATGTTTATATCAGCTTATTTGTAATGGCCCCAAAGGGGAAACAACCCAAATATCTATCACCTAATGAATGGATAAACACAATATGGTATATCTAGTATATCTAATGTTCCAATGGAATATTATTCAGCTATAACAAAGAAGGAAGTATGCTACAACATGGATGAATCTTGAAAACATGCTGAGTAAAAAAAGCCAGACAGAAAAGGCCACATAATATATTATTCTATTTATATGAAATGTTCAGAATATGCACATCCATAGAGATAGAAAGTAGATTAGTAGTACCTAGGGATAGGGTGCAGGAGAAATTGATTAATAGATAAAGGGTGATTGTTAATAGGTAAAGGGTTTCTTTTTGTGGTAATGAAAGGGTTTTAAAATTGACTGTAGTAATGGTTGCACAATTTTGTCAATGTACTATAAACCATTAAATGGTACACTTTAAATGGGTGAATTATGGTATGTAAATATAAATGTGCCATGATAATCATATCTCTTTCTGAGCTCCATAGGCATACTATCCAATTGCTTACCTGAAATCTTCTTTGGATACCTCAATGGTATCTCAACAACAGTATATTCCATTTGGATTCATTATCTACCTCTTTTCCACTCATACGTCTTTCAGAATTCCTTATCTCAATTGCAAAAATCAGTCCGTCATTCAGTTGCATACTGTAGAAACCTGAGAGCCATTCTTTAAACTTCCCTCCTTTTAACTACTTGTTCATCTTACTTCCCAGGCATCTCTTTTATCCACTTTTATACATCTCTACCTCACCACCATAGTAAGTCTGGACCGTTTTAATAGTATCCTAACTAATCTTCCCATATCCATTCACAGCTTTTTCAAATCTCCACGTTCTCCACTTTAAATCAGGGTGCATTTTCAGAATGCTAATCCAATCATGTCACCCTCAACTGAACCCGTAGACTCAAATTGTAGAGGATCCTACATATTCTGGCCCCTTTCTGCTTGTTCAACCTTTCACACCTGATTTCTGCTAAAAAAAAAAAAAGTCAACAAATATAGCAAAAATCAACAAAGATAGCAAAAAATTATTAAACTGATTATGTATTTTAATGTCTCTTACAAATATCTATACATGAAGCACAACATTTTTCAAGATTTCATGAATAGGTAGGTAATTTAGAATTATTGTGTTTAAAATAAATTCTTCAATATATTTTCAGTGATAATTCTTGATGGTATTCTTGTAATGACTGATTATAAACTTATATTTCAATTAAACAGATAGACCAATCTTTCGTTTTATTATTTTCCCCCACAGTTTGAAAGCGGAGGTAGCCTTTCTTCAAATGGAATCTTATTAGAAAACTAAATGTGAAACAAGAAAAATTAGTTGCCCTGGTGAGGGGTAGTGGAAACTGGTCTTCTGTCAGCTTGATCCCTTTCTTAGTATCTGATCTAGATTCCCAATTATGTAGGAGACACAATTGAAATTCACTGGCCTAACCTATTAAACACTGTTTATAAAAAAGAGTGATGTCATGCTTTGATTTTTTCATTTGCATTAATATTTTTTCTAAAAAACTTACTTTTGAAATCTTCCACGGACCTCTTTTTAATATCATGGGTAGTACCTCCATTCCTCTTTTTTTCTTGTAGTTCCTGCATGTTGGTTTATATTATTTTTTTCCTTTCCTGGCCACCTGTACTGTATTCATATCTCCTGTGAGAATCACCTCAAGGGTTCTCCATAATAGTTTACAGAAAAATCCATCATTGAGATGCATTTATTTCTTCATTTGGTAAGATTAATGGTGCTTTCGGAAGCATTGACAATTTACCCTTTCGCTGACCCTGCGAATGATGCTGATGTGGCCATGGAGCACTCAGAGATGAGCATATAAATGCCAGTCCTCTCAGAAAGTCTTACTGCACTCCTCCCCTCAGATAGTATCTTTTCAAATGTCTGGCTTCTACTTCTTCAACTTTTTCCATGCCTCAAAGTGCTACTGTCTCCAGTGATGTATCGGTAAATGTTTAATAATTGGCTCTCTTGAGGGTCAGGTGGGGGAGAAAGCCCTGATTTATAGTGTTTCCCTATTTCAGGATATTTACACGCTGGCTAATTTCAAACTACCAGCGCTGCCACTGGGTGTGGACTGAAGAAGAGCCATGTGGTGGCAGAGGGTTGAATAGTATTTCCAGCAGACAGAGACGGGAGATGTAAACAACCCCAAGGCATAAATGATAGTAAGATAATTAGGAAGGAGTGAGTTTTGAGTCTTGGAAATGCTTCAGCACAGGGTGACTGTCTCACTCATGGGTAGCCACTAACTGGAAGTGGTAAGGATGCGTGGGCTATTTTCCTAAACGTCAAAGAACAGAGGGAGCAGAGATGGCAAATTGGTTTAACTTGGGAGCCATATCTTGTCAGTTGCTTGTGATTTAGTTGGCTGTGTTAAAAAGAATTCTGAAACTCTGTTCTGAGAGTTCTATAGTCTATTATTAATGTTCACTAAGGGCTAAGAAGGAAGGCATATTATATTTTATTCCACACACTTTTCATCCCCTTTATAAGCATATTTACATTGTAAAGCATCCCCTTTATAACCATCTAAGCAGTAGAGGAATATACAGGATCTATTTCACTCTCCTTTGACCTCTATGCACATCTGCCCATGCCCCACATATGATTCTGTGGTCCCTGCAGGTCCAGAGATGCCTTCCCACCCAGCTTTCTGTGCTCGCCACTGCCTCCCAGACACTGCCCTCCGTGCCCCCCCGGCCCTCAGCCCTGGTGGCCATGGCGGTAGCCTGGAGGGCATCATAAGGGCTCTGGCTTCCCTTCTGGAGCACTCTGGCACTCGATGCCATGACCTTGTCTCCTTGGCTTTCTGCTCCTTGGTTGCACACCCCACCCCGTGATATCTGCTATGTCCCCTCCATTTGCTGGTTCGATGGGCAACCCTTCCATGCTTCACAGACACCAGCTTCTTGTTTTTCTCTCAGCTCAGCCTGTGTCGAATTCCTTAGGCCATAGGGAAGAGACATTCTCTCACCTGACCTGAGGCTCAGGGAATCTTTCCTGACCAGGTGACGCTTCCTGTTAGCTGAGGCTCAGGGAGTCCTTCCTGACCAGGTGACGCTTCCTGTTGCCTCCCCCTCATAATTCCCTCTCTGCTCCCAGCTCCAGCAAAGGGTTTTGGTGTCATTCAGGATTCCAATTAGATATTTGCACTGAGTTCACCTACACAGGGCGGGTACACAGCGTGTGATCGAGTCTTCGTTCAGTCAAATTCTTTTCAGTCTATGTACTTTCTCCCTAAGAGGGTTAAAACTTGAGGGCAAAAAAAAAAAAAAAAATCAATCAATCAATCAATTGTATGTTATGTAATTCCCACAACCCTTAGAAAATACACTTTTTTATTGCTAGAAAGTGGTGACCAGAAATATTAGAAACCGAGGTGACCTTCTGATGGCTTTTAAAGGTTAAATATATTTGGGAGAAACTTGTTGGCATTTTCATTACAACTAGAGGTTCAATGATTTCCCCTTATTATGCTAACAATTGGCTTTAAAAAATAACCAGAAGTTGTCTTGTACTCACCAGTTAGATGACAAACTGTCCTTCACCCTGAAATGGGCTGAACTGCTGTTAACACACTTCTGACGGGGAGGCTTCTGGACTCTCAGGAAGATGAAAAGCTAACAGAGACAGAAAGAGAAAGCAACTGCCAGAGCTGTTGCGGTGGAATGAAGGGGCAGGGCTGCACATTTTTGGGTTTTAGTTTTTAATTTTTCAAACACCATTGAGTGTATGAGGGTTTTGGCTTGTGAACAGCAATCTTTCCCTCATGGGCCTATCCTAGTTTGTGGTCACAAGGAGACACTTGGAGAGCACAGGTCAGAATAAGTGAACAGGCAGCAGAGGTCATACAAGGAAAACACTAGAGAAAGGATGCTTTAAAAACAATGCTATAAAATGATAGCAGGCAAAGAGGTCTTTAAAATGTCACTTGAGTAAGCACCAAAACATTGAAATTCCCCAAAGTCTGTGGAAAGAATGAATGGTGATTTGCAAAGTTTTATGTATAAATACAAGCTCTCTTTTAACTAAGATCTAAGTTCTCAGGCTTTGCGTGCTGGAGGAGGGGCGGAGAGTATGAGATACAAAGTTTCCTAAAGAAAATGAGAACAAAGGTAAAGAAATGAAATGAGACTGCCTCACAAACATGGCATGCAGGAAATGCCCAGAATAGAGACAGAATAGGAGTCACTGCTGCTTCTTAGATGCTATTTACTTGAAGTGTGTTTTATCTTAAACATATCCTTCTGTGTGCTGTTTTCATTATCCTCATTAGGAGATTAGGGGAACATTTACTCAGTTTAAAATTCTTGCCTTTCATTCCCTCAAGACTCATCAAACGCTGGAGTAATGTAGAAGAATAAATAATATTGTAAAAGAATTTTTTCTTTACTGAATCACAGGGAACATAACATTACTTTTAAATATGTTCTTAAAGAGAAAAGGTCTTTTCACAGTGGTAACGCTTCATATTTTAGAAGAAAATGTGCATTTAATTAAAATTCCATATGACAATCATAGCATATTATTTAAATACCAAATGACTATTAAAATCACATTTAATTGTGGTCTAAAAAATATAACAGATATGTACCCACAAAACAGCTGTTAAACATCACCAAAATTTCCTTGATCAGCTTTCTTTTTTTCCTTAAGCATTTCCCAATTACAATTAGCCCGGTTTTGAGAAACGTTTCTTATGCACACATGCACACATACACACATGCAGACACACCAGACACACACACTCATCTTATGAATGTTATAACAAGAAATTTTGTTGAACTGAATGACAATTTTGTGAGGATTATCAGTGATTCAAAAATAATAGCAGAAAAACCCTGAATTTTCCATGTCGGCATGGATGTCTTCACTATGACGTGCTGTATAGAATCAAAGAGCACCAGGAGAATATCAAATATATGCCACATTGAAGACAGAGAAGAGGAGAGAGCTGTCACTCTCAGATGAATATTAATACAGCTACTACAACTGCATGGTTCAGTATATTCCAAAGGGCTTTGTGATACCAACTCTGGCACTAAAAAACTGTGGTTGTATTCTGTCAAATCCACACATGACTTTGAAAGCATGTGACTATTCAATATTCACTTTTGAAATAGCCAACTAAATTAAACTCTCCATGAGGAAATGGTTTTTGTGTAGCCAAACATCTCAGTGCAATTCATCAAGGTAAACATTTGATTCAGGGATTGCAAATAAGGCAGTTGCTGTCACCAAATTTGTAGGCAAAATTGCACAGAGTACAAAATCAATTAGACTTTTCCTCCTATTCTACTTTTGGGTGCATTTCACTCCCTTTTGGCTTCTCAGGATGCCAGTTATCTTGACTGCAGATTCTAGAAGTCCTTAGGCAGGCCAGGCCCATTCCTGTACTATAGTATCACACTTAAATTTCTTCTTCCCCCAGAAATCTGCTATTTTACAGTAATTTTCCTTCCTACCCCCAATTCCATTCCCACAAAATCCTCATTCATTAAGACTCAGGCAAATGGCAAAGTGTTTAAAATAATTCACACTAGAAGACAAACTTGCAGGGAGTTATCTACAATTACGGAGGGGCGCTTCACAAACGGATCTTTGCCTCCCCTGGGCCCTCTCTCTCCCGCCTTACTCCTTGCCTTTCTCTGCCTCTGATTTTCTTTTGTTTTAAAAAAGCAACCTAGGACTTCTGGGTAAGAATGTGATGTCAGCACAAGTGTCTAATTCCTCTCCTTCCAGATCCCCATTAAAATGACCAATAGGTATAAAAATAAGAGAAAAAACTGCTCCAGTGCTGACACTTGGAAAGCCTAAACTTGCACACCGAATCTCCAACAATTTCTGTTAGATGAGAATGAATCGAAAGAAAAGGCGGACTCATGACTCACCCTAAGTGGAAGAGGGGCAGTGTGCAGACAAAGCGAGTGTAGAGACACAGATGGAACCCTGTTAATAGCCCTTAGGTTAAAGGAGCAAGGGCTGGACATGAGGTTAGACCATCAGGAGGTCAGGAGAACATCTGGAATCCTTCATCCTGTTTGAAAAGTGTGAGCTGCTCCTGGGGGAAGCTATTGCAATGGGGCTTACCCACAGCCCAACTACCTAATCCGAAACCTAACCCTAACCCAGCCGTGCCACAGGACGGGGACGCGGGTAGGGGCAGCGGGTGATGAATGTTTTTGTGCTCAGAGCCTCAAATGCATCTCAGCTTATTTCCTAAGGATACACTCTTGAAAAGAGAATGATCAGGCCCCAAACTGTGAACATTTTTCTGATTACTAATTAGAAAATTGCTCCACAAAAAGATTGTAACAATTTACACCTCCACTAAACAGCAAACTGCAGTCCCCTTTTCACCAACCCTCACCAGTGTCAGACATTAACAACAGATAAAAAATGACAACTTATAGTTGTTTAATTTATACTGAGTATTAAGAAAGTTGAATTCTTCTCTCTTTTAATGTGCTTTAGACATTTGCATATATTTCTTCTTTTTTGAATTTCCCTTGCCCATTTTTCTTTTTCATTTTGGGGCCCATCCATTTCATATTGATTTGTGAGACTCTTGTCTATAAGGGAAGGTAACACTTTCAGAGAAAGAATGCGATCCCAGTTCTTCCTTTCAATGTTTTAAGGCAGAGAAAACTTGGTTTCTAGGGGTTAAACAATAAAAGTGCACCCATGTAAACAAGTCCCGCGGTATAAACTTACCAGTATAATTCGCAGCCTTCTTCCTTATCCTTTTTCTGGGTCTGATTGTTTTAAGAGATGCTCTGATTTCATGCTATTTTGTGTTTAGCTTTTGTTGTTGTTATTTTTTGATTTTTTTTTTAGAATGAGTATCTGGGTATATGTACAGGGGTCATATTTTGTGAACTTCACATCAAATCACCTTGTCTGATAAATGAGAAGAACAAGACACTTAAAAAAAAAAAGGAAGCAACAGAAATTTATTTTCCTACAGTTCTGGAGGCTGGCAGTCTGGCATCAAGGTATCAGGGCAGGGTTAATTTGACTTGTAGATGGTTGTCTTCTGTTTTCACGCGGTGGGCACTTTTCTTTTAGGCAATACCTCCAAAAGAATAGGATGATGCTTGTCGTATGTTCATTTTAATTTTTCCAACAATATTAGCAAACCCCGGCCTAGCAAGGTGTCACAAATAGGTGCTTGATATGTAAGAGATTATTGGGTAAGTGTTAAGAGACTGAGGAGCATGTCCTAAGCAATGAGGACAAATGAGCAGGGGACAGAGGGCCCCCAAAAGGGAAGTATTCTGCCTGTAAGAAACTACAGGTATGGGGCACATATACACCATGGAATACTAAGCAGCCATAAAAAAGAATGAGTTCATGTCCTTCGCAGGGACATGGTTGAAGCTGGAAACCATAATTCTCAGCAAACTACTACAGGAACAGAAAACCAAATACCGCATGTTCTCACTTATAAGTGGGAGCTGAACGATGAAAACACATGGACACAGGGAGGGGAACATCACACACTGGGGCCTGTTGGGGAGCGGGGAGCACAGGGAGGGAGAGCATTAAGACAAATACCTAATGCATGCAGGGCTTAAAACCTAGATGACAGGTTGATTGGTGCAGCAAAGCACCATGGCACATGTATACCTATGTAACCAACCTGCACATTCTGCACATGTATCCTAGAACTTAAAGTTAAAAAAACACAGGTAAACATTGCCTAATTTATAGCTTTACTTCAGGAGACTTAAGTTTCAGGGCAGGTAGAGCGAATTCCACACTTAAATATATTCTGTATGGTTCACTAGGAGTTTTCACAGTCATCGCTTGCAGCTGAACACTACTCAAGTTCCTATTAATAGCCATGCTCAAAATGGTCCTACAACTCAGCCTCTGGAGCCTACGACTTTAAAATGCCTGAGGCCAGCTGAGCAGAAGGCTGTGGCTGCTGTGTCCAGTGAAATCCTTATGGCTCTTAAGTTTGGCTGGCATTTTAAAAAGTAAGCTGAGAGTTTCTGTGATTTCCTTCTGAAAAATGCAAAAGAAGTGGCTTCTGTGGGACACCTGGATATCTTATTCTTTACTTACTACTGCTGCAAATGCTTTACAGATCTTCCATTGTGAGGCTGCAGAGAAGGGGGAGAGCTCCTGCCCTGGAGGTATTTCTCTCATCCCATTTGAGGACCCTAATGAAATGTGCTGGTTTCAGAGCTGTAGCAGCTTGCAGTTCTCCACAATTGAATTCCACTCTCTAATGAGTTCCCCTAAATCTGCCATCAGATGACTTTATTGACTTCAGATCGTAATTAACCAACACTCACTTTTTGCAGTTATTTTGATTTTTTCCCCCATTCTGTGTTTGAATGTCTGGATCCAACCTAAGTCATATTTTCCGACAGATACTTAATGATCCAACACCAACAAGGGATGCTGTCTCTTCTCGTCACTTCTGAAAGAAATATTACGGGAGTGGGAAGTGGGGAAGCAGCCTGGAGTATTTTCCAGAACCACTTGATGTCTGAAAAAGTAAGTAGTAGGAAAGAGACCCTTCAATGGGTAATTGACACTGTTTGTGATGTTTTTATTACTTTTCAATTAGGGGAGGTGATAGAACATTCTGTGAGCAGAAAGGCTTGGCTTCATTAGAAGCACATGCTGGCTAAAGTTGTAGATGGACAAGGCTAACTCAGTTGCCACCTTTTCCTTTTTACTTGTTAGCAGACTGAGATAAAGTCTGTGATAAATAAGCAGTTAGAAAAAGATCTCCTTGTTTGTTCTAAAGAGATGCATTCTCTTCAGCTTCCCCATCATTTGTTTAAATTTGGCTTCCAGACTATCCAGCACAATGCCTGAGTTGGAAAACGCTCATTAAACAGACATTGCATTTTAACCCATGTGCGCAGCACGCCACACAGCCTGCGTGCCTTTTGTAAAGTGTTCTTTGTAATGTGGAGCAGATAGATTTAAGTGCTTCACAATTAAGAGTCGGAACCTAGCACCTAGGGGATATAGATGAGTCAATTAATTAGTGAGGCAGTCTTTATTGGGCAGAGCAATGAGTCCCATTTTCCTGATGGGATATTTGTGGCCCAGAGGAAATTAAGATCAGTTCAGCATACGGGCTAATTGCACAGATGTCACTTAAAAGTAATTAACATCCTTTCCTCTAAAGCCAGGTTTCTGCTCTCCAGCCCTTATTCCTAATAATCCCAACATGTCCTTAGTAATCCCTGTCCCACCTCTCACCACCGTGTATCCTGGGACAATTTGACTTCTCTGAACCTCAGTCTCCTAATTTGTACAGTGACAGATGAAGAAACCTAACCTTCCAAGGTTTTCGTGAAGGCTAAGTGAGGTACTATTGGTAAAGTCTTAGGACATTGCTTGCTGGCACAGATTAATTATTTAGCATAGGAATGCAAATAATAAACAGTAATATTAAGAATGATAATCAGAATTTCATGCTTGCACATGAGAAACCCACTGGGTTTGGGGTCCCAGAACTACGTTGGTCCCAGTAAGGACCCAGTGGGAGTGCCCACCTCTGTAACCAGAGTTACAGGGCAAACCAAAGAGTAAGGATGGTACTTCTCAAATTCAAGCACCAGTCTGTGCATAACATCTCAGTCAGTAAGACAGGGCTCAGGGGCCTGGCCAACACACTCGTGAACTTGGCCACTGCCATTCTGGTTTGGATTATTTCAGATGGCTTCTCTGGGCAACTTCCACTCTAAATTTGAAGCACACCTTGAGGGTACTCATGTTGAAGTTCAAAGGAGTCTGGTAACTGATTAAAAATGTATTTCCCAGTTTGCAGCTCCTTCTGTTCTCTCTCTAAACAAGGAAATGGCCAGAAGCAGAAGGCCTCAGGAAGGTGACAGGAAAGGGCAGCCCAGGAGCAGGGTGGGGGTGGGGATGGGCAGTGTGTATTTTAGCTCAATTTGAGCCCTGTCTTGCCGACTCAGATGTTATGCACAGACTGGTGCTTGAACTTGAGGAGCACCATCCTTATTCTTTGGTTGTAGATCTTGTGGGCCCAGAGCCCATCAGCTCTTGGCCATACCTGGCCTGGGTCAGTGCATGAGGCTGGGCATTGGAGGTTCGAAGCTGTGCATGTGTTGGCTATGATTGAATGGATCCACTGCTTGCAGTTGTCATTTAAATGATGATTGTTTAAATTATTCCTTGATCAGCATCTGACTGACTGGAGTCTTCAGTCTGGAACTGGTCTCCTAGAGTCACATTGCAGCCACCTAGAGCCCCTGGAGGCTGGAAGGGTTGAGCAGGAGTCTAGCAAGACTTGCTGGAGTATAACTGCTCAGGGACATTGCCTGAATAAGGTCGCTCTTTGGAATTAAGAAAGAATAAAGCTGCATGGGCATATTATTAAAAAAACGTTGTGTTCTTTCAAAACAGAGTCCTGTGTGCAGGCCTTCAACAGACTGAGACTGTGAATGATAATTCTTCATTGTTCAAATTTTTCCCAAAAACTCTGCTGAAATGTGGATCAGCAGCCACATCACAAAGATTCTCATTTGCTCCATTTGGAGAAACATAGAGTAGAGAGGTTGCCAGAGAGCCTTACAGCTTTGCAGCCTTGGTCAAGTTCTGGGCTTCTAGATGGGCATGGGATCTTGGGAAAGTTACTTCACCTTTCCAAGCCTCTGCTTTCTCTTCTACAAAATGGGGAAAATAATGCTTATTTCAGGGGTTTGCGAGATGGATGAAAATAGGTACTGCAATTGTCCTTGGCACAGGGACAATGAACTCAGTAGGTGCTCAGTATAAGGCAGTTATTGATGGTGTTGATAGTAACACTTTATTAAATAATATAGTTGTGATAAAGAAGAAAAGTGATAGAGCCTTGAGGGGCATCAGGAACAGCAGTGTTCTGGGCTTACTAAACCATAGCTCCTTCAATCCTCACCCCATCCTGCCAGGGGGGTATTGTTAGGCATTCTGCTCAGAGAGAAAGGGAGCTGGCATATGTGAAGTGGCTTGCATATGTGAAGTGGCTTACATATTCAATGGCTAGGAAGCAAAGGAGCCAGGATTCAGACCCAGGGCTGTCTCACATGACAGCTCTTGCTGTTTCCTATAACAGTGCAGCACCCATCCCTTTCCCAAGTCACATAGAAAATTAGTCCATCAGCTGAGGTGTGGCTTGTTCTACTGGCCCCCCTCTGGGGAAAGCACAACCTCCCTTCTGGTTTAAGCTGCTTTTGCTCTTGTTTTCCAAGCATGTTCTTCAATCTCCCTGTATTCCTTCTTTACCTAATTAAGATGTACTCATTCTTTTCTAAGTGAGTTGAACTGTGACTTTTCTGATCTTCAGAGCTGGGCTAATGGACCTTCTTGAATTCCCAAACCAATTGCTAAACACAGCTCTTTCATCACACCTGCCTCTCTGGCTTGGAATAATCTATTTATAGATCTGTCTTCCTACTAGACTGTAAGCTCTTGGAGGGTTATGTTTATCCTTTTCCTCCAGTACCTAACATAGGGCCTGACCACTATAGAAGCTCCATATGTGTTTATTAAATTAAGCTAAACTTAAGTCGACTTGGAGATGTACTTCTGAAGTTCATGTTTTTCCTTTCCTTTATCTATAAATGTGAAAAAAAAAACAGTGAGAATGATTTTGCTTTGATTATGGAACAGTGTTCATGTGAATGAATTTCATAATATTTTAATTAAATATTTCATAACTTGATTCCTAAATACATGTACACACTGACCAAATGTGGCCCCAAAATATATTTAGTTTAAAGATTTCCAGCCAATACTTCAAGTTTTCCATGGTTTTCATGTTAAAAAAAAGTAAACCACACTCTGAAAAAAAAAAAAAAAAACTGAAGAAACACAAACTAAAAAAACTAGTAACTCCCTTTCTACTACCCTTTGATCTCAATTTCTAGTGACAGCTACTACTATTAATATGGGTTATATCCTTTTAGACCAATATCAACCAACAGAACTCTCTGCGATGATGAAAATGTTCTGTAGCTATGCTAATTTCTACTAGCCGTTTGTAACTATTGAACTCTTGAAATGTGGCCAGTGTGATTGAAGAATTGAACTGTTAGTATAATGTAATTGCAATTAGATTTATATGCAAAAAGCTACATGATGTTGTGTTTGGCATGTTAGGAAGCACAGGTCTATCTCTTTGAATATGCAAGCCTATATTTTCTATATATATATATATATATATATATATATATATATATATATATATATATATATAATTTTTAAAACCACATTTATATTGGTCAAAAGGAATACCTGAAAACTGTTAGTGCCAGGAACTTGGTGGCTTTGCTCACCAGAGTTTATTTGTAATACCTAGTAGTAGTTTTGTCATTTTGTTCTAGGACCACAAGGGAATATGCTAAGAAAGATATGCACTAACAGGTGTGATGCTGGAAGTGGGATTCATGGCAGCTGGATTGCGACCTTTTGTTTCCTTTTTTCTTTTTAAGCTCTTAGTACAAAGAAATGCAGTCAGGTGGCAGAAGAATTTCCTTACTGTGAATGCTTTTAACTTTAAGGGATATTCTTTAAGAAGGTTAGAGAATTCTTTTCTCTAATGCTTATTAAAAATATCCTAAAAAGTCTTAATAATCTGGGGTGTTTAAGTATTAGTCATGCCCATACCAGGGGGGATGGGCCACGTGGTCTGTTCTACCAGCTTGATTCTGATAAATCACAGATTCCATTTATAAATCCTAGTGAGGTTTTTGGGAAAGAATCATTTTTCCTCTTTATGATGACAGTGAAAAAGCTGCTGAACAAATATGTATTAAATGTTGACTGTTTTTTAAAAATACCATGGTCAGGGGGATAACACAGTCTGTGTATTATCACAGCAGGAGGAGGGAAAGGCCCAGGTAGGCTCATAAACGCCACTGCCACGGTTCCACACTTTCAGAAATGGGTTGAGCAGTTGTGTGTCATATTTTGGTAGTGTTAAACACCAGGTTTTCAGCCCAGGGATCTGAGGCCCTGCTTCAACCAAGTTGTCTCTCCCTGTCAGTCACTTCTATTCAATGGCTCTGCTTTACCGTCGCTGATCTCATGCACCCCAGTCATGGGTTTAAGCCCTGTCTGGGCTTGTGAGCACAGGCAGCTGTCCTAACCTGAGGCAGCCCCCTTGAAAACACACACCCTTTGTCACAAGCAGATCTGAGTACAGAATATGGCAGAGACACGGAGCTGAATACTCACCCAGTTCCCACTAAAATCTAATTTTATTTGAATGTAAAAAGCGTGACAGTGACTATGTTGCTGATTCCAAACTCTGCTTCCTCAACCCCCACAAACCAATTGAGAGACTGTGAATTAAACATTGCATAAGAAACAGACATCATTTTTATTCCTCACTTGGAATCATCTCAGCATCACCTTCACTTAATCACAATTGCAAAACACCCCAGAGTCTACAAGAGAAGTTGTCTAGGGGTCTCATCAGAAAGAGAGGGAGACAGGATATAAAATTACTTCACATCTCAATAGATAAGAGGTCAGTGTCCCCTGGATGACCTGATGAGGGTCAAGTTTCTCTTGTGCCTTAAAGTCCTTATGGCTTCTGGTGCAGCCCTGCCCTGACCAGAGCTGATAATTCATCTACGGAGCTCAGCTCAGAGGCCCACAGCAGTACAGGATCTTGCTACCCAAAAACATGGCCTTTGGACCTGCAGCATCAGGGTTATCTGGGACACTTTTAGAAATGCAGAGTCTCAGGCCCCCCACTGAATTAGAATCTGTATTTTTAGGAGGCTGCACGTGGTTTGTATGCATATTAAAATCTGAGGAACACTATCTCCGAGTGTCTGAACTTTATCTCCTGAGGGGATCCTGATGTGCAAATCCTGTTTGGCCTCTAAGGTCCTTGATTACAGACTGTATCTTTTAATCTTTCTGATCTAAATCAAGTTTTCTTTCTGTGCACCTATAATAACTGGCATTTACAAAGCATTCCATTTCTCGCTTTTCTCAGTTTTCTGCCCAGAGATTTGCTAAAATGCTCCTGGGTTTGCTTTGGAAAGCCAGGTGGCTGTATTTGGGTCAAAGACTTGCTGTAAGTTGATTACCATCTATGGTTCTGAAAAATTAAGTGGAAACATCTGTTCTGAGGTCAAGATGAATTTAGTTGACACTCAGGATAGATCCCTGAAATTGCACACAACACGGGGCCAGAGCCTTCTTGTTTAGGGCTGCTGTTAAGGAGGGCCTCTGCCAAGCCGGCAATGGATATTAATCACATCCCAGTCACTGGGATTTCAAACACTGAGAGGGAAAATCTCTGAGAACATGCAATGGTGTGAAGGGCTACACAATTTTGCATATGGAACATAATACCATGGGAGGGACATGTTCTCTGGATTTGGATTCTCTTCTTTGTTTTATCGGAACAAATACAGTTTGTTGGAGCTTTCAGGAATCTTCATTTCTACATGGCTGTCACCTGGAATTTGACTGCGTTCCTACCTCTGGTTCATAAGAATCACTTTACAGTGCTCAGACACAACCTCAGGTCTACAGAATCAAGTCTCCAAATGTGAGACACCTATATTTATCTCCAGCTCTACAGGTAATCTTGGTGCACGGGCACAGTCCATGATTTAGGAATGTCCTGGAAGTGTCTTATGGGAGCTCAGTAAAATTCTGCAGGAGATAAACATGCCAATGTACACTGTAACATTAGACCAGCTCAAAAACAGGAGCTGGTGTTTTCTAACTTCTTGAGGCTCAGCGTTTGAACCCTCGGCCAAAATGCTTGTGCAGATAACTGATTCAACCTGTGAAAAGAGACACTGAGGTCAGAAATGTTTTGCTAGGCACTCTGGAAAAAGAAAACCCAAAAACTCCAAACCAACAACGTTAGACTGAATGGGGTTCAAGAAACATCCTCAGGCCAAAAAGCCATTTGGCATTGATTACTGGGGAAAGTGATAAAGGGAGAAGGTTGATGGGGTATACTGGATGTGAAGAGCCTTGAATGCATTATTCTGTTCAAGTATGTAATTTCAGATATTTATTGATCACTTACCGTGTTCATGGCACTGTGCCTCAGAACATGCTGGAAAGATGATAATTCGACAAGACTTTCATTTGTATTGTGTATGTGAATGAAAAGGGCCTTTCAAGAGTGAACTTCAGAAATACAAAGAGTGTGCAGATGGTCCCAGACTTACAATGGTTCAACTTATAATGATTTGACTTTACAATGGTGCAAAAGCAATATGCATTCAGTAGAAACTGTCCTTTAAGAACCTGCACAACCATTCTATTTTTGACCTTTAGTATTTAATAAATTACATGATAGTCAACACTTTATTATAAAATAGGCTTCGCTTTAGGTGATTTTACCCAACTGTAAGCTAATGTAAGTACTCTGAGTACATTTAAGGTAGGCTAGGCTAAGCTATGATGTTCAGTAGGTTATTTTCAATGTATGATGGGTTATCATAACATAACCCCAAAATAAGTCAAGGAGCATATGCATTAGGATGGGCCTTTTAGGCACCACCTGGAGCTTGGTTGAGCTGACTAGGCTGAGATATTGACCACAATCTTGCTGCCTGCTTGTCTGCTCTAATTTTGGACTTTAATTCTGATGGCTAGTTTGGGGCCAATATTAGTGGTGTGTGGAGGTTGCCTGAGTGTGTGTGTTTGCGTGTATGTGAGAAGGGTGTTAGTCCGTTTTCTTCCATAACTACTGCATTCTTTTACATAAAAAAAACTGCTATCTTGTCAACCATAGGCAAAGTTCTGTGTCAGCGTGGTTTCATTCTTGCCCTGCCACCCATACTGCCTTCTCCAAATATTCTTTATATAGAAATTCTGGAATCATGAATTACCTCTGGCTTGGGCCCGTTTGCTGAACCATGTCTCTTCCAATCGACTTTTTGCCTCTTATCCCAGTCCCTGGCTGGCAAGTGCTAATCTTCCTTCTGTAGAGTAAAAATCTGAGCTTGAGTCCCATGATGATAGCCACAGTCCTTGCTGAAGGATATCGATGGTGGCTCTTGCCTGCTTGGACATCCATGTATCTGCCATTCCTAAGTTTTTTTTCTTCTGTTGTTCTACCCCATGAGGACACTTCTTGTTAGACCGTCTGAAATTGACTATTGGCCTGTTCTCTTGCATCTCTCTTGGCTATTAAACTCTGCCTGTTGGCCTGGACTTCCTCCAAGCATCAGCAGCTGGGTCAAGCTGCCTACCACCTGTCCCACCCCAGGAGGGAAGGGCTGGTTTTAAGGTCTTGGCCCCTCCTCAGTCCCACTCTCTTCAAGTTCCTCAGTCTACTCAATTAATTGAGTCATGCCTGGCTGTATTCCAAGATATAGCCCAGACAGGGGGAGAAGTTGCATTTAGTTTGCACAGGGATGGCTCTGTGACTAGCCTTGCGTTTCAAGAACCCTTGTAACAATCAAGCTACCATTCCAAGAAGATTATCTGACACCTCAAAAGGACTTCTTATAAATTGATTCATACACATTATTGCCATTATACCCTCCCCTAGTCTTGATGATGTAATAATAATCAGTATTCCCATCTTATAGGTAGGGAAATGATCTGAAGTTTTTCCACTATTAATCATTGCCTGAAGTTTATTTTACTGCATTTCAGTTCTCAGATTAATCTTGTCCATGCAAAGAGGTAGTAATTTTTAATAGTGGGAGACACCCAAACGGAGATCTTTTTCCAACTCTAGGCATACATCGTGTAATTAATAACAAACTCTTTGGGTATGCATGGTTCTTTTCATTCCAAAGATTCCCAAAGCACTTTTATAAGCTTAACTTGGGCTAAATATCCCCATTACCTCATCCAGCTCTGAAATGTAGCAACCTCTGGGGGAAACTGTGGCAGCTGCTTAACAATGCACAGACATACTGTACCGCAGCGTGAACACAGGAGGCTGCTGGGCTAACAGCTCTCTTTTATTTTGCATGGCAAGAGATGCAGATCAGGAGAACTGAATCAGGAAATTGCCCAGGAGCACTACCCCACTCCACATGAGTGTGCTCTTCACAGAATCTTAGAGGTATAAGGCACTTTCACCCAAGGCATACATTCCAGCAGCCAGGCAACCCTTCTGATGCTTGTAGATCAGGAAGGGAAAGGACTGAATAAAAAGATGGTTCTGGGAGGTGGCTTAGAAGGGTAGCACTTTGTAAAGTTTCCTGCATGTTGAGAATTTGACCTTATGCTTTTGGTTTGTGTGTTACGGGAGCTAGACCATTTCCATGTTCTCCTATCTTCCACTCTGCTCTGTTCCTTGAGAGGCTGAGTTTTGTGGGGTGCCTCCCTGGGATTCCCCTGCCCTCTGGCTTCTGGGATCAGCCAACGGTTAGAGAACAATGGTATCGGGGTACTCATTTCCTCTGTGCAGCGTTCCTCCACCAAAGCTGCAGTGCCTGTGAAAGAACCTTCTCCTCCAGCTACAGCCACTTCTGCATTACCTACATGCAGAGAAACCTCTCCTTACCCCTTAGACCAACAGGACAAGTGCTCCCTAGTGTTGTTAGTCCCAGGGGCATCATCTTCCCTTAACCCCACTCCACTCCACCCCAAGTTACCTTTTGTAAAGAATCCATTTATTCATCTCCTCAAATACGCTGTTTGAGTGTAGACATCTGCTGGGACCTGATGAGTCATGATAGGAACATGTACGAGAAAGTCCAATGAAGAATATGTGTTTATATTAAGACTTAATTTGAATGAACATCTACCTTGGGCTAGACAGGGTTTACATGCTTTACCTGTACAATCTCATTTAGTTTATTCTTCATTCAACATACGATTTGATCATATCTCCATATCAGCCATAATTCTAGGTTTTGCAAAACTAGTGGTCAAGGCAGAAGACAACTTTGAACTTTTGGAGCTTAAATTGTATTGGAGGGACTCAAAAGGTAAACTAGGAATTGATACTATATCTGAGTGTCATGGAAAAAGCCTGGCTAAGGCGAACAGGGAGTAAGGGGCTCAGGGGAGGGCTATGATTTCATGGGGTGATAATGGAAGTCTTCTGTGAGAGGAAGCCATGAAGTAGGACTGAAATGAGGGAGGGGATGAGCCCTGTGGGAAAGGCAAGTGAAATTATTTCTGTTTGATGGATTTTAAAAATGAGGCATTGATGAGTTACATGACTTGCTGAAAGTCATGTAGGTAAAAACTGGTAGAGCCAAGACTGTCTTATGAGAAAGCTAAGCATAGATTTCCTTAGTTACCCAATACAGGAGAATAGCAGGTCTCTATAA
Organism: Homo sapiens; assembly: GCF_000001405.40. Classification (NCBI taxonomy): domain Eukaryota; kingdom Metazoa; phylum Chordata; class Mammalia; order Primates; family Hominidae; genus Homo; species Homo sapiens. Next base: position 42,352,966 of record NC_000007.14, read on the forward strand.
ATACTTGTTGAAGGAATGAATAAATGAACTTCGAAGTCTGTGTCATAACTAATCATAACTAATAACAACTGATTATGTGTTTATAACTAATAAGAATGCTGTCTCCCTGGGAACAAAGGATAGGACTTTCAGGTTAAGCAAAAGGCTGGCAATCTCTGATATGCAAGATTGGTTCAATGTTAGAAAACTAAGAAGTAGAATTCACCATTATTAGCAGACTGTAAGGAAGAAAAACATATAATCATCTCAATAAATTCATAAAAGGCAGAATTCAAGAGCCATGATAAAACTCTCAGGAAATTGAGAATGAATAAGAACTTCTATAACCTGATGAAAGACATGTAGTACAAGCTTGTAGCTGATATTTCTGATTATGTATTAATGAATGAATGCTTTTATTTTAAGATTGTAAACAAAGCAAAGTTGTTTGCTGTTACCACACTTATTCAACCTTTTTAGTGGAGTTATTAGCCAACAAAATAGGGAAAGAAAAAGTAAAAAAAAAAAAAAAAGGCATACATGTTAGAAAGGAAGAAATAAATTTGTCTTTATTTTCAGATTACACGATGGCCTATGTCGAGAATCCCAAAGTATCTACAAAAAAGCTTCTAAAAGTAGGTAAATTTAGTGAGATGATAGGATACACAGCAAACATCAAAAGATCAAAATATTGAAAATTTAAAAATGTTGAAGTACCGTATTTATATAACAAAACATAAAATTCTTAAAACTCAAATACTCAATACTTTATATGAAATATGTGCAAGATACGTATGCCAAAATTACAAAGCATTCATGAAATAAACAATAGTAGATTTAAATAAAATGGGAGCTATATCATGTTAATGGATTGCAAATCTTAATATTGTAAAGATGCTAGTTTACCCCAAATTGATCTGTAGATTCAAGGTAATATCAATCAACATCCTTTTTTTTTTTTTGGTAGAAATTGATAAGCTGATTCTACTTGGAAAAACAAAGGAGTCAATGTGTCCAAAACAATATTGAAAGAATGAATTTGAAGGATTCACTCTAGATGATTTCAATATGGAGATTCATCAGTTTGGGAACACCAGGAGCGAGCCTTCTTTGGAAGAGGGTGATAACTCTCTCTTGAGGTAACACCAATAGGAGATGTTGCTTTATCACACCTGTATTCAGGACAACATCCAGCTTGACCAATGCACCAATGTTCAAGGTCACTGTCAGCAGCCTGACTGAATCTCATTAGGTAAATGGAGCATTACTTGATAAGGATTGAAGAATTGGGCATTAGGGCATCATTTCCTATTCACCTTTCAAATCTCATCCTAACCCTCATTTCCAAAGTGGTTATATAATCTTCTGAGAGTTTCAGTTCATCTGTGTCCTCGCCAACACTTGATGTATAGTCAGTCACTTTAAAGTTAGCCATCTCGTGGTAGGCCTTTTCTCTTAAATGCAGAGCGGCTTCATTTCTTCAAAAGGAGATCAGATACTCAGATTTATGGGAACCAAACCAACTTATGCCTGTCATCCTGGTGAAATTATTAATAGGGATCCTCTGACCCTCCAAAGTGTCCTGGTCTGGATAATAAAATATATAATCCCTCCACTTCTAGCCCTGTTGGCCAAGCCCCAGGCTGTCCTTCCAACTCACAATGGCCCATCAAGGGTTCTGTTCAACAAAGACTTTACTCTGAAAGGGGTATTACAGGAGGAAAGGACTGGCATAAGGTAGCCTAGTGCTACCCTAGGGGCCATTCTTGCTATCAAGTGAGAAGAGCTTGGCTGACCATGAAACCAACAAAGAGAAAACTAGAGCTGAGAGACAGGAGTCAGCCCATGTCCTGATGACATCATTTGACCTTGGCATCTCTGTACTTTCCACCATTTTGCTGTGAACCTAAAACTGCTAAAAAAAAAAATAAACTCTATTAAAAACAAGCAAACAAGCCTTTGCACACATGTAATGAGTCTGAGATAGTTGACCTGGCTGACTCATAGAAAATCTATCCTGTTGGGCCTTAAGTATCTTATATGTCTTTGGAAATGGCATCAGTGAAAATAACCACAACCAAATCCAGGCTAGTGTGGAAGTCCTGTCTCAATTCTGATTGAATGAGATGTTAATTGGCTTTATATTGAGTAATTTGTTCTTTCTTCCACTTATTAACTCTGTCTGCAGTGATCACAATTGGATCCACAGTTAGCTGCAGAGAAACTCTCGATCTTCCAATATTTAACCTTTTGAGTTTTGCTTTTGCTTTTGTTAATATTAGCATTATCATATTAATATAAATGTTCTCTTTTTTCTGTTAGTGATTTAAAATATTTACTTCATCAGAAATTGATATTGATATTTTTAAAAGCCAATATGAACAAATTATTTATACAAGTATATACAGCTTTTATTTTCTCTTTGACCCAGTAGTTTTGTAGAAGACCATTGTAAAATTTCTAACTTGTGGAATTCTATATCTAAACATTTACTGTTACTTCTAATTTTATTTTATTGAAGGCAGAGATTCTGTTTTTTCCCATATAAATTGAGATTCAATTTGTGGCTTAAAATAAGATTATTTTCTAAAAGCTACTAATAAACACTGCAAACAAAATAATGATTTATATTTGTAAGGTAAAAAGTTAAAAATGTGTATTTTATTTATTTATTTATTTTTTTGAGATACAGTTTCACTCTGTTGCTCAGGCTGAAGTGCCATGGCATGGTCTCAGCTCACTGCAACCTCTGCCTGCTGGGTTCAAGCAATTCTCATGCCTCAGCCTCTTGAGTAGCTGGGATTACAGGCATCCGCCACCATGCCAGGCTAATTTTTTTTCTGTATTGTTAGTAGAGACAGGGTTTCCCCATGTTGGCCAGTCTGGTCTCAAACTCCTGACCTCAAGTGATGTGTCCGCCTCGGCCTCTCAAAGTGCTGGGATTACAGGCATGAGACACCGCACCTGGCCAAAACCAGGTATTTTAAATAATTGTTATTCATTACATTGGGAGCCAATCATATCCCAAAAGACAATCCTGAATGCCATGACCCTCAGTGTTGATGTCTCAAAAGATCAAAAATCCCTACAGTCTAAATCTCAAAAATCACAATCTCAAAAGATGAAAATTCTGAATATATAACTACGGAAAAAAGTTAACTCTTCAACAGATGTTTATCTACATTTTAAAAGGGGATTTTTTTGAGAAACATATAAAAACACAAATGACCACTTCATGGGGCACTTTACACAATAACATAGGCAATAAAACCATACATACATTTTTTTTTTTTGAGATGGAGTCTCACTCTGTCGCCCAGGCTGCAGTGCAGTGGCGCGATTTCCGCTCACTGCAAGCTCCGCCTCCCAGGTTCAGGCCATTCTCCTGCCTCAGCCTCCCGAGTAGCGCAGACTACAGGTGCCCGCCACCACGCCCCAGCTAATTTTTTGTATTTTTTAGTAGAGACGGGGTTTCACTGTGTTAGCCAGGATGGTCTGGATCTCCTGACCTCATGATCCGCCCGCCTCGGCCTCCCAAAGTGCTGGGATTACAGGCGTGAGCCACCGCGCCCGGCCTAAAACCATACATATTTTTGCAGGCATCGACACTCAGATATACTAACAGATAAAACAGCTATGAGCGAATGAACCCTATTTATAATAAAGAAATAGGTTGAAGAGCAAAATGTATAAATGCATATCACTATGGTTGGTAATTCTGTGCACCCAGATTGATAATGCAGTCATTTGAAATACTGTGATGAACAACCCAAATCTTTACACAAAATTGAACAAAAACCTGATAGGTCACCACCACACCAATTGCTCAAAGACTTGAGATCTCGAGAAATTTCATCTTTCACAACTGCAGATGTACATAAAGGACATCTCTTCATTTATTGAGAAAGTTTCAACACTTTTACATATACACACAGTGCTTACTCACAAAGTCAATGTTGTGATAATGCACTTCCATAGAGTCACATTTGCATAAAGTCAATTGGAACTTTCTCAAAGTCTTTACACAATTTATACCTCAAGTATTGGAAATGATGAGATGAAATATACAGCATAGCGAATTGTAAAAGAAAATGCTGACAGTTTAAAATAGCAAAAAAAAAAAAAAAAAAAAAAAAACTAAAAAAAGATAAAGAAAAAAAAAACCAAAAACTAAATAGAAAATCCTGCATATGAAAAAGTGTATTAAAGGGATAGATAATGGGCATAGAGATAGTTCAAAAGGACTATCTTCCTCATAGGAACTATCTTTCTTCATAAGAAAGTCATAAGACTTTCACTATCATTAACTTGCATATTTTGAAGTCTGGTATCATGAGGAATAGGGGCTTTTTTTCTTTTAGGACATGACTTTCCTGGGAGAATATGTTCACATTTTCTATGTAGTGCTGCTCCTTTTTTTTTTTTTTTTTTTTTTTTTTGAGAGAGTCTTGCTCTGTCACCCAGGCTGGAGTGCAATGGCGCTATCTCGGCTCACTGCAAGCTCCACCCCCCGAGTTCACGCCATTCTCCTGCCTCAGCCTCCCGAGTAGCTGGGACTACAGGCGCCTGCCACCACACCCGGCTAATTTTTTGTATTTTTAGTAGAAACGGGGTTTCATCGTGTTAGCCAGGATGGCTTCAATCTCCTGACCTCGTGATCTGCCCACCTTGGCCTCCCAAAGTGCTGGGATTACAGGCGTGAGCCACCGTGCCCGGCCTCCTTTTTAAAATTGTTCTGTGATTCAACATACACCAACATGAGCATTTTCTAGTACGTTTTCCCATTTTGTATGCCATGCTTCTATGTTGTCTCAGGTATGTGGGAATCCATTCATCAGGAAAGGTAATGGGACTTCAACAGAGAAGGTCTGAGTGGGTGGGGTCAGCAGAGAACTAGGAGGCAAAAAGAAGGGTGTAAGAAGCCATTTGAAGATGCACGTCCCATACCCATGTCAGGGAACTCATTTCTGTGAGACCTCTTGGAAGCATCCACATGTCACCTCTCAGGGAAAAGAGCCACTTGAAACATGTCCAGAAGCCAAAGCCAGTGAATCCATTCCTTCTGGGTACACTCATTGTAGACCAGAAACAATACAGGTGATAGTACAGCAACAATGTTGCGTGTCTTCTTATCTTACCATGCACATAATTATTTTGAATCACTCAGTAACTTCGCTGGCTTTTTCAGGTAAACACAGCTTTAATTCATTAAAAGCTCCTGGAATGTCATCAGCTGGAAGGAATGCAATGAGGCAAATGACACATTTTTAAACTGAAGTTTTTGTTGTTGTCATATGGCATGGCCAATCTACTCATTTGAATTTTCTGCCGAATGCGTTGGAGTGAATGGAAAAAAACCAACTTTATAGGTAACACCTTGACGTTTACTTTTAGAAGCCTTGATCACACCTAATTCCAAATCTGTCATTATGGTTTGGGGATTCCATTGAAATCCATTTTCTTCTGCATGAAGAAAATAATGAGGTGATAGTTCCACCCAACATGATGCAACTATCCTGTGATTATGATTTTGGGGATTTTAGCTGTTAGGGATTTTAGACTTTAGGGATTTTCATCTTTCAGGATTTCAACATTCTGGATTGTGTCTTTTAGGATTATGATCCAAACCCCTTATGTTAATAAAATTAATATTTTAAAATATTTGCCTACTTCCTTGACAAAGGCTGAGAGATATGTTCATTTGTTCTACAACTGCGTTTTTGTCATTTTTTTATTTCCATTTTTAATTTTAATACTTCGACATAAGATTATTTGTCACATAAACCTTTATGATGAATATATTGTACTTCTGCCAATATAAAATGACCCCTGTGTCTCATTACTACCTGTAACATAAATTATACATTGTCTGGAATTATCTTGACCTCAGATGTTTATATTACTATTTGTCTTGTATAAGTGCTTGACTCTATTTTTGGCTTGTTTACTTGTTGTAGGTACAGTGTTGGGTTTTATTTTATTTCTCTATAGATTCACCCAAGAGCATTTATCCTTTAGTAAGTAATCTAGACCACTTATGATCAGTGACATATTTGGTAAGTTTGGTCTGGTTTCTATTTTTTTTTTTTTTTTTTTGCTATTTACATTTTGGTTTCCTTGTTTTGTGTTTTGCTACATGAACTATGTTTTATTTGCATTTATGTCCTTCAGTGTTTTGGAGTATATATATGGTAGACAACGCTTGGGATACCTTCTCAGGCCATGCCCCTTTGCCTAAGAATGCTCTCACACCTGTCTGAGTGAGTCCTTGGCAGCCATATTTGTATAATATAATCTATAACACTGGCACTGGTTGAGTGAAACTGGGTAGACATCTGACTCTGGGCTGATCAAAATCTCTCTCTCAGGTATTTGGACTGGGACCTTTTATGTGCTGGTCAGTTTGAGGTTCTCTCAAGAAATAAGAAAATATATACATAGGAGCTGTGTTTGAGCCTTCACACCATTCATAGTGGAAACTGAGGAGAAAGAAAAGAATAAAAGCCAAGGTGCAAATATATTCAAAAGTATCCCCAGAAGCTAGAGAGAGAGTGTGGGTGGGGGGTGGGGCCAGCAGGCAAGTAGAATGCCAAAGAAAGGGAGAGGGAGTGAGGAGAGAGACCTGCCTGATCACCTAGCTTGCCCATGGTTCTCATTTCTAAATCAACCCTCCAATGGGTTCTGCTATGCTTCCTGTCCTTAGATGCCATGAGCGATTCCAGTCGTATTCCGGTGGCACCAACCTGGTGTTGGCTTCTGGACATGTTTCAAGTGGCTCTTTTCCCTAAGAGGTGACATGTGGGTGCTTCCAAGAGGTCTCATAGAAATGAGTTCCCTGGCATGGGCCATTCATACCCAAATGGCTTCCTATACCCTTCCTTTTGCCTCCTGGTTCTCTGCTGACCCCACCCACTCAGACCTTCTCTGTTGAAGTCCCATTACCTCCCCTGTGACCCACTTGGGTTCATCCTTTACAAAGATGCCAGGCTGGCTCTTTCCCTCACATACTCCTGGCACACATCTGGTCCATAGGAAACATGTGCATTTTACTCTTTGTAGGTTGGAGTTTAGTTATTTACCAACCATAGCCCTCTATTGCCCAAGGCTGCTGGAGGAAGCCCTGAGCTCTCTCCACGGGTTTTCTTTCAGCTTCTCTCACTAGGCTTGAGGTTAGGGGAAGCATCTTGCCCCACAGGAGGAGCATAAATCACAGCACTTCTGACAAGTCTCTGTACAGTAATATTCTCTAGAATTTCCAACCTCAGACTTTTACAAGCATCAGGAGGCTGTTGAGCAAATGGTCACAAAGTTAGTTATTGGCCACTTCCTTTCCAGCTCTATGGTGATGCTTAGATGATCAGCCCTTTACTTTGGAATGGGTAAGTAGAAGGCAACTATTATTCTGGGGCTACAGACTAACTAATCAGATTTCCATTTCTACAAATACAATGTACACATAGACAGAATATTTTCTAATACTTATGCACTCACACAGGATAAGGGGCCATTATTTCTCCAAAATACACTTCATAAATAGGTTCAGTTGGTAATCTTTCACAACTCATAATAACTTGAGTAGTTAAAAGAATGATTCATTTTTTGAATGTTTATCCTCTTATTTGGCTTAATATTTCTTTTATGATTAAAATAAATAATACTTTACACTGTTGGTGGGAGAGTAAATTAGTTCAACCATTGTGGAAGACAGTGTGGTGATTCCTCAAGGATCTAGAACTAGAAATACCATTTGACCCAGCAATCCTATTACTGGTTATATACCCAAAGGATTATAAATCATTCTACTATAAGGACACATGCACACGTATGTTTATTGCAGCACTATTCACAATAGCAAAGTCTTGGACCAACCCAAATGCTCATCAATGATAGACTGGATAAAGAAAATGTGGCACATATACACCATGGAATACTATGCAGCCATAAAAAAGGATGAGTTCATGTCCTTTGCAGGGACATGGATGAAACTGGAAACCATCATTCTCAGCAAAGTAACACAAGAGAAAAGTAAACACCGTATGTTCTCACTTATAAGTGGGAATTGAACAATGAGAACACATGGACACAGGGAGGGGAACATCACACCAGGGCCTATCAGGAGAGATAGCATTAGGAGAAATACCTAATGTAAATGAAGAGTTGATGGGTGCAGCAAACCAACATAGCACATGTATACGTATGTAACAAACCTGCACGTTGTGCACATGTACGCTAGAACTTAAAGTGTAATAATAAAAATAAAAAAAGAGGTACCCTGCTTACATATCTCCCCATAGCAAGTCTCATAACCCAGCCTCTAAATAAATAAATAAATAAATGGATAAAAATTAAAAAATAAAAAAAATTTGTAAAAAAATACTTAATAACATTTTCTACTTGCTTATACCTTAGCATTTACAGCATGATTTCAGAAAAATGATTTTATTTCATCTTTACAGCAGTCCTTTAGGGTTCATCTCATCCTACAAAGCTGGCACAGAGAGACATTAATC